>NC_000001.11:46523531-46826562 GCF_000001405.40 Homo sapiens | reverse complement strand
TGACTTCAAACTATACTACAAGGCTACAGTAACCAAAACAGCATGGTACTGGTACCAAAACAGAGATATAGACCAATGGAACAGAACAGAGCCCTCAGAAATAATACCATACATCTACAACCATCTGATCTTTGACAAACCTGACAAAAACAAAAAATGCGGAAAAGATTCCCTATTTAATAAATGGTGCTGGGAAAACCGGCTAGCCATATGTAGAAAGCTGAAACTGGATCCCTTCCTTACACCTTATACAAAAATTAATTCAAGATGGATTAAAGACTTAAATGTTAGGCCTAAAACCATAAAAACCCTAGAAGAAAAGCTAGGCAATACCATTAAGAACATAGGCATGGGCAAAGATTTCATGACTAAAATACTAAAAGCAATGGCAACAAAGCCAAAATTGACAAATGGGATCTAATTAAACAAAAGAGCTTCTGCACACCAAAAGAAACTACCATCAGAGTGAACAGGCAACCTACAGAATGGGAGAAAATTTGTGCAATCTACCCATCTGACAAAGGGCTAATATCCAGAATCTACAAAGAACTCAAACAAATTTACAAGAAAAAATCAAACAACCCCATCAAAAGTAGGCGAAGGATATGAATAGACACTTCTCAAAAGAAGACATTTATGCAGCCAACAGACACATGAAAAAATGCTCATCATCACTGGCCATCAGAGAAATGCAAATCAAAACCATAATGAGATACCATCTCACACCAGTTAGAATGGCAATCATTAAAAAGTCAGGAAACAACAGGTGCTGGATAGGATGTGGAGAAATAGGAATGCTTTTACACTGTTGGTGGGAGTGTAAACCAGTTCAACCATTGTGGAAGACAGTGTGGCGATTCCTCAAGGATCTAGAACTAGAAATACCATTTGACCCAGCCATCCCATTACTGGGTATATACCCAAAGGATTATAAATCATGCTGCTATAAAGACACATGCACACGTATGTTTATTGTGGCACTATTAAAAACAGCAAAGACTTGGAACCAACCCAAATGTCCAACAATGATAGACTGGATTAAGAAAATGTGGCTCATATACACTAGGGAATACTATGCAGCCATAAAAAATGATGAGTTCATGTCCTTTGTAGGGACATGGATGAAGCTGGAAACCATCATTCTCAGCAAACTATCACAAGAACAGAAAACCAAACACCACATGTTCTCACTCATAGGTGGGAATTGAACAATGAGAACACTTGGACACAGGGTGGGGAACATCACACACTGGGGCCTGTCATGAGGTGGGGGAAGGGAGGAGGGATAACATTAGGAGAAATACCTAATGTAAATGACAAGTTAATGGGTGCTGCACACCAACATGGCACATGCATACATATGTAACAAACCTGCATGTTGTGTACATGTACCCTAGAACTTAAAGTATAATTAAAAAAAAGAAGTTCAACTAGGAGCTTCCTTCACCCTGTAATCCCTGCCCAATTCTGCTGGCTGCCTTCCCCAAGGATCCCTGTGAGGTAAAGTCAAGGATGGCTTCCCTGGGCTCAAGCTGGGGACCAGCAGTGCCTATAGGGCCCTTCCCATGGCTGCTTCTGCTTTTATATTTTGTTGGCTCCCTAAATCCATGTCAGCCCTAGGTAAGGTTAAATCCTTCTCCATGCTCTGGACTTTCCAGTTCTCTAGTGGAGATATGTGTTCAGAGACAGACTTTTCCCCCTCTCACACTTTGGGAACTCACAGTTTTTTGACTGTCTCACAGAGTTTGCAGTGGCAAGCTGCTTCTCTCACAGGTACAATGATTCTTGAAGAAACAATTTGAAAGCATTTGCAAATGGTTGTAGCAGTCCATGGGGGCAATAACACTAGGTCCTTGTCAAAGTTGTGTATGTCTTAAAACTTTTTGTGCAATTTTGTACAATACTAAGAATGCTATGGCTAATTAAACAGGAATAACTAATAAGAGTTGATTAATAATAAACTTTTCTGTTTGTTTTATTTTTAACTTTCATTTTAAATTAAGGGGTACATGTGCAGGTTTTCTATATAGGTAAACACTTGTCATGAGAGTTTGTTGTACAGAGTATTTCGTCACCCAGGTATTATTAATAAATAGTACCCATTAGTTATTTTTCCTGATTCTCTCCCTCCTCCCACCCTCCACCCACCAATAGGACCCAGTGTCTGTTGTTCCCTTCTATGTGTCTATGTGTTCTCATCATTAATGAACATATGGTTAAGCAGAAGAGTTGCACCTCTGATTATAAGTCTAAGTTCTACACAATTACCAGCTCTGTCACCTTAACAAGCCTTACCTGGGGTAAAGTCAGTGTTCATTATTTAGATGAAAATTGTTTCAACTATTTAATATAAAGTGATTTCAAAAAGTCAGATTTGTTTTTTTCTTTACAATAGACACGGGTCAGGAATGGTACATCTATGACTGTAAGGCTTCCAATATTACTGAGGATAGAGTAAAAGAGTTTTTAAAAGTCTTATTTAAAAAAAAAAGTCTTGTCATTTAAATGATGAATAATGGATCCAGAGTATTAGAATAATAAAGCTTTAGAAAATGCTCACATAGAGGTATGTAAAAGTGCCAGAAAGGTTAGTTCTTACCAACGGTTACTCTTAGTAGAGCTTCTTGACTTCAGGTTGACAAACCAATCATTTTCTAAATATCATTTTGTGTTCAGCACAGATTGTACTAAACTAGGCAGTCAGGGCTCCTAAAAAGAGTGTAAAGTTCTGGTTGTATAATCTTTCTCTACTGTAGAATGAAAAAGAATTAGTAAACATGTTCCCACTATAGCTATAGTACTTGACTGAAGTTGGATTGAAATTGCTGTAGGACCTTCTCTGGGCAATTGAAGACAAGACTGCAGTGTGAATTTAGCAGATGTTATGGTGGCAGCTAAAGGTAGACCTATAAAAGGGAAAAGATCATAACTAATATTAAGTATAATTTTTTTGAAATTTTCATGGATTTGAATGAATAAAAGGCATGCTATGGATGTTATGAAACCAATTTCTCCAATGGAATGAAATTAAAATGTGTTAAAGTGTCCAATTTTATGTTCTGTATGTTTCACTAATTTTTAAAAGTTAATATACACTGATTGGGGGAAAAAATGGCAAACAGGAAGCAGGAATAACTTGCAGCTCCCATTCAGACAGACAGAGTAGCATATGGAGACTCATATCATGAATTTTTGTTCCAAGAACTAGTGCAGGAAAACACCTGGAAAGCTGACAGAATCCCCAGACCCTCTGAAGGAAGCAGATTGCTGTTGCAGGCCCCGGCAAACAGTCAAAAAACTGTGAGTGTCTAAAGTGTGAAAGGGGACTCATCTGCCCCTGAACACACACCCTCATTGGGAAAACTGAAAGTCCAGATCGAGGGAGTAGGATTTGACCTTACCTGGAGCTGAGATGAATTTACAGAGCTGAGTGAAATACAGGGGTAGAAGAAGCACTGGGCACTCTCAGTCCCCAAAGAAGCCATTTCTGACTTTGTCTCATAGGAGTCCCTAGGGAGGGCTGCCAGAGGAACTGGGAAAAGACCACACAAAGAAGGAAATTTCCAGCCGAACTTCGTAATAAATTTGACTGAACGTGAAGTTTCCTGGACAGAACCTGGGGGAGGGGGAAATTGGGAGTACAGACACAGCACAGAAGCCACAGCAGGTGAGGAAGCATGAAACCTGAATGCCCTGCTTGCTTTCTCAGCCAGGAGGCTGGCAACCTGGGGCAACTTCTCAGCCCTGCTCACCCACTGCCTGGAAATAAACTCAGTGCTGTTGGTGAAGCATAATGGGAATGAGACAGGCTTTTGGGGCTGCATGGGAGCTAGGTAAGGCCTATAATTATGGCTTTCCCTGCTTCCCTGGTAACCTGCATGACACAGCAGAGGCAGCCATAATCCCCCTGGGAACATAATTCCACTGGCCTGAGAACCACACTCCCATCCCCCACAGCTGCTGCAGCAAGCCTCACCCAAGGAGAGTCTGAGCTCAGACATGCCTAACCCTGTGCCCACCTGATAGTTTTTCTCTACTCACCTTGGTAGCCAAAGACAAAGGACATAATCTCTTGGGAGCTCTATGGCTGGCCCCTCCCTATACTACCACAGATGATGCTCTCTTTAAAGTGCCACCTCCTGGCTGAAGGTCAACCAACACAAAACAAGCACAATAAACAAAACTACAACCCAGGACCCTCACGTAGTGAGAGCGGAAGCACGGAAGACTGAGGAAGCCAGGCTCCTTTCAAAACCCACATTCTCAGGAACTAATCCCTTACAGTTAGAGCAAAAACTCATATGCCTCTGCAGGGGGACATTAATCTTTTTTTTTTTAATACTTTAAGTTTTAGGGTACACGTGCACAACGTGCTGGTTTGTTACATATGTATACATGTGCCATGTTGGTGTGCTGCACCCATTAACTCGTCATTTAACATTAGGTATATCTCCTAATGCTTTCCCTCCCCCCTCCCCCCACCCCACAACAGGCCCCGGTGTGTGATGTTCCCCTTCCTGTGTCCAAGTGTTCTCATTGTTCAATTCCCACCTATGAGTGAGAACATGGCGGTGTTTGGTTTTTTGTCCTTGCGATAGTTTGCTGAGAATGATGGTTTCCAGCTTCATCCATGTCCCTACAAAGGACATGAACTCATCATTTTTTATGGCTGCATAGTATTCCATGGTGTATATGTGCCATGTTTTCTTAATCCAGTCTATCATTGTTGGACATTTGGGTTGGTTCCAAGTCTTTGCTATTGTGAATAGTGTTGCAATAAACATACGTGTGCATGTGTCTTTATAGCAGCATGATTTATAATCCTTTGGGTATATACCCAGTAATGGGATGGCTGGGTCAAATGGTATTTCTAGTTCTAGATCCCTGAGAAACCGCCACACTGACTTCCACAATGGTTGAACTAGTTTACAGTCCCACTAACAGTGTAAAAGTGTTCCTATTTCTCCACCTCCTCTCCAGCACCTGTTGTTTCCTGACTTTTTAATGATCGCCATTCTAACTGGTGTGAGATGGTATCTCATTGTGGTTTTGATTTGCATTTCTCTGATGGCCAGTGATGATGAGCATTTTTTCATGGGTCTTTTGGCTGCATAAATGTCTTCTTTTGAGAAGTGTCTGTTCATATCCTTCGCCCACTTTTTGATGGGGTTGTTTTTTTCTTGTAAATTTGTTTAAGTTCTTTGTAGATTCTGGATATTAGCCCTTTGTCAGATGAGTAGATTGCAAAAAATTTCTCCCATTCTGTAAGTTGCCTGTTCACTCTGATGGTAGTTTCTTTTGCTGTGCAGAAGCTCTTTAGTTTAATTAGATCCCATTTGTCAATTTTGGCTTTTGTTGCCATTGCTTTTGGTGTTTTAGACATGAAGTCCTTGCCCATGCCTATGTCCTGAATGGTATTGCCTTGGTTTTCTTCTAGGACATTAATCTATTTATGAGAGATCCACCCCCATGACCCAAACACTGCCCACAAGGCCCAGACTCCAAACACTGCCACATTGGGAATCAAGTTAGCAACCAGAGTCTGAGCAGTGACACACCACATCCCAACCAGCAGGGCTGTTGTGAGCTGAGCAGGAAAGCCTCACAGGCCTGGTCTGGCATGAGGGCCTCAAGGACCCAGCCTCTCATACCCGCAATGAGACGTGAAAAGGGAGCCCAGCCTGGCCACATGACCAGGCACCTGTCGGTCTCCCTCACACATGAGGTCTGCAGGCTCTTCAGGAAGTTCACAGAGTGGGCAGCTATCCAGCAAGGTCTGGGAGGAGCCAAGGTAGACAAATGGGTCTGGCCAGTGGAGAGGATGTCGGACCCCAAGCACTTCCTCCCCCACACCACAGCCTTGTGGTGGTTTCCTGCCTCTCTGGCTGGCCACTCCGAGTGAACAGGGACATCCTCAACCCTGTCCACACTTGGTGACTGCCTTGGAGCTGTTTCAACACCCAGTCCCCTACTTCTCACAGCTTCACTGGACTGGTGTCCCTGCTGTGCCAGTTTCTCTCCATTTAGACCTTGCTTCTCTTGCTGGATCTGAGCACAGGTGTCCCCCATTTTTAGCCCAGGTCCCTGAATGCCATAGACAGACCTTCTTTTTACTAAGATGTGACATCTTTTTCTGCTTCTCTGACAGGGCTTCTCCCTAAATTGGTGGCTGTAGGCAGAACCTCCCTCCCAGTCCCCTGACCTCCCAAATCACTGGGTTACTTTAGCCCTGCTCTGAGAAGAGGCAGGAAAGGAGCAGCCTGGACAGTCAGTGCTTGACTGGGGTCAGAGGGAGAGGGTTGGGACAGAAGAGTGGGCTGGGAACTTCCTGCACAGGATGTTCAGCAGGTCCCTAGTATCAGATAGCACGCGAGGGCTCGTGCTGGCCATGCTCAGAGAACAAAGGACAGTGGGGGCTCAGAATTCTGGGTGGTCAGCCATGGAGAGTTGCTCTAACCACAGGATCCCATAGGGCATGAATGAGCGACCAAAAAGTAACCTGCTCAGTCCATGCAATGGGCAAGACTCAGGCTGAGTGCACATCTGTGCACATTCCATGACACCATATAGAGACACTCAGGCACAGCCACACCTGTATGTGTCCATTGCACACTCCACATTCAACCCACACACATGTACACACATGTCCAGGATCATAGGAGGCAGCAGAGTGTGTTTAGAGAACTGGAAGAATTAAATGGAATCCATCTTTGGTGCCCACCATTCCCCAGCCTCCTATCTCCCTCCCACAGGGAGCCTGTCTATCCCTTCTCACACCAAAGCTCTTAGCTCCTTTTCACACTGACACACACTCTCGGAGAGTGTCAGTACAATGATGGAGTCTTGGTCAAAGAGGCCAGAATCAGAGGCCTCAGCTCAAGCTCCTCCCAGATGAGTGTCTTACAGGTTCCTTCCCTTCCTACAGAAGTGGAATAATGGCCCCCTCCCATCCAGCCTCCCAGGCCTCCTCAAGGCCTGATTTAAGCTGATTCAAGTGGGGGAGAGGGGTTCCTTTCCTCCAGGAAACCCCCTTCTAATGCCACTTGGCCACCTTCCCCAGCTGAACCCTGAATGCCTGGAGCACCACGTGACTGTGAGACACAGACACTGACAATGGCAGGGGTGCCACAGAGACCCATCTCAGGAGGAGCAGAAGACACATCAGTGATACCATATTCCATATTTCTTGACTTCAGTGATGGTTACAAGAGAGTCTGCTTCAGAATTATTTATTATTTTGTACAGTCTTCATTTAGGTAATTTTTTCTTATGTCTGTTATATTCTAAACACACACACACAAAGTTCAACAAAGAAACACATCTCAGTGAAGGGGCACTCCCCTAAGCCATTCTTCTATTTGGTGGTACCCAGCCATAACCATGAATCTCAGGGCAAAACTTTCCTTGTGCTCACTATGAGTCTCTAAGGTTGGAATGTAAGTTTCTGCTGCATTTTTAAGTTTGCCAATTATAGGAGATAAATGAAGTTTCTCGAACGAAATAGGTGCTCACCAAATGTTTGTTGAATAAATGAATGAGCTCTAGAATACATGCATGATAAACATTTATAGACACACATTTTTACATAGCACTGTCCTCTAGGAGTCGTCTATGGTAATGCCTACTTCCCTTCTAAACTACAAGCCTCCTGAAGGCAGGGGGCCCCAACTCCTCCACACCCAGCCTGGGGAGGGTGGTGCCCAGGGAGGTCACAGCCTGAGCCATCTGGGACCCCATTCTCATCAGAGCTACTTCCCAGACCCAGGGCCCAGTGGCTTCAGGTGGAGGTGAAAGCCATTCTTGGAGCGCAGGACAAGCTGGGGCATCTTGATGGGCAGCCGTGAGGGGTCCAGAGAGAACTCAAAGCGGAGCAAGCACATGGCTGTGACCACCTTCATCTCACTCATGGCAAACTGCTGCCCAATGCAGTTCCTGTAGCAAGCAGCACAAAGAGTCATCGTGCAATGGAGCATCCAGAGTGATGACATTCAGTGCTCTTAGCAGCCAACAAAAGTCAATAACTGTTTTTGGATGAATAACTGGCTGATAGATTGGTTGACCTGGGCTTATGAAACAAACCTTGGGAGCATGGTGAGGGTCCCAGACCAGGTAGATTCACATGGTGGGGGTCTGGCATGGGGTTCTCTCTTGGAATGACTCATCTATCCCACCCACTTCCCAGGGACAGGAATATGATAATTGCAAGAAGAAGCCTCCTGCATTAGAACCACCACAAACCCAGCATGATTCCCCTTTATTCAGAGTACCTTCTAATAGTGCCTCCCCTATGATGTCATCCACCCTCTCCTCCCCAGTCCTGAGGGCCTGGGATACTGGGTCTCTCCATACCTGGGCCCAGCAGAGAAGGGCATAAAGGCAAAGGGATGGCGTTTGGATGCATTCTCAGTGGAAAAGCGCAGAGAGTCAAAGACCTGAAGGGACAGGCCTTGCTTAAACACTCGCCAGGTTCTGGCAGAGGGTGACCCTCCCAGTCCCCCACCCTGTCTGATCTCCCAGCCCAGGGAAAGGGTACCTCAGGGTCGGGCCATACAGCACTGTTCCTATGGAGGGCATAGATATGCATAGAGATCAGGCTTCCTGTGGGCAGAACAGAGGTTGGTGACCAGGTAGTCCTGGGTAGCCAGGCCTACCTCCACATAAGGTCAGAGTCCCCTAGTGACCCCTTAACTGGGGTGCCAGCTCCTGCCTGACCACTGCCAGTGACAGAGCGTTCATGACCACATCCGACTCATCACAGTACTTTGATCATCATGATGCCCAGTTCCTGTAATCCCGGCACTGGGTACAGCACCTGATAGACATTTGTGAGATGAATAAAGGGGAGAATGAACCCATCCATCATGAGGTAGAACAGGAAGGAACTATTAAACCTTTTCAGCTAACTGACTCTTGGGAAGTTATTATTCATAATATTATACTGCCAACAGTAACAGCTATCATTCACCAGGTGCTTGCTATGAACCAGGTACAGGCTTAACACTCTTTATGAAGCTACCACATACAGTTGTGCAGGTTGCACACTGCACAGCATCATAGTCTATGTGAGTGTTGCTCCCTGGTGCTGTTCAGGGCATGACCTGCATGGTGGTACATGGCAGCCTTGGTGAACATTCTCTTTAATCCTGACAGCAGCCTAGAAACATAGATACTCTTCTCATCCCCATTTTACAGAAGGGGAAATGGAGGCTCAGAGGTAGAAGAATTGATCAATATGTTGTGGGGCTGGGATTTAGACCCAGGGCTCTCTGAACGCAAAGCCTGAGCTCTTCCCCAAAAGTGCAAAGATTTGACTAAAGGCACAGAGGGTGCCAGAGGAGCATGCAGGGACTCCTTTTCCACCCCCAAATCCACCCATCCCACCTGCAGGTAGAGACCGGCCATCCACAAAGGTGACAGGCTTGCTGAGCTGGCGGTACACCTGGGGCACAGGTGGGTAGAGGCGGAAGCTCTCCTTGATGCACATGGTCAGATAAGTCATTTTGCCCAGATCATCCCTGCCAGCAACACAACCAGAACATTCTTGGAATGGGAAGCAACAGGATTTGGCGAGAAAGCAGACCCCAGCCCCAGTTTTCCTCCCTCACCACCACCACACACTCAAGAGTCAGAGGCACAGAGTTCCAAGTGCCCCTGGCCAGGCTAGGCCTGACATGGTGTGAACACTCAGATCTAAAGGATCTGGTTCCACTTTTCTCCATCCCTTTCTCATCTTCACTGGTAGGAGAAGAAGGCACAGGACCCTAGAGATGAAGGTGCACCCAGCCATCAAAGACAAGGTCACTTCTGCAACTCTCAGGACCCCCATGGAAGCCTACAAAGGACAGTTCTTTAGGTTTCAGCTTGGTTTCCCCTACTGAGCTGAATGAAAGAAACTGGGGCTGATACACGTTGGTTGAATGAACCAACCAAAGTTGATGCATTATTTAATGAGGTGAAGTGTGTGTGTGTGTGTGTGTGTGTCTTTTCCCTTTGGCAACCGGGAAGCTCAGGCCCAAATGTGACATCCAACTATAACTACAGGGCAATATTTTATTGCAGAGTCCCCAAACTCCCCACTGGCTCTTATTTTTCATTTGCATTTTACTATTTTATTGAATAACTGTCCTCTAAGTTGCTTCAAGCTCTAGATGGAATGACGTGAAAATAAAATAAATATTCTAATCCCTGCCTCGGGTTGTGTTCACATTGTTACCCAGCCTACAATGCCTACCTCTCTCTCTTTGCCTGAATTTTAACCCTCCTTAGAAAGTCAGTTCAAGCCTCACTCCTTCCCTCTGCCCTCAACATTCAGACCACGTGATCCTGTGATTTTTCTCTCGCTGTTTGATTATGTGAATTTGTCTCCATAAAACTCCCCACGAGCAGCATGGCTTCTCTTTCTCTTCCGTTCTGCACCCCTGATAGCACCTGGCATGTGTCTGGATACCCCGTGGGGGGGGGATTCTCACATATGACCAACAGAAATGGTAATGGAGGCTTCATACTCCAGGTCCTAGACCCTGGAGTTATAGGTCAGTCCCTTTCAAGTGGATCTAAAGTTCCCCCTCTGGCTCAGCATTTTCTGTACCCCTGCTGTGTGCCTAGCCCCCTCTTGGAGGCTGCTCAGGAGCCCAGAGAGAAAGGCAGGTTGTCTGACCACAAGCAAAGGCCTGAGGGGAACAGGCAGCCAGCAAGGGTGAAGGAGCCTCTTGAGAGACTCCCAGAGATCACACTGCAGAGAGGTCAGGGTCAATCCTTAAGTGTTTAGGAGTTCAGTCTTGAGCCAAGAAACAGGGGAAAACAATGGAAAGTTTTTAAGTGATGAAGTTTGGGGAAGTCTTTTCTCCTTCACCAGCAGGAGAGATATGGCATCTGGAAGCTGAGTATTGCCATCCAAAGGCAAGTAGCAAGGAACTGGCTCTCCCAGCTGTCTCAGCTCTGTTCACCCCCACATTTCCACCTCTTTCTCTCCCAGCTCTCCCTACTCTATCCAGGGACCCAGAAGGGTAATCAGGTTCTACCGTCAGAAGAAGTTAGCACACAAAATATCAGCCTCTTGTTGACAACTTTCTCTACATAACACTTCTGAAAGGCTCCATTTTGGGAGAATGGGCTCAGGGGTGCATCTGTGCCCAGCCAACCACTCTCCCCACCCCCCACCACCACAAAAGGTATGACACTGGGGGTAACAGGATAGCAGCCGCCACCTCACCTGATTTCCAGGATGGTTCAGGACAGGATGGGCATCGCCCTTCCCAAGGGCTGAGCAGGATAAACCGGGCCCACCCTCAGACTCACCACTGGAAGAAGTCCTGGTCCCCTAGGATCTCGCGGACCTCCTCTCTACAACGATGCTGGTGCTCAGGGTACAGGGCCATGCAGTAGAGAAACCAGGAGATACCACTGGTGGTGGTGTCATGGCCTTCAAACATGAATGTGTCCACTTCAGCCCGGAGGTCTGCATCTGACAGTTTGATGTCATCTTCATCCTGGGTTAGGGAAGGCATAATAGGACAGCTTGAGGTATTGGAGGTGGGTAACAAGAAGAACTCATAATGGTGGTTGTCAAATGAAGGTCTCTGGGAGGGAGTGAAAGCTCCTTTTCAGAGGGTGGATTAGGACCTTCCCCCAGATTCCTATATTCCTTCAAAGCTCAGCCTGGATGCCTCCTCCTCCACAAAGCCCTCCCTAAATGCTCTGGCCAAATGACTTGTGACCTTGTCCAGCCCTGACTGTTCTGCTCACTGGGCACATAGAATACCACCTGCCAGAGGAAGACATTTTGGTCAACATCTACCTACTGTCTCCCCTGCTGGACTGTAAGCATCTGGAAGGAAGGGCCAGGTCTTTCCCATCTCTGCATCCTAGCACGGAAATGACCCAGAGTCAGAACTCAGTGAGTTTCTAGAATTGATGAATAAAGAACTTACTGAATGAATGAATGAATGAATGAAGTCTAAGATTCTAGGATTCTACAAGGCCAACATTTTGGGGGATCTTAGAAGTCTAGAAATGTCGTCCAGCCACTACCACGTGACCTAGGCTCCCAACTCCACAGCTCAGGCACACACACCCTACACCTGCCCACCTCTGAACCCCTGCTAATATGTTTCATGGGACGAGGAACAGGTTATATTTGCTGAGGAAAGGGGGAAATGCTTAAGAGCTCCTTCTGCTGTCCTGGGAGGATGGTTGAAGACCTCTCTGGGACCAGTCCTCAGGTAGGGGTGGGCAACAATGTACTCACCCGGGCACCCAGGAGAATGTCCAGGAAGTCCAGGTGCCTCCGGTTCTGGATCTTCTTCCGCACCTTCTCATCCTGCAGGGCTGCCTTCCGCTCCCTGATGACCTGGTCTGAACCAAAAGCACAGAGTGTCACTGCCTGGGAAGCCATCTTTTGTCCAAAGGGGAACTGGGGTCCTATAATGGGAGGGGGCATAGAGGGGCCAGGAGGAGGAACCCAGGCTTCCTAGAGGTGAGCCTTGTGGGAAAGGCCCACCTGTATGGTCATGGGCCACCTGGCAGGCCCGCAGGAAGCGGCGGCCATGTGGGGTGAGCCAGTAGATGAAGTCATTATGGTACTGGAAGGACACAAGGCGCTGCTGCATCAACAGAGTGAGATCGCTGACTGCAAGGTAGTAGCTGCTGTCCCTGCTAAGCAGAGGGTAGGAGGAGGGATTGGCTTAGACACTGGCCCAGGAGCAGAGCCAGAGAAACTCCATTCCAGGAATCTAGCCCCAACCACAGAGCATCCTGCTCTTCTTCTCCCTGCCCTTAAGCCTCCTTGCTAAAGCCAGGTGTTTACCCCACCATGAGCAGGTCCTGTCTCCCCGCAAGCTAAGGCTCCCTGGGGCAGGACCCTATCTCTTCTCAGATCAGAGCCCAGGACCCCTGCCAACTCTCCCCTCTAAGATGGCTTTGGAGACAGTGCGGTCAGCCCCGAGGTGGCTCCTGACCTGTGGCCCAGGCCGGTGTCTCCTCTTCCAAAGGTGCACTTCATGAGTGTGTTCAGCGCCATGTGACCCACATCGCAGAAGATGTCAAAGGACTTACCCTCCCGAGCTTTCTCTTCCCACTTGTCCTGGAGTCCAGGGATAGGAGGCAATGTGTAGGAGGCGATGCAGGGGTTAGTTGGGCTGGATGCCCCAAGCTGCCCTCCAGGACCCGTAGCCTATCCTCCACCACCAAGCCCCCTTCACACACTCCCAGTCCCTGTCCTGCCCTCCATCCTGCTGGAATATCAGGATAGGGTGGGTAGAAGTTTGGAAGCCTCTGGGCTTCAGGCTCAGAGGGCAGGACCAGGAGGCAGATCTTGCACAGCACACAGACGTTTTCTCCCAGTCAGGGCAGCCTATAAGGGAGTAGGATGGCTGAGAGGTGGTGAGCTCCCCCGCATGGTGTATATGTAAGTAATCCTGGAGGGGAGTTTCCTACAAGGGGAAAGACTAGCCTGGATAACTTAGGGATTACCCAGCCCTAAGACTCTAACCCTGACCTCTGACATCCCTCTTAGAGATGAGTTGTATTGACATAATTCTGGGCAGCTGTGGTAGACAGAAAATGAGGAGACACGTTTTAGATGTGAAAGCCTTTCCCCATACTCTCAAATATAGGCAGTCCTCAAACCTGCTATGCTAGGAGCCTTATTAAGTTCTCACAGAGACCCTTTGGCCTGGGAGGAAAGAGGGCTGGGTCTCCTGGTGGAGACAAGGATCGGGCTGCCAGGACACTTAGAGATTCAGCACCGACTCAGTGGCAGCCTGCGGCACATGTCAGTAGAGCAGGGCTTTGGCACTGCTGTTGCAGGCAGAACAGGCCTTGGGGCTCAGCTATTCTCCTTACTGCAGAGCACCACCTACTCTCCCCAGGACAAAATCAGGGTGGAGAGGGGCTAGCCCAGCAGGCAACAGCCTCCAGTACTCTGGCACAGGGAGCTCACCAGCATGATACGTGTAGACTCAGTGAACACGGCCACATAGGGCTTCAGCACATCATAATGAAAGCCAGGTGTGAGCAGCTTGCGGTGCTGCAACCACTTGGGCCCCTCAAGAACCAGCAGGCCTCTCCCTGGGGAAGGGATGGGAGAGAGAGGGCTGGTCAGTCCAGGCCCTGGCAGCCTGGGGCTAAGCACATCCTACACGACTCCATCCCTGAGCCTGGAACCCTCCAAGGGTGGGCCACTAAGCGACCCAGTATTGCCCTCCATGCCCTCACCCTAGGCTACCAGGACCTCAGGAGACAGGTGGCAGCAGTTCTTGGCTGAGTGAGCTCCTTCCTTAGGACAGGATAACTCAGTTTCTGTATCTCAGCTGCACCCACAAAGCCTGGGTCCAGGAACTTGTGTCAGATGACATTGCCAGATGTGAGACAAAGGACACGCATCCCCCTGGGGACAGCCAAGCAGAGGGGGAGCCTGCTGAGCCTTGACTCTCAGCTGCTGAGACTGGCCACAGCTTCAGGACTTAGGGAATGTCCCACCGTGTTCGTGCTTCATGGCCTCAGGTGGGACCCTTCCTACCCCACTCCAACACACCCAGCAATGGAAATGCATTCCTGTCTTCAAAACCACCTCTTCATTTTCCTAACCCTTTTCTGTCTGCCTTCTAATTTTATCCTCCCATTGATAACTAAAAAGAGGGTTAGAAGCAAAAAGTCTTCCCAGTGGTACTCGGTGAGTAAATAGGATTGGGAATGTGTTCTCCCTCTTGGCCCTGCCCTTTCTCAGCTCCCAGGAAAACGCTGAAGACACCATAGGATCATGAGTAAAAGAGGAGCTTTGGAGAAGCATATGGCCTTGGCTAAAGAATACTCAATGGCTTTAACTTGAGTACCTCTGTAAAGGAAAAAGTAAAATAAAATAAAATAAAATACTCAATGACTCCCACCTACTCTCAACATCAAATCACCTCCTTATCCTGGCAGTCAAGGCTGGCCTGTCCTCCCTGCCCAGCATCATCTCCAAGCTGGGCTCTGCCTTGTAGCCACCCCGACAGCCTCACAGCCTCTGGTGACCAGCCGTGGTCCTACCACCACACCATTTCCTTAGGCCCTTGCCCTGGCCAGCACTACCTATTTAAATCTCCTTTTGGATCAACTCTAGTGCCACCTCCTTCAGGAAACTGTTCTTCGCACTCACACATTCTCCAAAGCCTTTGCCCTGTCTAGAGAATCAGGCCCTGCCAGAGAAGATGCCTTGGCCCCACAGCTGGGGGCTCTCCTGCTCCTCCCTTGTCTCTCCACTGAGCAGCTGAGCTTAGGATGGGCACCCGAGAACTAGGCCATCTGGGATAACCAATTGAGTGGGACAGGCCAGGATCCTAGTCACCCAGCACCACGGGTCTGAGGTTGGCAGGGCAGGGAAGGCAGGTGCTCACTCACCAATCCACTGGAGGAAGAAGTCATACACATCAGGGGCCTTAGGGTCTGCAGGAGGAGACAATCAGGTCAAGCAGGGACCCGGGGTTCCTAGAGGAGGCTCATTTATGAGTAGGGTGGGAACCTCAGCTCCGCAGACTTAGTACACAGGCCCAGGCTTCCTCCCCATATCATGCCCTGAGCCCTTTGTTCTCAGGAAGCCCCACCCTCTCCTGAGATCCCCATCCTCTCTCCTCACCCCCACGGCTGTACACAGCTTTGGCATAGTCAGGCTCATAGATGTTCAGGAAGCCAATGAACTGTCCGAACCAGAGTGGGTGGGCATACGGGAACTGGTGGGCCCAGGACACCACTTTGTCCAGGCTCCCCGTCTCCTGGATCTGAAATGATGACAGAAGGCCAAGGTCACTCAGGAACACATTGTCACCAGCTAGGCCCCAAGTCCCTGGGAGGGCAGGGGAGAAGGCTGCCCAGGCAGGCCCTGGTTGCTTCCTTACCTCTCCTGCACCCTCTTCTCCTAAACATCCCTGGGCTTAGTCCCCTCTCCAGCCCCACAACCACTGCTCTAATTCCAAGCCGCCCTCTTCTCACACCGGGGTTAGCTCAACATCCCCAAAGTAGCCAACCTGCTTCCATTTAGCACCTGCCACCAACTCTCTACTGCACTGCAGCCAGAAAGTGCTTTCTTCTCCACATTAAAGCTCTTTAATTATAAAGATAGGTAATATTTGCTCATTGTGCAATAGAGAAATGGCCTCAATTCCACCCCTGCCGTATCGTTCAACACATTTTTATTGAGGGCCTACATGTGCAGGGCTCTGTTCTAGACATCTCAGGGGAATGAGACAGACAAGTTCTGCCCTTTCATTCTATGGAGAAGACAGATAATAGACAAGTAGACAATTAAGTAAAATAATCACAGACAATAGTGAGTGCTCAGAATAAAAACAGTGCTATGAGAGACACTAACAGGGAGGGCCTGCTTAGATAGGGTAATCTTGGAAGGCTTCTTGTTGGAGACAACATTTAAGGTGAAACTTGAAGGATGGTGAGTCTCTGGCCATGTGAAGCATAAAGGAAAAGCATTCCAGGTGAGAAAACAGAAAGCACAAACGCGCTGGGTTGGGAAAGATCATGGTGTCTTCCAGGAGCTGCCCCATGGTGGGACAGTCACCTGGGATGAGCTTGAATAGGTCATCCAGAGGGTGGTACATGTCCTTTGGAGGTTTTTCTAGTCACGTTTACTCACCCAGAGGTGTTTTAAGTAAATGAAGTTATACAATAAATATTTTTGCAAAACCAGCCATTTTTCATTGAACATAACTTGTCCTCCTTTCCAAGCTAGTGCACTTAACTGTCATTACTATTTTTAACAGTTGTGTAGTATTTCACTATAAGGATGTACCATAATGTATTTAACTATTTTTCCCCATTTAGTGGGAGTCTTTCAAAGATACACTTAACACTCCTAGTGGCCTGCCCAGGGGCCTTGGAAAAGGTCCAAGCTCTGGAGTTTGTGGGGAGGCATGGTAATGACTAATCTTTATTAAGCACTTGCTGTGTGCTAGACCTTGTTCTAAGCACCTTACATTTTGACCTGATTGAATCCTCACAACAACTCTAAGTGGTCCCATTTTAGGGAAGAGGAGCCTAAGGAATAGAGAGGTTAGGTTACAGTCCCATAAAATTCCTGTTGAGGCCTGAGCCTGTGCTGGGCCTGCTTTTTCTCTCCGTAAAATTCTCTCTCACAATTGCCACCTATTCACTGATAGTATCCAAACAAATTAGGAAGGGAAAAATGTCCAAACCTTAATAATTTGGACATTTGTCCCCTCCTAATCTCATTTTGAAATCTGATCTCCAATGTTGGAGGTGGGGCCTCATGGGAGGTGTTGGCATCATAGGGGTGGATCCCTCATGAATGGCCCTGGGGCCATTCTGGCAGGATTGAGTGAGTTCTCTTAGTTCCCATGAGAGCTTTTTTTTGTTTTGTTTTGTTTTGTTTTTTTTTAAGGATTTTGCATATTGTTTATTTTTTTGTTTTTTGTTTGTTTTTTGGGTTTTTTTTATTATACTTTAAGTTTTAGGGTACATGTGCACATTGTGCAGGTTAGTTACATATGTATACATGTGCCATGCTGGTGCGCTGCACCCACTAACTCGTCATCTAGCATTATGTATATCTCCCAATGCTACCCCTCCCCCCTCCCCCCACCCCACCACAGTCCCCAGAGTGTGATATTCCCCTTCCTGTGTCCATGTGATCTCATTGTTCAATTCCCACCTATGAGTGAGAATATGCGGTGTTTGGTTTTTTGTTCTTGCGATAGTTTACTGAGAATGATGATTTCCAATTTCATCCATGTCCCTACAAAGGACATGAACTCATCATTTTTTATGGCTGCATAGTATTCCATGGTGTATATGTGCCCCATTTTCTTAATCCAGTCTATCATTGTTGGACCTTTGGGTTGGTTCCAAGTCTTTGCTATTGTGAATAATGCCGCAATAAACATACGTGTGCATGTGTCTTTATAGCAGCATGATTTATAGTCCTTTGGGTATATACCCAGTAATGGGAGGGCTGCAGGCAACCTACAAAATGGGAGAAAATTTTCGCAACCTACTCATCTGACAAAGGGCTAATATCCAGAATCTACAATGAACTCAAACAAATTTACAAGAAAAAAACAAACAACCCCATCAAAAAGTGGGCGAAGGACATGAACAGACACTTCTCAAAAGAAGACATTTATGCAGCCAAAAAACACATGAAAAAATGCTCATCATCACTGGCCATCAGAGAAATGCAAATCAAAACCACAATGAGATACCATCTCACACCAGTTAGAATGACAATCATTAAAAAGTCAGGAAACAACAGGTGCTGGAGAGGATGTGGAGAAATAGGAACACTTTTACACTGTTGGTGGGACTGTAAACTAGTTCAATCATTGTGGAAGTCAGTGTGGCGATTCCTCAGGGATCTAGAACTAGAAATACCATTTGAGAGCTGTTTGTTAAAAAGAGTCTGGCACCTCTCTCTCTCTCTCTCTCTTTCTCCTTTCCTCCTCTCTTGCCATGTGATGTCTGCTCTTCCTCATGAATAGCAGTTTCCTAAAGCTCCTCCTCATGAATAGCAGTTTCACCAGAAGCAGATATTGACCATGCCTCCTGTACAGCCTGTGGAACTGTGAGCCAAATAAACCTTTTACCCAGTCTCAGGTATTCATTTACAGCAACACAAAGGACTAAGACATCCATGTTGTATCTTCCAGGGAACATTCTTAAAGAAGGACACAGGCATCTGATAATGTAGCCCCCAGGGATCCTTTCTGGCCCAAGCCACTATCTCCAAGGGCTCATGGGATTGGGCCTATTTTGGCCTCCAGCCACCCGTCTGTGCCTTCTCTAGGGCTCTTCCCCTCCTAGGCCCTCTGTGGAGTCGTCTGTAATCATCCCATTGATCCCTTCCCTCACTGCCTCTGAACGCAGAATCCTGAGTTCAACCCAACAGGGCTGTAAGAGTTTTCACTGCCCTTGAGTACACGATGTCAAAAAGAACACAAAGTGATAAAAATCATCTCCACCCACAGGCAAGGGGAAACATTCTTGTATGCCTGCCTCCCTCCTGGCTGGTATCCCTGGAAGTGCTCCTTTCCCTGGTGTCTGTCTTATTTTTCCATCTGCCCTCCTGGGTTTTCCTTGCCAACTTCCTGGTCACCTGGCCATTCCCCTTCTCTCCATCCCTACCAGGTCCAGAAAGCCCAATTGGATGGGTCAAGGAAAGGCTTAAGTCACAAAAAAGCCAGACTCATAGGATCTTAGGATTGGAAGGAGCCTTTGGCTGATCTGGTTCATCCAAGCCCCACTTCCCTCCTTATCAGCTATGCTTGTGCACCTCTGCAGCAACCCCACAAGGGACAGTAGACCCTGGTCTCATGCTGACCACATTCACAACCTGTGCCCTGATCGAGGTCGCAGCCAGCTTGCCACTGCCTCCCTGTGCCCAGCTTTCTCCTAGCTCTTTAGATTTATTTAAGAAATAAAGAAAACTAAGATAAATAAAAAACATGTGCATGAGCCCAAGCGATGGCCAAACTTTTAAATAAAGCTAGAGAACTAGAAGCACCTGCCAGGCACCTGCCTTGATTACCCCGGGAGCCTGGTAAGAAGGAGGACAGCTCCCAGCACCTGGTCCCACTATTGCAGCTGCAGCCCCTCAAGAGGGCTGAGGCATCCTCCCTGTGGGGTACACGTGACTGCCTGGACAGTTCCTCTGGATTACACAACTGCATGCCTCAGACTCGCCCTCAGAATGCCTGAGCTGGGACACTTACAGGACTGGAAGTTCTGGGACGGCTTGTTTTTTCTCCAGAAGGAAGGAAACAGGAAGAGAGCAGGGTATGAAAATAATTCACTGATCCCAGCTCCCCAGCCCCACCTCCCACCCTCACATTGGCACTCCTTGTTGACCTCACCAGAAATAAACCACTGGAGGGATTGGGAAGAGCAAGCATACGTCACCACTTTCCTCTCTGCTTCTCAAGAGCCTAAAGTAAGCTTTGCTCCAAGAATCAGATCGGAAAAGGATTTCAACATTGCCTAGTGGAACCCTGACCTCTCTTTAAAGGTGGAAACGTGCGGTACAAAGACCAAAGGGAACAGTCCAGCATGAGTTAAGGGAGACCAGGGATCCTGGCTTAGTCTCTTTCTGCAGCCCTTGTTAGCAAGCCTGCTCAAGCCATCAGCCAGTTGACCCGAAGCTCAGTGGGCCAGTGTCCAAGAAACAAGCTACCCTTGACCAGTGTGCTGCAGCTACAGTGCCCCAGGGGGCTGCTTCAGAATGAAAATCAGTCTGCTCACAAAATGGGGATAAGAGTTTCGAAAAACAAAAGGTGAGGGAGGAGAAAGACGAAGGGGTTTCCTTTTCGGCAGCATGTCATAGTTCCCTCAAGGCAGGTCATGTCGGTCTCGGATTCCCAGCACACAGGGTGCCTGCCCAGCACCTTCACCCAGTAAGAATCCCTGCCCAAGTGCTCAAACATCTCTAGTGACAGGAAACTTCTTTTCAAAATACCCCAACCATCTTTGGACAGTCTTAATTCCTCAAAAGGCTTCTTAGTCGCTAAAGTGAAAGACACCTGCCCATAGCCTTCCCCATGGGTCTCCCTCTGGGACCACACAGGCTCCCACTGCCCAGGGAAGTCCTGCAGGGATTGGGAATTGGGGGCTAGAACCCCCTAGGACTGCTCTCCTTCAGGATGGACACCCTTAGGTGCCCTTTGGTGCCCTAGTCTCAGCTGTCTCCCTACTATGGGCCCTCTCCCCACACCCCAAAATTACCAGAGCTCCATGTGTGCATGAGTCCAAGCCACTGCCAAGCTTTTAAATAAAGCTAAAGAGCTAGAAGCCAAGAAAAAAACAACCAAAAGGGAGAAGATGTAGCATCTCTGAAATAACTATAAAAATCAGTGGGAAAAGCAGACTCAATGTACAAAAACTCATTGGGGATTCAGCTGTGAGGTTGAACAGAGCCATGGAGAGCCTGGAAAGAGGGGATCGAATGCAAAATACCCCAGGGAGCAGAGAGGTGACTTCCTCCCATGCTGGTGACAAACATGACTTCATCCTCCATCCTCCCTTTCAAAGACAAATAAACCATTACACATGTACATGTGAACAGATAACATACAGAAAGAACCCCTAGCTCAATAGAAGGAGCAAAGAGACTTTGGGTGAGATCAGTGTGGTCACCAGGACTCTCTAGCCACCATGCCTTGGCTAGGAAGTGATGATGGGCTTTGCCCAAAGTCACACAACTAGCATCGTGCCCCAGTCTTTAGATTCCAAAGCCTGTGCTCTGCCCCCAACATCCCTCCTGTCTTCAGCATCCAAAGGTGAACTCCAGACTCAGGAGCACCCAATCAGATGAGAGGAGGAATGCAGGAAAACATCCAAACAGCTAAAAAGGCAGGAAGGCAGGGACCCAAGAAATGCCCAAGAGTCCAAGGGGATGCAGTCATCTGTCCTCAGTCCGCATGGGTGGCTTTGCTGCCCAGAGTTGGTTCCCCCCAGAGATTCATCCACTCTTCCAACACATGGGCATTGTGCCAGGGACAGTGCTAGTTTCTGGTTACAGTGGTGAGCAAGACAAAGCCCTGCCCCACCAGCATACATTCCAAGTGGGGAGAAAGAAAATAAAAAGAATCAAATACACCAAGAATACAATTTCATGTAGTGATAACTCCAGAAAGAAAAAAAGCAGAGTAAGGGGCAGGGCTGCCACTATGGATGGGGGTGGGTCAGGAAGGCCACTCTAAGGTGACATTTCAGCAAAGATCAGCAGAAATGCCTTCTGGAAAGCCCCATGGCATCAGCCACAATCTGCTTCTCAAAAACTTTTATTTCAACTGCCCTCTCTACCTCTCCCCTCCTCACTCCTGGCAGATCACCCTTGCTGTACTTCCCAGAGAAAATAGAAACCATCAGATAAGAAACCCCAAAAAGTCAGCTGGCAGACCTGAAGGACCACCCCACCTGCACCCAGCCTCTCTGTTTCCCTCTGTTTCAGGAGAGAAGCATGCAGGGCCTGTCCAAGACCAGTCCATCTGGATTCCAACCCTCCCCACAAGGCACCTCACCCATCAATCAGCCCCTCTCTCCCAAATCACAGACCTCACCCTCTCTGCAGGCTCCTTCCCATCCTCATTCAAAATTTGTTCAAGTCTCTCACTTTAAAAAAAAAAAAAAGAAAGAAAATGAAACCAAACCTCCCTTTGTTCAGCTTCCTCCTCCAGCTAACACCTTATTTGCTCATCCCTTCATAATCTAACTTCTCTAAAGAGCTGTGCCCACTGTTTCCAATTCCTTGTGATGGCCCCACCTCTCCTATGCTGATCTTGCTAAGGAATCCAGCACCCTCCCTGGCGCTGAGCCCAGTTGACTCCCTGTCTCTCATGCACTGTCTCCTGGATGTCCTCCCCTCTCTCCCAGTGGCTGCCATGGGCAGCTCCTCACCCACTCTTTGTTCCTCCAGATCCAGTCCTTGGCCTCTTCCCTTGCGTCTTCTCCCTGAAAGCTCTCACCTGCTTCTGTGGTTTCCTGTGCCATCTACCTACCAACAATTTCTCAGTTGACAGCTCTTTCCAGTTTACCTTTCTCCTGAGGTCCAGAATCATAATCAACCCCCGGAACTCTCTGCATGACACCCTCCAGATTCTTCAGACCCAGCATTTCCAAACCCACACTCATACACATGTTCGTACACTTTTGTCCCCAAAATCTGCCTCTCCTACTGAACCTGGGGATGGTACCATCACCCACCCAAAAACTAGCCAGGAATATGGAATGTCGTTTTCTCCATGGTTTATATCAATATGAAGAGGGATGCCCTGTGGAGGCAGCCCCTCCTCCCTGCAGGCCCACCAAGTGATTTTTACATTGAAATCAGCAAACCAGAGCAAAAAGAACCAGATGTAGCAGGTCATGGGAGGAGACTCTGCCACGGAATTCTCCAAAACCAGTACTCGAGGATCCCATACCCAGACACTGACAAGTGCTGCCCACCACTGAGCCTCCTCTTCCTGGGTCTCAGATGCCCACATTTTAAAATTGAGACATAGAAATTCATTCCTCCTGTTTACAATCCAGTCTTATGGCTCTCCTTTGATGACTTTCGCTAGATTCTGCTCTAGTCCAGCTGTGTTGATGCCTCCAATTAACAGAGCTCCAAGGGTAATCCTTGTTTCCTTTTCCTGCTACATGGAGGAGCCCTCACTGACCCTCACATCTGGCTATGGTGGAGGTCTCAACGCCTCTCTCTCCTGTGGCTACCATGCCAAGACCTGGCCTGCCCTACCTTCCACTTTCCTCCAGCCCACTGGCTCACTCCCCAACACAAGGTGGAGGCCTGGATCACCTCCACCCTAGCCTCCCTGCCTCCTATTTGCCCTCTGTCAATCTGTTCGCCACCTTGAAGCCAAAGTGATCTTTCTAAAACATAAGTCTGAGCTTGTCTCTCCCTTGCTTAAATTCCTTCCATCATTCCCCATCGTCCTCAAAATAAGGTAAAGCCTTTTGACCTGGCCTCAAGGATCTGTGTGACTGCCCCGTCTACCTCCAGCCTCATCCTCTCCATTCTGTCCTCCCTGTCACCACTGCAGAAGCGCTGAGGTACTAACACAGGTATGTCCTAGACCCCAAAAGACAATTTAATTTCCTAAACACACTGCTTTTTCCAGCCTGTGTGCCTTTTTGCACAGAGAGCACCTTCTGCCTTTTCTTCTGCACTTCCTGCCACAGGTTTCTACCTCCAGATCTTTGAGAATGTGCCTCAGCATCACCTCCCTGGACCTTCCCTGACTCCCCACGCCGAGAGGGGCCCTTCTCTAGGCCCAAAGATTGGTAACACATGTGCTGTGTTATTCATCTCTCCTACAGACCTAGTTCCTCTGAGGCAAGCTCTTTGTCTTGATTCTTCATCCTCTGGCCTCAGCATAGGACCAGACCCAGAGTTGTTGATCAGACACTGCTGGTTGCTTAGGAAAGAGGGACCATATCTGGTTCACAAAGACTGGGTTGATTTGAGAAGAAGGAAGGGGATGAAGAAAGCAAATGCCCCAGGGTGTTTTGTAGCAAGAATCCCTCTATGATGATTTAACACCTGACGTTTATCTGCCCAGTAGTTTGCAAAATACCTATACTTTATCTCTTTCTATCCCCTTCTAACCCAGTAAGGTAAAAATGATTATCTCCACTTTGTTGACAGGGAAACAGAAGCACAGAGAGGTAAAGTGGCTTAGCTAACTGGGCACAGCGAAGGCCTGTAATCAATGTTTACTGAATGAAAATGAGCCACAGCCCTGTCTTCACTACACAGCACAAGGTCAAGGGCACTCTCACAGCAAAGGGCATGGCTGGGAAAGAGGCCTCTGCAGTCTCAGAGTATCTCATTTCCTTGATCTGGGAGCTGGCATTCTACACACACACACACACCCACACACACCAATTTGTTGGCTTCTTTCAAGGGTTCCAACCTCAGGCCAACAATATAGCTGAGCACCTACTATGTGCAAAGTCCTCCCTGGTTCCTAGACTGGAATGAGGGGGACCCTGGAAGAATAGGACATGTCCCCACCTCCAGAAGACACATTCTGAGAATTGAGGAGGATGACAGGTAGATGCTACCAAGGCCTCCAGACTGTAATCAGAGACCAAGAAGGAGAAATTAATCCTGACGGACAGCTCTTCCCTGCCCCCAGTCCCTTTACCCATCAGTCTTCCTCCCCTTCCTACTCCCATCATTGCTGGGCCTAAGAATCAACTTTGCAGTAACCTTTTATGGTCTGACAACATTACGAATTAAAATGCAGAAGTCCTGGGCCCAGTCTCGACCTAACTCCTGAGCTACTAAACAGACATAGACAAATACTTTGCACTCTCTGAACTTCAATGTCCTCATTTTTACATTAGGGAAAATAATCCCCTCTCTGCCCAACCCATTTCTCAAGTTCAGGTATGAATCCAGGCAAGAACAGAGGTGCCAAGCCCTTGAGGACTGCAGGAGTTGTGCTTGCAATGGTTCCCCAGGAAACCTTTGTAGCTCCCACAAGTAGTCACTCCTCCAGCCTTTGTCTGCTCAACCTGATGCCAAGAGAAGGCCCTTCAGACAGTTGTGTTAGAGCCAAGAAGCCAAAGCTAGACTGTGTTCCAGGCCCTCTGCATACTCTCAAGGTGGGGGTGGGGGCCGTTAAGGGGAAGAAAACAGCCAGCTCTGACATGGAGGTGGGGGTGCAAGGTCCCTGTCCTAAAGAAGTCCCTGGCTGAGGGCAAACACAACTTTGACGAAGGCAGGTAGAAGTGGAGAGGGAACAAGAAGAAAGGGAGAAAGTTCTCTCTAAATACCTCTTGTACCCTTTTAGCGTCAGACCTCAACCTTCCCTTGGCCCTCTTGTGTACTTAGCAAAGCCTCTCCCAAGCCCTCCTGGTCCCTTTGCTTTTCTTCTCCCTCATGCTTTCTCCTCTGTGGATACTCTCCCTACCCTCCAACATTCACTACTGGTTCATTAGTGATGCCTACACTATGCTAGGCTTTATGCTGGACCCTGAGGGTACAGGGATGAATCAGATCAGATCTCCATCCTCCAGGAGCCAAAGTCTAGTGCAGAAGTTGAATAGGTAAACAGAAGACTTCAATCCAACAGGACAGGTGCTGAGATCAAAATAATGCGGCTAAGGCAGAATCCTGGGGAGGAACCTCGCCCAGCTCGGGAGCAAGGCTCTGGTGTCTGTTTTCCCTTCAGACCGTAAGCTCTTTGAACCCCAGGCCTGGGTCTGATTCATCTCTCTGACCCACACTTTCCTTTCCTGGATGTCTTCAGGATGCATGTTACAGGGTTATCTGTCAGGGCAAGAATAAGCCTAGAGGTCAAGCTCATTTCTAGTGTCAATCAAGGAAGAGAAGCAGTGCCCCCATCCAGACTGAGAATGAGGAAAGTGAGTTCAGAAGGTAGGAGAAGGAACTTGCCTCACTCTGAGCCTCAATCTCTGGCATGTCAGCCAGGCGCGGTGGCTCACACCTATAATCCCAGCACTTTGGGAGGCCGAGGCAGGTGGATCACTTGAGGTCAGGAGTTTGAGACCAGCCTGCCCAACATAGTGAAACCCCATCTCTACAAAAATGCAAAAATTAGCTAGGCATGGTGGCGCGTGCCTGTGGTCCCAGCTACTTGGGAGGCTGAGGCACGAGAATTGCTTGAATCTGGGAGGCAGAGGTTGCAGTGAGCCAAAATTGCGCCACTGCACCCCAGCCTGGGAGAGAGAGCAAAACTCCCCATCAAAAAAAGAAAGAAAGAAAGAGAGAGAGAGAAAGAGAAGGAAGGAAAGAAGGAAGGAAGGAAGGAAGGAAGGAAGGAAGGAAGGAAGGAAGGAAGGAAGGAAGGAAGGAAAGAAAGAAAGAAAGAGAGAAAGAGAAAGAAAGAAAGAAAGAGAAAGAAAGAAAGAGAAAGAAAGAAGAAAAAAAGAAAGAAAGAAAGGGAAAGGGAAAGGAAAGGAAAAAGAGAGGGAAAGAAAGAAAAGTCTCTGGCATCTCTACCTGGATTCCCCAAGCTGGCTGCAGATCAAAACACTAACACTTGGACAGGTTTATAAATGTAAACTCCTAGTTCCAATCTGACAAATTGGAATCTCCAGGAACTGGAGGTCCAGGAATTTGCTCCTCCCAGTTGATTCCAATTCCCTGCCCTGTGTCTAATTAGAAACCTCTGGTCTAGATCCCCAATACAGTAGGAAACTAAGAGATCTTCCTGAGAGCAGGGGCTAAGGTGGTTCCCACCCTGGAGTAACAGGAAGACGAACCATGATCTGAACCTGGGAAGGTGTCACGGCTCCTGAGCCACCCATAGGCATGGCCGGGAGAGCCCTGCCTTTGGGGACACCAACCGCTTAGACACTCGGTGAGGTCTGTCATGTGGCGGTACTCATCTTCATGCTCACTCTCATTTCCTGCCTTACAAATGGAAATCTTTACACTACACACAACAACACGGACGCTGATTGAGCTTTCAATGGATTGCCTACTTCTATGTACTATCCAGAGGTTTTGGATTTCTGCCATTGCCTTTCTGTCATTGCTGAGCTTTTAGCAGAACCTGGTCCAAACTTTGGGCCTCAGAATGAGGAGAAGGTGTCTGTGCCATGCTTGAGCCCTGACTTGGAAGTTGCCCCCACTTCTGAAGTCAGCTTGAAAGGCTGGAGTGAAGGAGAAATTCCGGTGGGAAAGCTGAATGGAAGCCATGGATCCCAGGACATCATCCCCCTGCCCAAGTTTGAAGTCTCCCTCCACAGCCCCCTGGGAATTAGGCCTGATTCTCTGAAAGGAGGGAGGATGTTTTCTTTCTCCCCCACCCTCCCGACCTCCACATACCTCGAGGGCATGTCCAAAAAGCCAGTGGGTGGGAGGCCCTGGGAATTTGTCCATAGCCTTAGCCAACGTCTGCCTCCGCAGCAGCAGGTGGATGAGCTTGAGAAAGCCTAAGACCAAGATCAGCCCAGAAGCCCACAGGCCCAAGGAGGAGAAGCTCAGGGAGAGGAAGCTGGGCACCATGGTTGCAGTTCCAGCCACCTAGCCTTCATCTGACCTGCCTTCAGCTGCTCCTGGGTTCCTTTATACTCTGGACCCATGCATCTTGTCAGCGTCCAGCCCTAGCCACTCCCTGCAGCCAGCAGCAGCCAAGGCTGGGCTGAGTGCCATAAGGCGGAGACAGCAACCTCCAAAACTGCAAACAACAGAGGAGAGAGCCTAGTGGCCTTCTCCCAAAATTCAGCTAAAGAGAAACCTAATAGTGGACTCCAAAAAAAACAGGCAATGGGTATCCCACCTTGATTCCTTAGAACAAACAGATGGCAATTCTTGGTGTAATCATCAGCATAATAACCACTGTCTTCTCATACAAGCACTGTGAATGTTTCAGGCACTTTTTACATACTATCTCATTTAACCCAAACAGCAAGGAGGTCAGAGGCACTCACATTTTATACCCATTTCCCAGATAATGAAGCTGAGGCTCAGCTTGCCTATGCTTTCTCTCAAGAAAGCTTCCAGTGTCCCCTTCAATGTGAACCCTTAAGAGAGCTGGCATTTATGCTAGGCTCGCAATGCTTTGAGTTCTTTTTTGTGAGGCACCTTCAGAGACAAGGTTCTAGCCCCAAAAGGGAAATACCAGGTCAGAAAGGGGCCAACTCCACCCCTAAAACAATAGTGCCATTTTGACACTTAGGAACATAGAACTTTCAGGGTGATGAGAGGTCATCAAATTCAATCCCTCCTGGCTGGATGGAGCCACTTAAGCTCAAGAGAGGTAGGGAAATATCCAAAGTTGCACAGCAAGAAATTGGCAGCTCCCAGTGCCACAGCCCAGGCTTCTGTGGAAGAACAAGTTTGGCTCAGACCACTGCCTTGCCTGGGGAGGGTATGTTATTTGCAGAGGCAGGCAGATTAAAGAAATCAAACAAGATATGATGTGGCATGCAGAGACTTGAAACAACAAGAAATGCATCAATACCCCAGGACTAAAGGAAGAAGGGAAGAAAATCATGATCCTGTAGCTTGGTGGGGGTTGTATTTATGGGGAACACAGCTAGTGCGAGAGAAGTGATGCTGGAACAGTGGAAGAACAGAGCAAAAATGTCCTAAACTCTTTCATCTGCCATCTCCCATCTCCTACTAGTGTCTCCAATCAGCCAAGCCAATCAGAAGTGAAATGGCAAGGAGCCTGGGGAGTCAGTCTGCAGAAGTCAGCCTCCCAGCAAGATAAGAGCAAGGACAGTCTGGCAGGGAGGTGGCAGGAAAAAAACCAGCAATCAGGTGGACTTGGATCTCAAATCTCAGAACTCAGATCACAGGTTCTAATTCAGAGAATGATAAGCCATCAACATGGCTGCCTTATCCCCTCTGGCACAAGAGACCAAGCCTCCTCCTCTGCTGGGGAGACATAATGTCCAATCTTACCCATAGGCAGAGAAAGCAAGAAGAGAGTACAATGAAAGAACTCCAAAAGTGTCTTCTCCATTGGTCTGTCACACTTCCTGAAATTTCACATTTGTGCTTCATTTTATAGGATCGAGACATTGAGTGCACCATTTAAAAAGCAAGTCATGTTGTATCTTTGTTCTTATTGGTTTCAAACAACATCTTTATTTCTGCCTTCATTTCATTATGTACCCAGTAGTCATTCAGGAGCAGGTTGTTCAGTTTCCATGTAGTTGAGCGGTTTTGAGTGAGTTCATTAATCCTGAGTTCTAGTTTGATTGCACTGTGGTCTGAGAGACAGTTTGTTATAATTTCTGTTCTTTTACATTTGCTGAGGAGTGCTTTACTTCCAACTATGTGGTCAATTTTGGCATAAGTGCGATGTGGTGCTGAGAAGAATGTATATTCTGTTGATTTGGGGTGAAGAGTTCTGTAGATGTCTATTAGGTCCGCTTGGTGCAGAGCTGAGTTCAATTCCTGGATATCCTTGTTTAACTTTCTGTCTTGTTGATCTGTCTAATGTTGACAGTGGGGTGTTAAAGTCTCCCATTATTATTGTGTGGAAGTCTAAGTCTCTTTGTAGGTCTCTAAGGACTTGTTTTATGAATGTGGGTGCTCCTGTATTGGGTGCATATATATTTAGGATACTTAGCTCTTCTTAATGAATTGATCCCTTTACCATTATGTAATGGCCTTCTTTGTCTCTTCTGATCTTTGTTGGTTTAAAGTCTGTTTTATCAGAGACTAGGATTGCAACCCCTGCCTTTTTTTGTTTTCCATTTGCTTGGTAGATCTTCCCCCATCCCTTTATTTTGAGCCTATGTGTGTCTCTGCACATGAGATGGGTCTCCTGAATATAGCACACTGATGGGTCTTGACTCTGGGATGCATTTAAAGCAATGTGTGGAGGAAATTTATAGCACTAAATGCCCACAAGAGAAAGGAGGAAATATCTAAAATTGACACCCTAATATCACAATTAAAAGAACTAGAGAAGCAAGATCAAACACATTCAAAAGCTAGCAGAAGGCAAGAAATAACTAAGATCAGAGCAGAACTGAAGGAGACAGAGACACAGAAAACCCTTCAAAAAAATCAATGAATCGAGGAGCTGGTTTTTTGAAAGGATCAACAAAATTGATAGACCGCTAGCAAGACTAATGAAGAAAAGAGAGAAGAATCAAATAGACGCAATAAAAAATGAAGGGGGGTATCACCACCAATCCCACAGAAATACAAACTACCATGAGAGAATACTATAAACACCTCTATGCAAATAAACTAGAAAATCTAGAAGAAATGGATAAATTCCTGGACACATACACCCTCCCAAGAATAAACCAGGAAGAAGGTGAATCCCTGAATAGACCAATAACAGGCTCTGAAATTGAGGCAATAATTAATAGCCTACCAATCAAAAAAAATCCAGGACCAGACGGATTCACAGCCGAATTCTACCGGAGGTACAAAGAGGAGGTGGTACCATTCCTTCTGAAACTATTCCAATCGATAGAAAAAGAGGGAATCCTCCCTAACTCATTTTATGAGACCAGCATCATCCTGATACCAAAATCTGGCAGAGACACAACAAAAAAAGAGAATTTTAGACCAATATCCCTGATGAACATCGATGCAAAAATCCTCAATAAAATACTGGCAAACGGAATCCAGCAGCACATCAAAAAGCTTATCCACCATGATCAAGTTGGCTTCATCCCTGGGATGCAAGACTGGTTCAACATATGCAAATCAATAAATGTAATCCATCATATAAACAGAACCAAAGACAAAAACCACATGATTATCTCAATAGATACAGAAAAGGCCTTCAACAAAATTCAACAGCCCTTCATGCTAAAAATTCTGAATAAATTAGGTATTGATGGGATGTATCTCAAAATAATAAGAGCTATTTATGACAAACCCACAGCCAATATCATACTGAATGGGCAAAAACTGGAAGCATTCCCTTTGAAAACTGGCACAAGACAGGGATGCCCTCTCTCACCACTCCTATTCAACATAGTGTTGGAAGTTCTGGCCAGGGCAATCAGGCAGGAGAAAGAAATAAAGGGCATTCAATTAGGAAAAGAGGAAGTCAAATTGTCCCTGTTTGCAGATGACATGATTGCATATTTAGAAAACTCTATCATCTCAACCCAAAATCTAAAATCTCCTTAAGCTAATAAGCAAATTCAGCAAAGTCTCAGGATACAAAATCAATGTGCAAAAATCACAAGCATTCCTATACACCAATAACAGACAAACACAGAGCAAAATCATGAGTGAACTCCCATTCACAATTGCTTCAAAGAGAATAAAATACCTAGGAATCCAACTTACAAGGGATGGGAAGGACCTCTTCAAGGAGAGCTACAAACCACTGCTCAATGAAATAAAAGAGGATACAAACAAATGGAAGAACATTCCATGCTCATGGATAGGAAGAATCAATATCATGAAAATGGCCATACTGCCCAAGGTAATTTATAGATTCAATGCCATCCCCATCAAGCTACCAATGACTTTTTTTCACAGAATTGGAAAAAACTACTTTAAAGTTCATATGGAACCAAAAAAGAGCCCACATTGCCAAGTCAATCCTAAGCCAAAAGAACAAAGCTGGAGGCATCATGCTACCTGACTTCAAACTACACTACAAGGCTACAGTAACCAAAACAACATGGTACTGGTGCTAAAACAGAGATATAGACCAATGGAACAGAACAGAGCCCTCAGAAATAATATCACACATCTACAACCATCTAAGCTTTGACAAACCTGACAAAAACAAGAAATGGGGAAACGATTCCCTATTTAATAAATGGTGCTGGGAAAGCTGGCTAACCATATGTAGAAAGCTGAAACTGGATCCCTTCCTTACACCTTATACAAAAATTAATTCAAGATGGATTAAAGACTTAAATGTTAGACCTAAAACCATAAAAACCCTAGAAGAAAACCTAGGCAATACCATTCAGGACATAGGCATGGGCAAGGACTTCATGACTAAAACACCAAAAGCAATGGCAACAAAAGCCAAAATTGACAAATGGGATCTAATTAAACTAAAGAGCTTCTGCACACCAAAAGAAACTACCATCAGAGTGAACAGGCAACCTACAGAATGGGTGAAAATTTTTACAATCTACCCATCTGGCAAAGGGCTAATATCCAGAAACTACAAAGAACTTAAACAAATTTACAAGAAAAAATCAAATAACCCCATCAAAAAGTGGGTGAAGGATATGAACAGACACTTCTCGAAAGAAGACATTTATGCAGCCAACAGACCCATGAGAAAATGCTCATCATCACTGGCCATCAGAGAAATGCAAATCTAAACCACAATGAGATACCATCTCACACCAGTTAGAATGGCAATCATTAAAAAGTCAGGAAACAACAGGTGTTGGAGAAGATGTGGAGAAATAGGAACACTTTTACACTGTTGGTGGGACTGTAAACTAGTTCAACCATTGTGTAAGTCAGTGTGGTGATTCCTCAGGGATCTAGAACTAGAAATACCATTTGACCCAGCCATCCCATTACTGGGTGTATACCCAAAGGATTATAAATCATGCTGCTATGAAGACACATGCACACGTATGTTTATTGCAGCACTATTCACAATAGCAAAGACTTGGAACCAACCCAAATGTCCATCAATGATAGACTGAATTAAGAAAATGTGGCACATGTACACCATGGAATACTATGCAGCCATAAAAAATGATGAGTTCATGTCCTTTGTAGGGACATGGATGAAGCTAGACACCATAATTCTGAGCAAACTATCACAAGGATAGAAAACAAAACACTGCATGTTCTTGTTCATAGGTGGGAAATGAACAATGAGAACACTTGGACACAGGATGGGGAACATCACACACCGGTGCCTGTCAGGTGGCGGGGGGAGGAGGGAAAGCATTAGGAGAAATACCTAATGTAAATGACGAGTTAATGGGTGCTGCACACCAACATGGCACATGTATACATATGTAACAAACCTGCACGTTGTGCACATGTACCCTAGAACTTAAAGTATATTTTAAAAATTTTTAAAAAGCAAGTCACTTGAGTCAGAGAATAAAGAAACATGATGAGCTATCAGCAGAATTCCATTCTTGATGGTGAATTCATTTATCAGCATAGTTTCAGCCTGGTCATATGATGGAGTGTTTCAGGGAAAGCCTAAATGGGCTCCCACCTGATGAAAGAGCCATGGCTCCTGGCAAGGACCACATAGGATTCACCTGGGAAGGGAATAGGGTTAGCCTAGAAGATGTTGAGTGGGTAGAGTGGACGTCAGTTGAATGACTCCCCAGCATCCATTCCTTGCTTCCCCCTTCCACCCAGTACCATGAATTTGCAAGCCTTGGGTGCATTCAGATTGCCCTCACCCTCAACTCCAGTATGGTCTTATATTTATTTAACATAGTCTGCATTCATCTTGCCCACAATAATTGATTCTTTCAAGAATAGGCACACGAACAAAGTCAGCCAATCAGGGCGAATGAAATCTATTTCCAGTATTTAATTTAAGCTATCTTGAAACAGATTCTCTCTTTAATATTGAATTCGATCCTAGAGCATGTAATCTCAGAAGCCATCAATGTGGAAAGAGGCAGACAAGAATGTACTCAACACCATAGCAACAGAACTGAGAAACATACTAAAAGGAACTAAATATCAGTCACATTGTTTGAACTCCTGGATCAAGCTTCACCTGAAGCTAGAATTACCTTTCACTTTTTATTTTATTTTATTTCATTTTATTTTATTTCATTTTATTTTTTAGACTCGGGGGAACATGTGCAGATTTGTTACATGGCTATATTGTATGATGCTGAGGTTTGGGCTTCAGTTGAACCCATGACCCAAATAGTGAACATAGTACCCAATAGGAAGTTTTTCAACCCTTGCTGCTCTTCTTCCCTCCCCACCTTTGGAGTCCCCAGTGGCTGTTGTTTCCCTCTTTATGTCCATTTGTACCCAGTGTTTAGCTCCCACCTATAAGTGAGAACATGCAGTTTTCTGTTTCTGCATTAATTCACTTAAAAAAGTGACCTCCAGCTGCATCCATGTTGCCACAGAGGACATGATTTCATTATTTGTAATGGCTGTGTAGTATTCCATGGTGTATATGTACCACATTTTTCTTATCTGATCCACTGCTGATGGGCACCTAGGTGGATTCCATTGAGTCTTTGCTATTACAGATAGTGCTGCAATAAACATGCAAGTACAGATATCTTTTTGGTAGAACAATTTATTTTCCTTTGGGATTACTGGGTCAATGGTAATTCTTTTTTCAGTTCTTTGAGAAATCTCCAACTGCTTTCCACAGTGGCTGAACTAATTTACATTTCCACCAACAGTGTGTAAGTGTTCCCTTTTCTCTACAACCTTGCCAACACCTGTTATTTTGTGAGTTTTTGGTAATAGCCATTTTGACTGGTATGAGATGGCATCTCATTGTGGTTTTGATTTGCATTTCTCTGATGATTAATGATGATAAGCATTTTCATATGCTTCTCAGTTAGTTGTGTGTCTTCTTTTGAAAAGTGCCTATTCATGTCCTTTGCCCACTTTTTAATGGGGTTGCTTATTGTTGATTTATTTAAGTTCCTTATAGATTCCGGATATTAGTCCTTTTTTGGATGCATAGCTTGAAAATATTTCTCCCATTCGGTAGCTTGTCTGCTTACCCTGTTGATAGTTTCTTTCTTTCTTTTTTTTTTTTTTTTTGAGATGGAGTCTCACTCTGACACCCAGGCTGAGTGCAGCGACGCGATCTCGGCTCACTGCAAGCTCCACCTCCCGGGTTCATGCCATTCTCCTGCCTCAACCTCCCGAGTAGCTGGGACTACAGGTGCCCACCACCACGCCTGGCTAATTTTTTATATTTTTAGTAGAGACAGGGTTTCACTGTGTTAGCCAGGATGGTCTTGATCTCCTGACCTCGTGATCCGCCCCCCTCAGCCTCCCAAAGTGCTAGGATTATAGGCATGAGCCACTGCGCCTGGCCACTGATAGTTTCTTTTGTTGTTTCTTTAGTTTAATTAGGTCCCAGTTGTCAATTTTTGTTTTTTTTTTTGCATTTACTTTTGAGGATTTAGTCATAAATTCTTTGCCTAGGCCAACGCTTTGACTCTTAATTACATGAACCAACAAATCGCCTTTGTTTAAATTCAATCTGAGTTGGGTTTTCTGCTGCTTGAAACCAAAGTATTTCTATGTGATATACTAGGGAAAACCTGGGAAAATGAGAAAGCCTTGGCTAAATTGGGCTGAAACATATTTAGGGGGTTAGCTTGGGACAAACTGAATGAAATTAACCTGGGAAGGGACAAGTGGGATTATCTTGGTACATTTTGAGCAGTGGGGCTTGCCTGGGAAATACTGAGGGAGTTCATAGAGAAGTTCTAAGTGGTATTAGCCTGGGCAAAGCTTCCATAAGATAGGAGCAAGCAATAATCTGGATATGGTGAAAGTGAGGGGCATAGTTTAGAGAAGAAGCAGATATCTGAGACATTATCAAGCAGAAAACACAAAGGAGAGGAACATGTTAGGAAACTGGAGTGTCAAGTGCAGGGTTAGCATAGAGGGGTAAGGAGACTAAACTTTGTCTTCTAGGCTGCAGGGGGCCATGGAGAGGGCCTTAAGCAGAGAGACAAGGGTGATCAGAGGTGAGGTCCAGAAAGATCACCTCCTCTGTATGTGTGCAATGACTTGGGCTGGTGGGGGTGGGGCCTGCAGAAGGGTTGGAGAGGAGAGAGGAAGCTATCAATGCACTGATCTTTGTGGAAGATGACAAACCTGGACAGGGAGGTGGCAGAAGGCATGAGTCAAGGCTGGTGGGGTGCAAGGGGGCTGGAGCTCAGTGTGGATTGGCAGGCAGGGAGAGGAAGTCAGAGGGAGAATGAGCAGGGTGGATGTTGCTTGTGCCTCAGAGGTCCTACATACCTTCTCCTGCCAGAAATATAGCCCAGCACTCGTGATCTATTTTCCATACACCCTGCTCTCCACCCCTTGGCTGAAATCTGGCAGCCACCCACATTTTTAGGGCAAAAAACAAGTCATCATGTGACCAGAGCCAGAGGCTAGGCTTCAGTCAACTCCCAGGTCCTGATCCTACTAGCTACATACCCTGACCATCTTGGCAGTGTGATTTGTGGAAGCCAAAGTTCTTGGAAGCTTCCACCCAGTAGTCTTAGTTCTTCCTTTAAGAGTCCCATAGAAAACTTCAACTGTAAAAAAAAAAAAAAAAAGGCTTGTAGATGGCCCCCAGTCCATTAGTGTACTGAACAGGCTGGCACTGGCTCTCAAGAGCAGATTGTGTATATCACTTCCCAACTCTAGGTTTGGTGTCACATTAGCAGCTTGAAATTGGCTATCATAGGAGTATTTAATATTTACATGACAGAAATTGGCAAATGCTACAAATCCCACTTTTTCCCCTGAGAAGCCAGTTGTTAAACACTTTCAAACATACCATTGATCCTAACCCCCGGGCTGCAGAGTTACTATAGCAGCTCTCCTTGACCACTGGTACTTGCCTAAGAGATCTCCGTTATACAGGACTGTAGGGCAAGACTAGAAGCCTCCCTTTCAGACTCCTTGGGAAAAAAATCTTTAGGCCTTTAGCAAAGATTAATTCCCATGTGTCTGAAGAGGTCTGGGGTTATGGGAGTAGGGAAGGGAGGCTGCAAAGAGATGGACATAATGAGACCGCCTTTATCCAAGTCCTTCCTAACTGCTCTCTTCCTCCAGGATGCCATCCTCCACACGCCTCCACTTCAGAAACGCCAATTAGGCCAGTTTTCTAAATCTTCCACCTCAGTCTGCAACTTTTCTTAGCTGCATTCACTTTCAGTCTTGTAGCAGTTATTTCTCTTATCTTTGTCTTATCCTTGTAAAAGAAAAATAAATCTTGGGCCCCCAAAATCACTAACTAAAGGGAAAAGTCAAGTTGGGAACTACTTAGGGCAAACCTGTCTCCAATTCTATTCAAAGTCATCCCTCTACTCATTGAAATAAATGCATATCTGACTGCCTCCTTTGGAGAAGCTAATCAGAAACTCAAAAGAATGCAACCATTTGTCTCTTATCTGAAGGGGGCCAGCCCCTCCACAAACTGTGGGTGTTTCTCCTCAGGTGGGATGAGAGACTGAGAAAAGAAATAAGAGACAGAGACAAAGTATAGAGAAAGAAAAGAAAGAAAGAAAAGACAGAAAGAAAGAAAAAGGGACCTGCACTCAGCATATGGAGTACCTGTGCCCTCCTGCACTGGTCTCTGAGTTCCCTTGGTATTTATTGATCATTATCTCTACCATCTTGGAGAGGGGGATGTGGCAGGACAATAGGGTAATAGTGAGGAGAGGGTCAGCAGGAAAACATGTGAACAAAGGTCTCTGTGTCATAAATAAGTTTAAGGAAATGTGCTGTGCCTTGATGTGCATGCACACAAACATCTCGGTTCAATAAAGAGCAGTATTGCCACCAGCATGTCTCACCTCAAGCCCTAAGGTGGTTTTCTCCTATCTCAGTAAATAGAACATACAATCGGGTTTTACACCAAGACATTCTATTCCCAGGGACGAGCAGGAGACAGATGCCTTCCTCTTATCTCAACTGCAAAGAGGCCTTCCTCTTTTACTAATCCTCCTCAGCACAGACCCTTTACAGGTGTCGGGCTGGGGGATGGTCAGGCCGTATCTCAGGCTATCACATGTGGAGAAACCTTGGACAATACCTGGCTTTCCTAGGCAGAGGACCCTGCAGCCTTCCGCAGTGTGTTGTGTCCCTGGGTACTTGAGATTAGAGAATGGCGATGACTTTTACCAAGCATATTGCCATCAAGCACTTTTTTAACAAAGCACATCCTGCACAGCCCTAAATCCATTAAACCTTGAGTCAACACAGCACAGGTCTCTGCAAGCACAGGGTTGTGGTTAGGGTTACAGATTAACAGCATCTCAAGACAAAAGAATTTCTCTTAGTACAGAACAAAATGGAGTCTCTTATGTCTACTTCTTTCTACATAGACGCAGTAACAGTCTGATCTCTCTTTCTTTTCCCCACATTATCTATCTACCTATGACCTAGAAGTCCCCTCCCCACTTCAAGTTGTTCTGCCTTTGGCCTTTGCTTCAAGTTGTCCTGCCTTTCCAGATCGATCCAATGTTCTTCTTACATATGTTGATTGATGTGTCATGTCTCCCTAAAATGTATAAAACCAAGCTGTGCCTTGACCACCTTGGGCACATGTCTTCAGGACCTCCTGAGGCTGTGTCACAGGCATCTCTCAACCCTGGCAAAATAAACTTTCTAAATTAACTGAGATCTGTCTCAGATATTCAAGGTTCACATTTTGTAACCATGGAGGGATTCTGAGTGAAGGTGCCCCGACCTTTGACAAATCTCCTGTTAGTGCTTGGTACCAGCCTGAGCTATCTATATTGCTCAAACCAGAAGGACAATAGGACAATTTGCTGAGGCCTGGAAGCACCCTCTCCAGAAAATCCCTGATCTCCTAAAATTTGATGGAGACCTTAAGTTTATTTTGCCGTATGACTTTTTCTTTTTCTTTTTTTTTTTTTTTTTTTTAGTTTTACTTGCTTCCAACATAAGGAAGGCAAGTTTTCCTGCTTCCATGATGATGGAAGATGAGTAATTCCTTTATGGAGTTTGAGCTCTCTTCCAAGAAAAGACAAGTTTGAGTTTTTTCCTGCTTTGAGGATGGTGGAAAGCAGTCTTCTGCCTCAGACCCATCCCTAAGTAAGTAACTGAATTGGGGTTTGTCTTGGCTAAAGTTAAAATTAACAACCCGCTGATCTTAATTTCTCCTTACCATTACAGTGCTCAGTAATCATATAAGTTGAGCAATTGTTTGTTTTGCTTAACTGGTTTTTGTTGATGTTGTTGTTTGGTTGTTTACATTTTTGCCGTTGTTTCAGTCTTTTTCCCACTGAGCTTGACCAACTCTATCCAACTTGATCAAATCCGAAGGAAAGTTCCAAATTATGGGGAACAAGACCTCTGAAGTGGCTAAATTCCCACACACACACAGAAAAAGGTGGTGTGGTGGGGGGGAGAAAACAGCCAGCAAAAGGGGGAAAAAAGATTTTTTATTTTGACTACTTAAGGGTCTTTATTTACATAACAATGCCAGGCTTTTGCTAACCAGGCCAAACTGAAAGAACTATGGCTGTCACCCCACACTGCAGTTGGATAGCTAAAGTTCTGCCCCCTTTTTTTCCACCACGACACCCTGGATTTGGTTCCTAAATCAAGCCCTTTCTGGTTTGATACTTGGTACTTCTGAAATAGCAGCAATTTGTCCTAGCTGAAATGTGGTAATGAGATTTTAAAAGATTTTTTTAAAGGAGCTCAGTGGTTAAAAGTCAGCTTAATAAGTTAGCTTTTAAGCTAACATCCAAGGTAAGTGTCTGTATGTGTGTGTATATGTGTTTGTATTTAAAAGGCCATCATGCTTTTGTTTTTGTTTTGTTTCTCTCCTAGAACTTGCCTTTTATTTAGCAAAGTTTTTTTTCTTCTCCGTTGACTGAATACTGTTTTCTTCATTTACTTCTGCTGTCTCTCCTTTCTCTTTCACCCTCTGCTGCATGAGAGACCTAAAATAATTTATAATAGCCTGGAGTTCCTTAAAGAAAATGGAGAAGGCACAACACTCCCACTGGGGAGAAACCTCTCTTTTTCTTTATGGAACCCCAAGAGTGTAAATAGACAAGTTTGTCTCAGCTCTTAAGCTGCTTGATTTTGTATTGTGTTACCTAATTTTTTGACTAAAATAGTTGTTGCAAGAGAGGCTACTCCTGGGTTTTTAAGGAAGAGTGTAACTTAGATACTTAAAAATGTCCTCATTTAAAAAAAAAAAAAAAGCCGGGCAGGGTGGCTCATGCCTGTAATCCTAGCACTTTGGGATGCTGATCACCTGAGGTTGGGAGTTCAAGACCAGCCTGACCAACATGGAGAAACCCTGTCTCTACTAAAAATACAAATTAGCCTGGTGTGGTGGCACGTGCCTGTAATCCCAGGTACTCAGGAGGCTGAGGCAGGAGAATCGCATGAACCCAGGAGGTGGAGGTTGCAGTGAGCCAAGATCATGCCATTGCACTCCAGCCTGGGCAACAAGAGCAAAACTCCATCACAAAAAAAAAAAAAAGTGCACTGTAAAAGCATCACATGGCCTGATAATAATTCTTCCTTTTTGGAGACCCAGGATTCAATGTGGGCTTGTCCAAAGCTCAGAGATCCAGTTAAAAGATAGGAAGTCCCTATCTAAATAAAATTGGTCTCCCTATACAATCCTATGACACATTTCTATAATTTTATGTTTGATTTGGCATCTATCTTTAATTTTTCTCTAGCGCCACAAGACATTTTCTCTCTGTACTTTAACATGCAAATTTGCTACCTGATTTTTTAATTTAAGAGTTGTTTCCTTCAATACACATATTTAGGGCTGTTTAGCTGACAACTGCCAGGGCAATAAAACAGGTTACCAAGAGTTTTCAAGTCTAAGATAGGAAAAAAAAAAAAAAAAAAAGGAGGTTTTAGGAATCTACAAGATGTATTTCTATTGGTATGCCTACTATGACTATGTATTTATGTGTTGTGTACACAATGTTTCACTAGTAAAAATATATAAAAGAGCTCAAATTAAGTGGCTTAAGAAAATAGAAGCATTTGAGTTAAATTTATCAGGAAAAAAGCAAGACTAGTCAAATACTTTTTCAAGTTTACATGATTAAGTAAAATCTTTAATACATAAGCTAGCTTTAAAATTATTGTTAAAGTAATGTTAGAAATGTCTTAAGAATTGCCAGCATACATTTTTATTTGCATGTAGTATTCAAGCAATTTCATACTTATCTCTACCAAATACTATAAGGTGTCAAAATTTGGCATAAGGGTTACAAAACTATAAACGCAGTCAAAACAGAATGATATTTGCTCATGTAATTTTTAATAAATAAGACATTGATATTGGTTTAATGAAAGTAGGGACATCTTGAATTTAGCAAGATTAGCAAAACTTTTAATCTCATGGCTTTAGGCAGTCTAGTCCACAGACAGTAAGGAGGTTTGTTTTGGGAATCATCTTTGTTTCAAAGCTAAACTATCAATTAAGTTCCTCCCAAAGTTAGTGCAGCCTATACCCAGGAATGAATAAGGATATCCTGGAGGTCAGAAGCAACATGAAGTCAGTTAAGTCAGATCTTTTTCACTGTCTCAGTTATAATTTTGCAATGGTGGTGCCATAAGCTTACTTTAAATGATGACTACCACAGTTTTCATAAGTAATCTAGGTAAATGATTAAAATAAAATAATTAGGTAAGTGTAATAGAATAAATACTTCTAGACAAACTTGTCATAATTTAGGATTTAAAGTTATATTAAATTAAATAATCAATATTTCATTATTTGGGTATTTTTCAATAAAAATATAGTGTAGAAAAACATTCTTTATTAAAAAAAGTATACCCTTTTCAAAAAAGTGAAAAATTTTTATCTAATTCAAAGCTTATTTAAAGGTTATCTATAAAACAAGGTAAAAAGAACCAGGAAATAAGAGAGATGTAAAAGTTACAGAAAAAAAAAGAGGTACTTTTTTGGTAAGAAAGCTTACAGAGAAATAATTTTAAATGAAAAAAAATTGTATGGTAAATTTAGTCCTAAAATAAAATGACAAGGTTGTTTACGAAAGGGGCATGTTTAAGACAAAGCCAAAAATCCAAGCATGTCATGAATGGTCTGTGTATGTCACAATAAGAGGATTTTTTTAAAAACAAAAAACTTTTATATGATCAAATTGTCTGTAATTAAAGGGAAATTATAATGGTCTTTCTAGATATTTGGCTTGAGGTAAAAAAAATTATACACTAAATAATTGGTTAAACAATGAAATTTTCCTAAGGGATTGATTTGCTCTTAATATATAAGAGATTTTAATTTTTTTAACCCAAAGTTTAACTTTTATTGCATATCATTTTTAATTTTCTTTCCCCTTTTAAGGGCCATGAAATACTAATGCTCTACTTCAACTCATTTTCAACTCATGTAAGTTTTCTTCCTCGAGCTCTGTTTGTTGTGGCCTGATGCTAACAATGTTTTCTTAAAGGTCTAAAGAAAATGTTTTCTTCCAATATAATATTCTGTGCAGTGCAGAAGGTCTTTTATTTTGCCTTTTGGTAACTGGCCTAACAGATTTTGCGGTTTATTGAAACAATTTATATGCCATTATTATCAAGTTTTTGTTTGCTTAGAAAAACAGATTTTTTTAAAATGTTTTTTAATTAAGGTTATTACATCCATGTATTGTTCTGTATGTGCTTTTAAAGTACTTGTGACATTGAGTTACAGGGCTTTGACTCCTAGGTCTGAAGAACACAACCAAGTCCTGCTAAATCTTAAACACTGACACCCATTAAAGCCTTATCTTCAGACCTGGTAGAAGATGCCAATCAAAATAAAACACATTCCTTGGGCACAGTGAGAGTAAGACCAGCCCTTCAGTTTGCCTGGGAGCTTGGTGAGGCCTGTGACTGCCAGCTTTCCCCCACTTCCCTGACAACCTGCATTACTCAGGAGAGGCAGCCATAATCCTCCTAGGTATACAATCCCAGTGATCTGGGAATCTCACCATCAGCCCCAACAGCAGCCACAGCAAGACCCACCCAAGGAGAGTCTGAGCTCAGACACACCTAGCCCTGCTTCCACCTGATGGTTCTTCCCTAAACACCCGGGTAGCAGAAGACAAAAGGGCATATAATCTTGGGAGTTCTAGGGCCCCTCCCACTACTGATCTCTCTCCACACTACTATAGGTGATGCTTTCTGGAAAGCACCACCTCCTGGAAGGAGGCCAACCAGCATGAAAATAGAGCATTAAACCACTAAAGCTAAGAACCCCCATGGAGTCCACTGCACCCTCCACCACCTCCACCAGAACAGGTGCTGGTATCCATGGCTGAGAAACTCATAGACAGTTCACACCACAGGACTCTGTGCAGAAATGCCCAGTACCAGCCCAGAGCAGGGTAGACTTGGTGGGTGGCTAGACCCAGAAGGGAGACCACAATCACTGCAGTTCAGCTCATAGGAAGTCACAACCACAGGAAAAGGAAGAGAGTACTACATGAAGGGAACACCCTGTGGGACAAAAAAAATCTGAACAACAGCCTTCACCCCTAGATCTTTCCTCTGATAGAGCCCACCCAAATGGGAAGGAACCAGAAAACCAACCCGGTAATATGACAAAACAAGTCCTGTCAATACCCCCCCAAAATCACACTAGTTCACCAGTAATGGATCCAAACCAAGAAGAAATCCCTGATTTATCTGAAAAAGAGTTCAGGAGGTTAGTTATTAAGTTAATAAGGGAGGGACCAGAGAAAGGTGAAGCCCAATGCAAGGAAACCCAAAAAAAGATACAAGAAATGAAGGGAGAAGTATTCAAAGAAATAGATGGCTTAAAGGAAAATAATCAGGCCAGGCATGGTGACTCATGCCTGTAATCCCAGCACTTTGAGAGGCCAAGGCAGGAGATCACCTGAGGTCAGGAGTTTGAGAGCAGCCTGGCTAACATGGTGAAGTTCTGTATCTACTAAAACTACAAAAATTAGACAGCCGTGGTGGTGGGTGTCTGCAGTCCCAGCTACTCAGGAAGCTGAGGCAGGAGAATTGCTTGAACCTGGGAGGTGAAAGTTGCAGTGAACCAAGATCACGCCACTGCACTCCAGCCTGGGTGACAGAGTGAGACTCTGTCTCAATAAAAAAAAAAAAAAAGAGAGAGAGAGAGAGAAAAGGAAAAGAAAAAACAACAAAAAATTCAGGAAACTTTGGACACACTTTTAGAAATGTGAAATGCTCTGGAAAGTCTCAGCAAAAGAATTGAAAAAGTAGAAGAAAGAAATTCAGAGCTCAAAGACTAGATCTGCATACTAACCCAATCCAACAAAGACAAAGAAAAAAATAAGAAAACATGAACAAAAGCTCAAAGAAGTTTGGGATTATGTTAAATGACCAAACCTAAGAATAACTGGTGTTCCTAAGGAAGAAGACAATTCTAAAAGCTTGGAAAATATATTTGGGGGAATAATCAAGGAAAACTTCCCTAGTCTTTCTAGAGACCTAGACATGCAAATAAAAGAAGCACAAAGAACACCTGGGAAATGCATCACAAAAACATCTTCACCTAGGCACATTGTCATCAGGTTATCCAAAGTTAAGATGAAGGAAAGAATCTTAGCTGTGAGATAGAAGCACCATGTAACCTATAAAGGAAAACCTATCAGATTAACAGCAGATTTATTAGCAGAAACCCTACAAGCTAGAAGGGATTGGGGTCCTATCTTCAGCCTCCTCAAACAAAACAATCATCAGCCAAGAATTTTGTATCCAGCAAAACTAAGCATCATATATGAAGGACAGATATGGTCATTTTTGGACAAACAAATGCTGACAGAATTCACCATTACCAAGCCACCACTATAAGAATTGCTAAAAGGAGCTCTAAATCTTGAAACAAATCCTGGAAACACATCAAAACAGAATCTCATTAAAGCATAAAGCACACAAAACCTATAAAACAAAAATACAAGTTAAAAAGCAAAACCAAAAAACAGACCAAAGTATGCAGGCAACATAGAGCATGATGAATGCAATGGTACCTCACATTTCAATACTAACATTGAATATAAATGGCATAAATGCTCCACTTAAAAGATACAGAACCACAGAATGGTTAAGAACTCACCAACCAACAATCTGCTGCCTTTAGGAGACTCACCTAACGCATAAGGACTCACATAAACTTAAAGTAAATGGGTGGAAAAAGGCATTTCATGCAAATGGACACCAAAAGCAAGCAGGGGTAGCAACTTTTATATCAAACAAACTTTAAAGCAACAGTGGTTAAAAGAGACAAAGAGGGACATTATATAATGGTAAAAGGCCTTGTCCAACAGGAAAATATCACAATCCTACACATATATGCACCTAACACTGGAGCTCCCAAATTTATACAACAATTACTGATAGACCTAAGAAATGAGACAGACAGCAACACAATAATAGTGGGGGACTTCAATACTCCACTGACAGTACTAGACAGGTCATCAATACAGAAAATCAACAAAGAAGCAATGGATTTAAACTATACCTTGGAACAAATGGACTTAACAGATATATGTAGAACATTACATCCAACAACCGCAGAATACACATTCTATTCAACAGCGCATAGAACCTTCTCCAAGATAGACCATATGATAGGCCATAAAATGAGCCTCAATAAATTTAAGAAAATTGAAATTATATCAAGCACTCTCTCAGACCACAGTGGAATAAAACTGGAAATCAACTCCAAAAGGAACCTTCAAAACCATGTAAATATATGGAAATTAAATAACCTGCTCCTGAATGAGCATTGGGTCAAGAACAAAATCAAGATGGAAATTTAAAAATTCTTTGAACTGAATGACAATAATGACACAACCTATCAAAACCTCTGGGATACAGCTAAGGCAGTGCTAAGAGGAAAGTTCAGAGCCCTAAACATGTACCTAAAAAGTCTGAAAGAGCACAAACAGACAATCTAAGGTCACACCTCAAGGAACTAGAGAAACAAGAAAAAACAAAACCCAAACCCAGCAGAAGAAAGGAAATACCCAAGATCAGAGCAGAACTAAATGAAATCAAAACAAAAAAATACAAAAGATAAATGAAACAAAAACCTGGTTCTTTGAAAAGTTAAATAAAATTGATAGACCATTAGCAAGATTAACCAAGAGAAGAAGAAGAGAAAATCCAAATAACCTTACTGAGAAACGAAACAGGAGATATTACAACTGACACTACTGAAATACAAAAGGTCATTCAAGGCTACTATGAATACCTTTATGCACATAAACTAGAAAACTTACAAGAGATGGATAAATTCCTGGAAAAATACAAGCCTCATAGCTTAAATCAGGAAGAATTAGATATCCTGAACAGACCAAAAACAAGCAGCAAAATTGAAATGGTAATTTTTAAATTACCAACAAAAAAATGTCCATGACCAGATGGATTCACAGCAGAATCATGTCAGACATTCAAAGAAGAATTGCTACCAATCCTTTTGACACTATTCCACAAGATACAGAAAGAAGGAACCCTCCCTAATTTATTTCATGGAGACAGTATCACCCTAATATGAAAACGAGGAAAGGACACAACCAAAAAAGAAAACTACAGACTGATATCCTTGATGAAGATAAATGCTAAAATCCTTAACAAAATACTAGCTAACCAAATGCAACAACATACCAAAAAGATAATCCACCATGATCAAGTGGGTTTCATACCAGGGATGCAGGGATTGTTTAACATAGGCAAGTCAATAAATGTGATATACCACATAAACAGAATTAAAAACAAAAATCACATGATCATCTCAATAGATGCAGAAAAAGCATTCAACAAAATCCAGCATCGCTTTATGATTAAAACCCTCAGCAAAATCGGCATACAAGTGACATACCTTAATGTAATAAAAGCCATCTGTGACAAACCCACAGCCAACATAATACTGAATGGGGAAAAGTTGAAAGCATTCCCTCTGAGAATGGGAACAGGACAAGGATTGCCCACTCTCACCACTCCTCTTCAACATAGTACTGGAAGCCCTAGCCAGAGCAATCAGACAGGAGAAAGAAATAAAGGGCATCCAAATCAGTAAAGAGGAAGTCAAACTGTCCCTGTTTATGGACAATATGATCATTTACCTTGAAAACCCTAAGGACTCTTCCAGAAAGCTCCTAGAACTGATAAAAGAGTTCAGCAAAGTTTCTGGATACAAGATTAATGCACACAAATCAGTAGCTTTTCCATACACCAAAAGCGACCAAGCAGAGAATCAAATCAAGAACTCAACCCCTTTTACAATACCTGCAAAAATAAAATAAAATACTTGGGAATATACCAAACAAAGGGGTCAAAAGACCTCTACAAGGAAAACTACGAAACACTGTTGAAAGAAATCATAGATAACACAAACAAATGGAAACACGTTTCACACTCATGGATGGGTAGAATCAATATTGTGAAAATGACTATACTGCCAAAAGCAATCTACAAATTCAATGCAATTCTCATCAAAATACTACCATCATTCTTCACAGAGTTAGAAAAAAAAATTCTAAAATTCATATAGAACCAAAAAAGAGCCCACATAGCCAAAGCAAGACTAAGCAAAAAGAACAAATCTGGACGCATCACACTACCTGATTTCAAACTGTACTATAAGGCCATAGTCACCAAAACAGCATGGTACTGGTGTAAAAATAGGCACACAGACCAATGGAACAGAATAGAGAGCCCAGAAATAAACCCAAATACTTACAGCCAACTGATCTTTGACAAGAAAACAAAAACTTAAAGTGAGGGAAGGACACCCTTTTCAATAAATGATGCTGGGATAATTGGCTAGCCACATGTAAGAGAATGAAACTGGATCCTCATCTCTTACCTTATACAAAAATCAACTCAAGATGGATTAAGGACTTAAACCTAATGAGAGGTGACAGCGTGCTGGCAGTCCTCACAGCCCTTGCTCACTCTCTGTGCCTCCTCTGCCTGGGCTCCCACTTTGGCAGCACTTGAGGAGCCCTTCAGCCCACCACTGCACTGTGGGAGCCCCTTTCTGGGCTGGCCAAGGCCAGAGCCGGCTCCCTCAGCTTGCAGGGAGGTGTGGAGGGAGAGGCGCCAGCAGGAACCAGGGCTGTGTGTGGCACTTGTGGGCCAGCTGGAGTTCCGGGTGGGCATGGGCTTGGTGGGCCCCGCACTGGGAGCAGCCGGCCCCGGGCAATGAGGGGCTTAGTACCCGGGCCAGCAGCTGCGGAGGGTGTACTGGGTCCCGCAGCAGTGCCAGCCCACCAGCGCTGCACTCGACTTCTCACTGGGCCTTAGCTGCCTTCCCACAGGGCAGGGCTCGGGACCTGTAGCCCGCCATGCCTGAGCCTCCCACCCCCTCCATGGGCTCCTGTGCAGCCCGAGCCTCCCAGATGAGCACCGCCCCCTGCTCCACGGCGCCCAGTCCTATCAACCACCTAAGGGCTGAGGAGGGTGGGCGCATGGTGCGGGACTGGCAGGCACCTCCCCACCAGCCCCCTGCAACCCCGGTGCAGAATCCACTGGGTGAAGCCAGCTAGGCTCCTGAGTCTGGTGGGGACTTGGAGAAACTTTATGTCTAGCTAAGGGATTGTAAATACACCAATCGGCACTCTGTATCTAGCTCAAGGTTTGTAAACACACCAATCAGCACCCTGTGTCTAGCTCAGGTTTGTGAATTCACCAATGGACACTCTGTATCTAGCTACTCTGGTGGGGCCTTGGAGAACCTTTATGTCTAGCTCAGGGATTGTAAATACACCAATCGGCACTCTGTATCTAGCTCAAGGTTTGTAAACACACCAATCAGCACCCTGTGTCTAGCTCAGGGTTTGTGAATGCACCAATCGACACTCTGTATCTAGTTACTCTGGTGGGGCCTTGGAGAACCTTTGTGTCCACACTCTGTATCTAGCTAATCTGGTGAGGACATGGAGAACCTCTGTGTCTAGCTCAGGGATTGTAAATGCACCAATCAGCACCCTGTCAAAACAGACCACTTGGCTCTACCAATCAGCAGGATGTGGGTGGGGCCAGATAAGAGAATAAAAGTAGGCTGCCCCAGCCAGCAGTGGCAACCCGCTCGGGTCCCCTTCCACACTGTGGAAGCTTGTTCTTTCGCTCTTTGCAATAAATCTTGCTACTGCTCACTCTTTGGGTCCACGCTGCTTTTATGAGCTGTAACACTCACCGCGAAGGTCTGCAGCTTCACTCCTGAAGCCAGCAAGACAACGAGCCCACCGGGAGGAATGAACAACTCCAGACATGCAGCCTTAAGAGCTGTAACACTCACCATGAAGGTCTGCAGCTTCACTCCTGAGCCAGCGAGACCATGAACCCAGCAGAAGGAAGAAACTCCAAACACATCCGAACAGCAGAAGGAACAAACTCCAGACGCGCCACCTTAAGAGCTGTAACACTCACTGCGAGGGTCCGCGGCTTCATTCATGAAGTCAGTGAGACCAAGAACCTACCAATTCCAGACACACTAAGACTTGAAACTATAAAAATTCTAGAAGATAACATTGGAAAAACCCTTCTAAACAATGACCTAGGCAAGGATTTCATGACCAAAAACCCAAAAGCAATTGCAATAAAAACAAAGATAAATAGCTGGGACCTAATTAAACTAAAGAGCTTTTGCACAGCAAAAGGAACAGTCAGCAGAGTAAATAGACAACCCACAGAGTGGGAGGAAATCTTCACAATCTGTATGTCTGACAAAGGACTAACATCGAGAATCTACAATGAACTGAAACAAGTCAGTAAGAAAAAAAACAATCAATCCCATCAAAAAGTGGGCTAAGGACATGAATAGATAGTTCTCAAAAGAAGATATACAAATGACAACAAACATATGAAAAAATGCTCAACATTACTAATGATCAGGGAAATGTAAATCAAACCCGCAATGTGATACCACCTTACTCCTGCAAGAATGGCCATAATCAAAGAGTCAAAAAACAGTAGATGTTGGCATGGATGTGGGGTTCAGGGAACACTTCTACACTGCTGGTGGGAATGTAAACTAGTGCACCCACTATGGAAAACAGTGCGGAGACTCCTTAAAGAACTAAAAGTAGAACTACTATTTGATCCATCTATCCCATTACTGGGTATCTACTCAGAGGAAAAGAAGTCATTATTCAAAAAAGATACTTGCACATGCATGTTTATAGCAGCACAATTCACAATACCAAAATCATGGAACCAACCCAAATGCCCATCAATCAATGAGTGGATAAAGAAACTGTGGTGTATATATATACATATATATATATGTATTTATATATGTATATATATATTATTTATATATAAATTATATATATTTATTTTTATGTATATTTTATATTTTATATATATAAATTTTGTATATTTTATATATATACAATATATATATAATTTTATATTATATATATAATTATATATATAATTTTATATTATATATATAATTATATATATAATTTTATATTATATATATAATTATATATATAATTTATATATTTTATATATATAAATTATATATATAAATTTTATATATTTTTATATATATAAATTATATATATAAATTTTATATATTTTTATATATATAAATTATATATATAAATTTTATATATTTTTATATATATAAATTATATATATAAATTTTATATATTTTTATATATATAAATTATATATATAAATTTTATATATTTTTATATATATAAATTATATATATAAATTTTATATATTTTTATATATATAAATTATATATATAAATTTTATATATTTTTATATATAATATATATTAATATATATATATATAAATATATATATATATATATATATATATATATATATATATATATATATATATGATGGACTACTAAGCCATAAAAATGAATGAATTAACAGAATTTGCAATGACCTGGATGAGATTGGAGACTATTATTCTAAGTGAAGTAACTCAGGAATGGAAAACCAAACATCATATGTTCTCGCTAATATGTGGGAGTTAAGCTACAAGGACACAAGGCATAAGAATGATACAATGGACTTTGGGGACTTGGGGGGAAGAGTGGGAGGGGGCGAGAGATAAAAGACAACAAATGTGGTGCAGTGTATACTGCTCGGGTGATGGGTGCATGAAAATCTCACAAATAGACACTAAAGAAATTACTCATGTAACCAAATACCACCTGTACCCCAATAACTTATGGAAAAATAAAATAAAATAACAATTTTAGAAAATAAACCTAATTCCTGAGACATGGGGCCAAAAATTAAAGTTTTTCAACTCCTCAAGGCCCAAGGACTATTGAGGAAGAGGTGGATGTGTGGGATTGTAAGGGCCAATTTTGAGAGACAAAATAAGTTCAGTTTCTCTATAATTTAATAATTAATGTCAAAGGCACACGATGTAAGAACAGTATGTGGGCCTCTGTGTCAGATTAACAAGGTTTCCTTGATGCACTAACTGACTCCTTAACAAAGGTTATAAAGGCTACAAAAGGCTTATGGAAGTTAAATCTTACAGTCAAGATTAAAATGTTATAGACTTTATAACGTTTGAAAAACAAACTTAATTGGCTTCATGCTGTTTTTATTGGGGCTTATTGTTTGGAAAATTAAGTCTGCTTTTTCAAAAAATGAAGGTTTTCACCTTTTTTGAAATCCTTGAGTTATCACTTTGGTTAAATGAATGACTTATTTTACAAAAAATGTGTGATCTTATTTTGTGATATGAAGTGTTTTAAACCCTTGATATTTGGCAGACTTTCCAAAATCAAATTATAAATTATGCATTTTTCTGACCCAATTAATCATTTAAGATATTAGGTTCCCTAAAGTCCAAAAATGACATAATTTGGCCTATTTGGTATAAAAATTATACAGGAAGAATTATCAAATATGAAATGAGGTTTGGTTTTCTTTGGGCTGTATTTGGATAAATATGATATCGGTATGTGTTCCAAAATTATGGGAAACTCCTATAGTTCTAATATGAATTAGTGTACTTTATCAGTAATAATTATAATTCTGATGTTAAATTATTTGTACCTCTGATGGCACAGAGGTACAAATTTCCTCGTCAATTGTGTCTTTAACTATAGCTGCCCTAAAACTTTTTGCCATCCACAGACAATTTTTGTTTTGTTTTGGTCCTCTCTAGGTGGTCTTATCATCAGCTATAAAATTCTCTCCCAAGAGGTCTTATAATCAGCTATAAAACTCTTTCCCAGTGGGCTTTTATTGGGTCTCTAAGTCAAGTTTGATTCCTTAAAGGAAAGCACACCATTCCAGTCAACACCTTGGTAAAATAACCAGTTTCTCCATTTGTGTCCTGTTACAAATGAAAACAGATTCTTATTGCACTTATGCAAATAACTGTCATGCTGTAAGTTAAGAATATTCACACAAATAGTTTCCAAATTCTGGAGAAATCAGGTAGACGGAAACAAATATGCTCCAAATTTTGTCCATAGGAGTATGCATAATGGTTAAAAGCTATCAACAGCTCAAAAGAAAACTTTCCTTGACTCTGGAAAAACAAAACAAAGGACCAGCAAAGTTTTAATCAAAAAGCCAAAAAGATTACTTTAGTCTTCTATTAGTTCAGTCCATGCAGTTAATTCCTGTTCTGCTTGATATTCATGGACATTTCAGCTCTTCATGAGTCCTAGAAGTCTTTCCTCTATTCTGATGTCACAGTCTCCAAAGTTATCAGAAACATGCCTGTTAGAGTCTTATGGATGATTATAAAACCACCTTCTAGGCCGGGCGCGGTGGCTCACGCCTGTAATCCCAGCACTTTGGGAGGCCGAGGCGGGTGGATCATGAGGTCAGGAGATCGAGACCATCCTGGCTAACAAGGTGAAACCCCGTCTCTACTAAAAATACAAAAAATTAGCCGGGCGCGGTGGCGGGCGCCTGTAGTCCCAGCTACTCGGGAGGCTGAGGCAGGAGAATGGCGTGAACCCGGGAAGCGGAGCTTGCAGTGAGCCGAGATTGCGCCACTGCAGTCCGCAGTCCGGCCTGGGCGACAGAGCGAGACTCCGTCTCAAAAAAAAAAAAAAAAAACCACCTTCTAGAGAGGACCAAAACAAAACAACTATTTGTATGGCAGTCATAACCAAAGACACAATTGACAAGGAAATTTGTACCTCTGTGCCACACAATAATTTAACATCAGAATTATAATCATTACTGATAATGTGCACTAAGTCATATCAGAATTATAGGAGTTTCCCATAATTTTGGAACACATACCAATAACATATTTATACAAATACAGCCCAAAGAAATCCAAACACCATTTCATATTTTACAATTCTTCCTGTATAATTTTTATACCAAGTAAGCCATATTATGTCATTTTTGGACTTTAGGGAACCTAATATCTTAAAGGATTAATTAGGTTGAAAAATATATAATTTACAATTTGATTTTGGAACGTTTTTCAAATATCAAAGGTTTAAAACACTTGATATCACAGGTCATTGCAAAATAAGTAATTCGTTTAACCAAAGTGATAACTCAAGGATTTCAAAAAAAAAAAAAAAAAGGCAAAAACCCTCATTCTTTGAGAGAGAAGACTTAATTTTTTTGGAAATTTTATAAATAATCTATAAAATCTTAATCTTAACCATAACTTCCATAAGCCTTTTATAACCTTTATTAAGGAGTCAGTTAATGCTTCAAGAAATTCTTGTTAATCTGACACAGGGGCCCATATGCTGTTCTTACATCAGTGTGCCTTTGACATTAATGATTAATTTATAGAGAAACTGAACATATTTTATCTCTCAAAATTGGTCCTTATAATCTCACATGCCTACCTCTTTCATTATAGTCCCTGGGACTTGAGGAGTTGAATAGCTTTAATTTCAGCAGATTTAAAGTAGACAGAAAAGAAAATAGAAAAAAAAGGGAGAACTTAGGAACTCTATAGTTTCCAGGTCAACCTTAGGGCTCTTTTTCCTTAATGTAAATGTGCACAAAGACCATATTACTTCCATTTTGCATAAACTGTGGCAAGCAGAGGTGCCATAAAACCTACAGAGTGCTCACAAGAGTTCATTCTCCTTGTTTTCTCCTCATTCTTAGATTATTTGTTTCCCACACTTTTTTCTTAAAAGGAGGAAGTGAGCTGTGGCCAAGGGTTTTTGTGTGGTGGAGTGATGTGTGCTGCTTGTGGGTGGGGCTCCACAGGGTGTCACCACTGAGTTGTTTCCAACATCTTACGTGTCTCAGTGTCTCTCTCCAGAGGTCTATGACCTCTAAGAGTGTTCAAAACACTGGGTGACCAGCTGTTATAAGCATTTCCTGGACATACAAGGTAATCTCTGGTAACCCCAAAGCCAAAGAGGTTAGGTTATGCAATACAAGAAAACAGGGATTTAGACCTAAGAAGAATCTGCCCATGACTCTTGAAACTCCACAAAGAAAACAGAACACCCCAAAAGGGGTGAGTGGTACCTTTGTTCTGAATTCTTCAAAGGGGTTTAAGTCATTAGAAGCCTTCTCTAGATTTTTTTGGTACTGCAGATGGCAAAAGGGGGAAGGAGGTATAGGGTGGAAGTAAGTGAAAGAACATGTGTTTGTTTGTTTGTTTTTAACACAGGAAGCAAACACAGAAACCAAGTGCACGGTTGTTTGGAGTTTGCTCTTCCCCCCACCCGTCTCTTTTTCAGCTGCAAGGAATTTTAGCCAAATTAGAGAGGCTTTGTTACCCATAATTTGGAATTCTCACTTGTATTTGACCAAGTGAGGTAGAGCTGCTCAAATCTGATGGGAGAAAGACTGGAACAAATAACAAAAAACCCCAACAATATGATCACTGCACACTCTAACAGTAAGGAGAAATTAAGACCAGCTGGTTATTAAACTTTAGCCAAGACAAAACCCCAATTCAGCTACTTACCTAGAGATGGGTCTCAGGCTGAAGATCGCTTCCTACCATCCTAGAAGCAGGAAGAAAAACTCAAACTCATCTTTCCTGCTGGGAGCAAGCTCAAACTCCATAAAGGAGTTACCTGCCTTCCATCGTCATGGAAGCAGGAAATCTTGCCATCCTTGTTGGGAGCAAGTAAAACTCCCAAAAAAGGTGGGGTGAGGGTGGGGAGTTGTGCAGAAAAGTAAACTTTAAATTTCCACCAAATTTTGGGAGATCAAGGATTCTCTGGAAGGGGTGCTCCCAGACCTTAGTAAATTGTCCTGCCGGTTTGAGCCATAAAGTTAGCTCATGCTGGTACCATGCACCAATGGGAGGTTTGTCAAAGTTCAGGGGCACCTTCACTCAGAATCCCTCTATGGTTATCAAAATGTGAACCCTGAGTATCTGAGACAGGTCTCAGTTAATTTAGAAAGTTTATTTTGCCAAGATTGAGGACAGGTGCACAAGACACAGCCTCAGGAGGTCCTGAGGACATGTGCCTAAGGTGGTCAAGGCACAGCTTGGTGTTATACATTTTAGGAAGACATGAGACATCAATCAACATATGTAAGGTGAACATTGGTTTTGTCTGGAAGGGCAGGACAACTCGAAGCAAAGGCCGAAGGCAGGACAATTCAAAGCAGGGAGGGGGCTTCCAGGTCATAGGTAGATAAGAGACAAATGGTTGAATTCTTTTGAGTTTCTGATTAGCCTCTCCAAAGCAGGCAATCAGATATGCATTTATCTCAGTGAGCAGAGGGATGACTTTCAATAGAATGGGAGGCAGGTTTGCCCTAAGTAGTTCCCAGCTTGACTTTTCCCTTTAGCTTAGTGATTTTGGGGCCCCAAGATTTATTTTCCTTTCACAGTTTGTTGAAAGAATGTTGAAGAGATTGGCTATTATAGCTGGAGATGGGGAGGAGATGGTGAGGAAAGGTTTACTGACCAATGTGAAATATATTGGAAATGTTGTACTGATGCCCTTCTGGTTGATGCAGTCAGCACTTCTTGTGACTGGATCCCAGTAGCTGCTGCTTGGTGGGCTCAAACCTCACCACTGTCCTCAAAGGGACCCATACCTCAATCTCCCAGGGATGTCAGGCAAACTGAATGTGAATTCTTGACAGAGGAGACAAAGCCAGGTAATATTCAGAGGAAGAAAAGATGTGTCCAGAGTGGTATCCTTGACCCTGGCTGCACATTTGAATCACCTGGTGCCTCTGACACATCCCTGTCCTCTGTGCTGGCCCACAACCTGTCTCTCCTGCTCACATGGCCTTCTTCACATAGTTGTCATAAGGATCCTGTGATCATGGCAATGTTCTATGCATGTTATAAAACTGATGCACCGTGTGAGAGATGCTACAGTTAGCGCCCAACGTGGGTAGGGGGAAGAAGGCAAGTCACTCCCTGTCTGGGCATCTGAGACTTCTTGATCTTTGTAGTTTGCCCAGCTCCTTCCATCTAGGTTGTACTTGTTTGTGAGCAATCCCAACCAGCTTTAGCTGAGTACCTTGGTCCTGAAAGTGTCAGGGGAAAAGGGTGGAGGGTGGAGATGGGAAGGGCAGGAGGGTAGTGAGGAATGTGAAGCAGCTGGGCTGGACAGAAGTCAGCCATTCTACAGGCTTTGTCCTGAGTTGAGGCTCCAGAGAGCATGGCAACCTTCTTCCAAGGTGCTCCAATCCACCCCAAAGATGGCTCTGCCACAAGGACAGCTAAAGATACAGCACAATGGGGATGATGTGACTCAGAATCCCTGCCCTCCCATGGACACCAGTCCCCAGCCCCTCTGCCCAGGATGGTGGGATACTTTAGATTCCATGTGAAACTGCAAGCTGTGGCTGTGTCACACTCTGCAGGAAATGAGTACGAGATGCATCCCTGGGAAGGATGGGTACAGTCTTGGCAAATGGAAGGAGAAGGGTAGAGAGAGACCTGCACCACAGAACAGAGAAAACAGCCTGCCTGAGTCGCAGCGAGTGAACAAAGATGGGCCAGTGCTTGAAAGGTAAACATCAAAGAGATTTCCTTCACCTGCATATAAGAGGAGAGAAACCACTTTTCTCCTATCAGTTTTCAAACTCATTCATTCGTTCATTCATCAACATGTATTTACCAAGCACCTACTATTGCACCTATAAAATAAGTACTGCTATTTATTGAAGTACTTGAAATAAATTAATACACAAGAGAGACGAGGAGCTCCCATTCTGACAATGTTCTGCCAACAACAACAAAAAAAATTCTTCTCCATATTTCCAGGAGCCCAGTCCAAAATGCAGGCATTCCCTTGCCTACCAATTGACTGCGTTCCTGGGAAGAGCACACCTGTGTAAGCCCAGAAAAATAAAGACCTTTGTGTGGGCATCAGAAAATGTGGGTTCTGGTCTTGAGTCTGCCTGTGGCTCACTAAGTGACCTCAGATGAAACCCTGTTGCTTTCAGTGCCTCAGCTTGTCCCATGTCAGTGAATCAGATGGTGTCTAGGAAGTGCCCTCCAGTGTGCACTGTGATGTGTCAATTTTGGCAAACTTTATGCTCCATTGCACACCCCTCAGCCCACCTTTTTGCTCTGACCATTGCTGTAGCAGCCAGCTGTATGTGGGTGTAGCCTATGGGCACCTTACCTCACTTCATCTCTCTTGCCTTCTGCCCTAGGACTTCCCTCCTGCTGCCAAGTAGGAGCCCACTCAGCCATTTCAGCACAGGTGGGATCCCATACACCTGGTAGAGCCAGGGAGTTAACATCCCTGCAACCCCTGACCAGTGGAAAACAGGAGAAGAGTGGATAAATAAACATTCTCCTTTTCCATGCCTCAGGCAAATAGTTCTAAGGTGGATTCTACACAGTTCCTCAGAGGGTTCCTAGCATGACTAAGCCTGGTTGTCTCCAGCAGGTAACAGCTTTCCCTGTGGGTTCCTCCTGAGCCCCTCACTCCTATTCCCTGGGATCACTACAGGCAAACAAGTCTTTCCCTCAAGCTCTGCTTTTGGGGGAACTAAAATGAAGACATATGGTCATGTGACTGTGGGTGGAGGGTGCTGAGGTGACAAGGGTCGGAAGACAGAGGGTGGGGTTTATATGCTGGTGCTTAATATATGTGCTAATCCCATTTTATTGCATTGATAGTACAATGGATCTGCGTCAATGGGCAGCTCTTCCAGCCTGGTCCTGGGAAATCGTGAAGCTTGGAATCCCCCATGTAAATACCCAGTTTCCCAGATACCAAGACAAGAGATAACAGTATTTCTCGATTGCTCCAGAACCGGTTGGGGAAAGGTGTATGTTTGGCACATCAGAGAAAGCTCCATCTGGCATTACAACAGGACTTATTTCCTTGTTTATCTCCCTCCCCATCGGTCCCTCCCTCTCTTCTTTTCTCCTTTTCCCTTCCATCGCTCACTAAGGATGATGACTCAGCACTTTTCCTGAGTGGCTCCCCCTGGGAGATAGCTGGACCCACTGGCAGTCTGACCCCTGGCAGAGAGGGCTCTGCTCCCCTCTGGAGAAATCCAGGTAGGAGGGCATGTTCCCTAGGAGGGTGGGCTCCAGTCTGTGGACTCTTAACACCGTACCCTTTGTGCCCTATCTAATCCCACCCCATTTGGCATCTTCCATATAAAGTTCAATCATTTCTGCCTTCAGGGGCCTGGCTGGGGTGGCCAAGAAAAAGCTAAACCTTTAGCCTGGCATTCAGGCCACTCACCATCAAAGCCATGCCCGGCTCCGCCACCTCCTCATCAGGCATACTAGCTGCCTGGGACGGTCAGTTAAGCTTCAGTTAAGAGCATCAGCTTGGCTTTCTGACTGACCTGAGATGCAAATCCAACCCTGGGCAAGTTTCTTAACCTCTCTAAATCTCAGGTTGCTAATCTGAGATTTAGAACAGAGGTTATCATCACCTCTAACCCGTAAAGTTGCTTGGAGGATTAAAAGAGATAATGTGTGCAAAGCACCTAGCTCCCACATTGACAGCTCAGCACATTTTAGCTTAATATTCTCACTTGCAGTTGTTCTGGGGTAAGTGGTGATCGATAAAAGAAGAATGAGTGAGGCAGCCTCTAGCATGGATTCTAGGGCTTCCTTGCTTCCTGAACAGCTTGTCCCATGAAATAGACTTGCTTCAGAGTAATCCCAGCTGCCCCTGGCTGGTACTTGAGCCTGAGTGTGTGTGAAGTGGAGACAGAGGGCTGTGGAATGCGGGCAGGACAAACAGAATCAGGAGGCCTAGGAGCTGGCTATGTTCCATTCAAGTACGATCCCAGTAAGGCAAGCCAGGTGTCTGCCTCCAGAGCAGCCTAGAGCCTTTGGCTAAGGGCATAAGATCAGGCTCCTGAAATAAACAGTTTGTGGTGTGCTAGGCAGTGTATCAGGCTAGAGAGCTGAATCCAGGCCAGCCTCTGCCATGGACTCACTGTGTGATCCTGGGCAAGTAGATTCCTTCTCAGGTCCTCAGTCTGCCCATCTGTTCCATAGGAGGGTTGGAAGAAGTCCCGTCTCATGCTAAGATAGTGCGTCTTAACAATATCTTACACCTGAGATAGAGAGCAGAGTTAGCACAAAATCGGGAGACTGAAAGCAGCTGAGAGAAAAGCAAAATTGACTTTTTGTCTCCTCTAACCCCTAACCTTTGCCTACCTAATTCTATGCTTTTCATAACCAATGCCCTTCCTCCAGGAAGTCCTCTAAGAGTTCATTCCTACAGCCACACTGCTGTGCTTGGCTGTTTGTGATTCCCTTCCTGTATTTAGTCTGTTATATAAAAGTGCATTTGTTCACAAGCTCTCCTCCCCTCACTCTCCAATCGTACCTCCCAAGGCCCTCCAAGACCCCTCCCCCACTCAAAGGCAGGGGTTTATCTAATTCAACTCTCTGGTGGCCCATGGCTTAGCACAGAACTCAGTAGCCAACCATCCCAATGTGCCTGGGACTAAGAGTTTCCCAGGACACAGAAACTTTCAGTGGTAAAATCAGCAAAGTCTTGAGCATACTGAGATGGCTGGCCACCAGTTCATCCATAGTTAAGTCAGTAAGTGCTTATTGAGTTGAATTAAGAGGGGGAAAAAAGCAAGAAAAACTTGTTAGGAAAGTTGATGGCCTGTTTCTAATGAATTGTAATTTCTGGGAGATAGGGACCAGAAATTCATTGATCTTAATAATATGCCAAGGCTGCAACAAACATGTGCACAACTACAGACTTTGGAAAGCATTTTCTCAAGCATTTTCTCCATGGATTCTCACAAAACCCTGTGAGTTTGTTAAAGAAAGGAACCTAATCCCCATCTCACCAGCCACTAAGGTATAAAGAAGTGAATACATGGGGAAATATACCAAATCCATGGATGAGAAGACTCAGTATCACAAAGGTGGCACTTCTTCCTAAAGTAATCCATAATTTCAATGCCATTCCAAACAAAATAGTAACAGGAATTTTTGTGGGACTTACTGAGCTGGTCCTAAAATTCTTATGGAAGAATAAATGGCTAAGTATAGCCAGAAGAACTGGAAAAAGAGTAAGAGTGAACTTGCCTTCATAGGGATATCAAGACTTTTCAAAGCTATAATAATATTTAGAAGTGTGGTAATGTCACAATGGAACAGAAAGACTAACATGTTAAAACTTCATGTAAGATGAAAGTATCATTACAAATCAGTGTGAATAAATTAAGTATTAATAGATGATGCTATAACTATTGACTATCCACATGAAAATGAGGAAAATTAGATCTCTCATATCATACTTAAAAATTCCAAATGGATTAAAGACCTAAACATTAATTTGTTAAAGCTTTAAAACTTTTAAACCATAAGGGAAAAATTGATATATCTGATCAGAAAAAAATGGATAAATTTTACCACATTAAAATTTGAAATTTGTGTATGACAAAAGGTATTTAATAAGCAAGATTGAAAGACAAGTCACAGACTGAATCAGATATTTAAAAAGCATATAAGCATCCAAAATATATAAAGATTTACAAATAATAAGCAAAAGACAAACATACCAATTAAGAAATGGGCAAAAAACATAAAAAGGCAATTTATAAATGAAATATCAATGGCCAAAAACATGGAGAAATGTTTAACCTCACTAGAAATTAGGGAAATGAAAAGTTAATCCAGAATGAAAGTTCATTTCACATTCAACAAATTAGCAAACATCTTCAAGTTTGACAATGCCAAGAGTTCAGAATGTGGAGAAAAAAAAACTCTCACCTATTTCTATGAGGAGTATAAACTGAAGAGCACTGTGGCAATGCTTGGTAAACTTGCAGAAGCACAAACCTCACCACCCAGTGATTCTTCTTCTAGCCACATACCCAATTCCTATAATTATACCCAGAGACCAATGAAGGGTGTTCCTTGTAGCTGTGCCTGCAATGGTAAAAAAAAAAAAAAAAAAAAAAAAAAAAAAAAAAAAGGAGAAATATCCCAACTTCCCCTCAGTAGGAAAATTGATATATAAACTGAATAATCCCTGCAATGGAATAGCATATGGTGGTTAAAATTAATCAACCAGTTTACATATCTCAGTAAGAATACATCTCAAAAACAAAGCTAAGTGGGTGGAGGGTGGGGAAGGAAGTTGCAAAAACACATAAACATTTATGTAAATTTTTAAAATACAAAAACAACACTATGCATTATACACACACATCGTATGTAGAAAAAATATTAAAACATGCATGGAAACAATACACGTTAATTTCAGATTAGATTTTTATGGAGAGAAGGAATGAAGAGGGATAATTAGGTAGGGTTTTAGCTGTATCTAGGGTTTAACTGCTTTTAAAAGATAGGGTGCCGGGCACAGTAGCTCATGCCTGTAATCCCAGCACTTTGGGAGGCCAAGGTGGGCAAATTACCTGAGGTCAGGAGTTAGAGACCAGCCTGACCAATATGGTGAAACCCCATCTCTACTAAAAATACAAAATTAGCTGGGCATGGTGGCACATACCTGTAATACCAGCTACTTGGGAGGCTGAGGCAGGAGAATTGCTTGAACCTGGGAAGCGGAGGTTGCAGTGAGCCAAGATCACAGCCCTGCACTCCAGGCTGGGCAACAAGAGCTAAACTCCCATCTTTAAAAAAAAAAAAGATAGAAAGGGACATCTGAGACAAATAGGGCAAAATATTCACATCTGTTAAATCTAGAAGATAGGTTCATAAGTTTCTGTTAAATTATTTTCTGTATTTTCAGTTTGTTTGACATCTTGTCTCATAATTTAAATGTTAGATTTAAAACACCACCTTGGCAGGGGTGATGTGTGCAGTAGCTCCATGGCAGGGCTTGGAGCAGCCTCAGATGGGGCATAACTCAGTGACAAGTTGAAACAGTGGTGGCAGTGGCCATGAAGAGGTGGTCTCTTGAGCTTCTAGTGGCAGTTATGGTGTCCCTCTGGCTCCAAGGGAACCCATCTGAGTTAAACACAACCAGAATGGTCTTTGGACTCTAGCAAGCTCCTGGAGATTTCCCGAAATGATCACACTAGCAGGAGGCCCAGGGAGGAGCAAAGGGCACTCTCAGAGACTGGGGAGGTAGGAAATGCAACCATCTCGCAGGGATATTAAAAGGAGTTAGAAAGTAAGTAGTGCCTTTTGCCTTTTGAATGGAAATTGCTAGAAGACCCCATTCCCAGCTTAGGGGCCACAGGCTGAGAACCACTTCCTCTGGCTGACATGGCCCAGAGCATCCTGGGCAGAGCTGGAAGGAGAGCTCAGAGTCCTGACTCCCAGCCAACCCACAACTGCCATCTCAGCAACTCCCAGCATCTCACAGCCTCCAGCATCACGAAAGCTTCCAGTTTGGTAGTAGGGTGGGACTGCTGCTCAGAGTTGCCAAGTACCACACTGTGCAATGAAGACAGCTCTCTTTGCCATGAAGCCCCTGAAGCCTCCTTCAGAATCTGAGATCTCTCCCTCAAACTTGCTCTGTCTATGGATGTATGCAGGACAATGTCCCCATCCTCACCCCTCATCATTTCAGCCTATGGTCGGTTAATCAGTTTCTTACCATCAGAATTATAGAGCTCAGAGCTGAGAACATTAGCAATAAGTCTTTCATTCTATGGGTAAGTCCTAGAGAGGAGAGGGACTTTGTTATCAAGTCACCAAAAGAGCTGCAAAGAGAACTTTGTGCTGTAGATTTGTGCATTAATTGAGGCTGAAAGTCCCCTAGCAGAGCTGGAAGCCCCGGTGGAAAATTACACAGGGAAGGGAGGAGAGACATCTGAGCTATTCTAGTGATGGAGCCCAGAGTGGGAAGCCAGAGCTCATGGGATGGGGTCCCTGGCAACCAGGAGTCTGTGAGCTGTCCATGTGGAGATATACATTACTCAGGGCTTTACACAGAGGGAGCCTGGAGCAGCAATAGTTTTAGAAGCTGTATTAGTTCAGAAATCTGAAGAATCAAGGGAGCTTGCAGTAGCCAGAGGGTCCTGAGCTCTGTGGCCAGAAGGCAAGGTCTTAGGGAAAAACCCCAGGGCCTTCTCTAATCTTCTAGGTCCACCCAGAGGGTACAACCTGGAGTCAAAGGGAAAAGCAAACTCCAGCTCCAACAAAGCAATGGAGAGGAAAGGACAGTGGGGAAGCAAAGAGCCACTAGGAGCTCACATGGCTGCCTTCACGAAGCTGGCAGGAGGATGTCACAGCAGACAGTCTGGCAGGATGGTCACAGTGGCTGGCCACCCTCCTTGGCTTTATCTTTTTTTTCTAGCACTATCCATGTTACCCAGCTGTAATGAGGGAGAAGCAGCTTGTATTATCTGGGATTCTCCAGAGAAACAGCACTAACAGGATGAACATAGAGACAGAGGAAGCTTTATTATAAGGAATTTATTCACATGGATTGTGGAGACTGACAAGTCCCAAGGTCTGCTATCAGCAAGCTGGAGTCCCAAGAAAGCCAATGATACAGTCCCAGTCCCAGTCCCAGTCCAAAGGCCTGAGAACCAGGAGAGGTGACAGTGTAACTCCAGTGCAAGCCAGTAAGCTCAAGACTCAATTCAAGTCCAAAGACAAGGAAAAAGTGATGTCCTTGCTAGAAGGCAGTCAGGCAGCATGAGTTCCCTTTAATTCAGCCCTTTTGTTCTATTCAGGGCTTCAACTGATCAGACGAGGCCCACTCACATTTGGGAGGGCAATTGGCTTTGTCCAGTCTATGGATTCAAATGATAATCTTAACTAGAAACATCCTCACAGACACACCCAGAATGATGTTTGACCAAATATCTGGGCACCACGTGGCCCAGTCAAGTTAACAGATAAAATTAATCAGCACACAGCCTCTCCATCCAGAAGCACCTGGTGGCTCTTCCTTCTCAGTCCCCTTACTGGCTCCTTCTTCTCTGTATTCATTATCTATTATTATAGAACAAACCATCCCAAAACTTAACAGCTAAAAACAACAATCATTTTTTCACATAATTTCTGAGAGTCAGGAACTGGGGAGCAGTTTAGGTAAATGGTTCTGGCTCGCAGTTTCTAATAAGGCTGCAGCCAAGCTGTTGGCTGAGGCTGCTGTCACCTGAAAGGGCTGGTGACACGTGGCTTCAGTTCCACACCATGGGGCTCCCTCCCTGGGGCTGCTCACAACGTAGCAACTGGCTTCCCCCCACAGTAAGTGATTCAAGACAGAGAGAAAGCACAGGAGAGGAGTGACACAGTGGATCACACCTGCAATCTCAGCACTTTGGGAGACCAAGGCAGGAGAATCACTTGAGCCTAGGAGTTCAAGACCAGCCTGGACAACATAGTGAGACCCTGTCTCTACGAAAAAAAAATTTTTTTTAAAAAAAACCCAGGTGTGGTGGTATGTGCCTGTCATCCTAGCTACTCTGGAGGCAAAGGTGGGAGAATTGCTTGAGCCTGAGAGGTCAAGGATGCAGTAAACCGTGATCGCACTACTGCACTCAAGCCTGGACAACAACAGAGTGAGACCTTGTCAAAAAAACAAAAGAAGAAGAAAGAAAGAAAGAAAAAAAGGAAGGAAGGAAGGAAGAAAGAAAGGAAGGAAGGAAGGAAAAAAATAGAGAGCAACCAAAAAGGAAGCCATCATGTCTTTTATCATTTGTCTCAGTTTGTCTCAGATGTGATGTGTCATCACTTCTGCCATATTCTATTAGTCACACAGTTGCAGCCTGGTACAATGTGGCAGGAGCTACACAAGGATATAAGTTCCAGGAGGCAGAGACATTAAGATCCATCTTAGAGGCTGACTACTATACCCTGCACCAGACCATTAAATGTTGGTGGCTGCAGGGTTCTGTCTCAGGCCTCCTGCCCTTTTCCTCTGCATTCTCTCTGGGGACAATTCCCCATTCCCACCTGTATGCCAACAATTCTCAAGTGTATATTTCCTGCCCAAACCACTCCTCTAAACTCTATATATCCACATTCAGGCTTGACATCCCCACTCACCTGTGTTCCAGGCACTGCAAACTCAATGTTCTTACCCCCAACTGAAACTGTTCCTCACCTGCGTACCACATCTCAGTGAATGGCCCCACTATCCACTACTTTTCTCAGAGTAGCATTTGGAATGCAATCTGTCAGGATGTTCAGCAGACTGCACTTTCCAAAGAGCTCTCAAATCCATCCACTTCTTTCCATCCCACTACTATTGCCTAAGTGTACCCCACTATCATATTTACATGAACTACTGCAATGGTCTCCTAACGGGTCCTCCCAAATCTGCTCTGGCTTCTGTCAGATGCATACCCCATGCCACAACCAGTAGTATTTCCAGAGTGCAGATTTGGCCACATCACTCCTCTGCTTAAACCTCTTCTATGGCTTCCCTTGCCCTTCAGCCAAAGGGGAAGTCCTTAACTCAGCCCTCATGGAACTGCTCAATCCAGCGACTGCTCCCCACCCAGCTTATGCTCTCCCTCCACCCTCCCTTGATACTGCCTCCAACTCAGGTCTTCCAGAGCACACTGCTCCTTGTTGCCTTCAGGCTTTCCCACATATTCCTCCCTCAGCCAGAAATCCTCTTTCCTTTCTCTTTGAAAAGTCTGAGTTATCTTTCAGTTTAAACATTGCTTCCTCCAGGAAAGTTTCTATGAATTCCTGAAAAAAAAAAAAAAAGCTGAGTTCAGCTGTTTTCTGTACTTTTGCAAGAACTTGCACTTATTTTTTATAACTCTCAGCAATTATTTTCACTTGCTTGTTCAATGCCTGTATCCCCGACTAGAATTTAAGCTCCATGAGGAGAGGGATTATGACTGTCTTCTTCCACTACTATCTCCACAGCACTTAATAAATACTAGTTGAATAAAAGAGGAAGTGAAGAAGAACACTGGGTGCAGAGCCACCAAGAAATCTGCAAGGACGAAAAGTATCCCTAGGATTCTGGATTTAGGAAGTCATTGGTGACCTTGGAAAGCACCATGTCAGTGGAGATGGGGGTAGAAGCATGAGTACAGGATGTTGGTAGAGACAAGAAGTCAGGGTATATAGACAACTCTTCCAAGACCTATAGATAAGAAGTGGAGGGCAGATATCTGGGTGGTATTTGGAAGGAATGTGGTGTCAGGTGAGTGTTTTGGGATTTGGCAAGTGCTGGGGGGACTTGGACAAGCTTACAGGCTGGAGAGAAGATAGAAAGCAGAGAAGAGAGGGGATGAACAATGACACAAGCCCAGGAGAAGTAGGAAGGATGGAGTCTATGTCACATGTGGAGAGTTGGCCTTAAACAGGAGGAGGGACTCTTCACCCTCTGAAGTTGGGGGAAAGGAGCTGGGGATGGGTATATTAGGTTATTCTTGTATTGCTATAAATACTTGAGACTGGGTAATTTATAAATAAAAGAGTTTTCATTGGATCATCATTCTGAAGACTTTACGGGACACATGGTGCTGGCATCTGCTTGGCTTCTGGTGAAGCTTCAAGGAGATTTTTACTCACAGCCAAAGGTGAAGGAGGCACAGTCCAAATCAACAGCCTCCTATAAATTTTATTTAACAGTAAGGAGCAAGAAACTAAAGAATACCAATGCATATTTGAAAAGGAATCAAATACAACTTCTAAAAATGAAAAACATACCAATTAAAATTAAAAATTGAATAGATAATTTTAATAACAGATAAAACTATGCTAAAGGGAGAATTATAAACTAGAAGAGAAATATAAGAAAATGTTCTACAATATAGCACAGAGGTTTTTTTTAATACAGGAAATTAACTAATAAGCATGCAGAAAAACTGAAAAGAGCTAATCTACATTTGATCAGAGTTCTAGAATAAGCAGAGAGAGTGCAAGGAAAAGAGACAATTTGAAGAAATAATAAGTGAGAATTTTCAGAACTAATAAAAGACAACAATCTTCAGATTCAAGTCTTTAATAAATTCTAAATGAATTAAATCAAAAAAGAAATCCACATCTCAATACATCATAGTGAATCTGAAGAAAAAAAGATGATCACCAATAAAAGAAGAACAAATTTTTTTGGAGACAGGATCTTACTCTGTTACCCAGGCTGGAGTGCAGTGGTATGATCACAGCTCACTGCAGCCTTGACCTTCCAGGCTCAATCGACCCTCCCACCTCAGCCTTCCTGAGTAGTTGGAACTACAGGAAATAAGCCTGACTTATTTCCCTATTTTTTGTAGAGACAAAGTCTCGCTATGTTGCCAGGCTGGTCTCAAACTCCTGGGCTCAAGGAAGCCTCCAACCTTGGCCTCCCAAAGTGCTGGAATTAAAGACATGAGCCACTGCATGTAGCCAAAGGAAGAACAATTAGACTAGTGACTTTCTTATCAACAGCAACAGTGTAACCAGAAGATGTAGAATAACTTCAAAGTCTAAAAGAAAATAACTGTCAGCCTAGATTTGTATATGGAGAAAAATTATCTTTCAAGAATAAGGAAGAAACAAAGACATTGTCAGGTAAATATTAAGCTGAGAGTTTGTCACCAACAGACCCTCACCAAAGAAAAGTCTAAAGAATATAATTCAAAAAAGAAGGCCGGTCCCAGAAGGAAAGTCTGAATTGCAATGGTGAGTAGAGAAAGTGGCAAATGCACAGGTAAATTTAAATAAACATTGACTGTGTAAAACAACAATAATAATGTCTGTGGAATTTTTTTTTAAAGATAGAACTAAAATAGCCAACAGTAATCATATATAGGCCTGGGGGGAGAGTTAAAGTGTTCAAAGGTCCTTGAATTTTCAGAAGGGAACAAAGTATCCATAATTTAAATTTAATTTATTTAATTTATCTAATTAAATAAACTTTAACTTTAGACTTTGTTATCTGAGGTATGCATGTTAAAACTCCTAAGTAGCCACTTGAAAATATGATTTTGAAACTTTCAAACTTGTAGGTATTAGATGGATTGAGAAAATATTTCAATCACTCTAAAAGAAAGCAAGGAAAGTAAGAAAAAGAAACACAGAAAGGTGGGGCAAATAGTACAAAATAAAATGGAAGAAAGATGATAGGACCCCTGGCGAAGGGAGTGGAGGGTAAGGGGGCAATGTTGGACTCAGCTGAGTAAGGGGAGAGTAGCGGAAGGGCTACAGATGCATACAATCATGGTGTGTCAGCCCACCCCCATTAATCTTCAAGAGCCTCCCACCAATGCATTCCTCAGATATACAATTTAAGAAAAGCATAGTACTTGCTATAAAAATGCAGAAAACAAGTGCTCTAGGTACTCCCCACCCCACTCCCAAAACATACCACTCATTCCAACCAGGGTTCTTGTGAATATTAAATGCTATCATCTAATTTGCAAGTGCATAGATAGAAGGTGCTCTGGACATGTTAGTGGAAATTCCATTGGGTTTCCCCTGAACTACAAGACAGAGCTCAGCCAACTGTAGGGATTCATCAAAAATGTAACAGGCTTGGTATCAGATGCAATGAAAGAAAAATGTCAACATGCCACACTGCCTGGAGACACAGAAGGGACAAGAGAACAGGAGCTAGCAGTTTAAAAACTCTCAGCATGCCATGGCCATTACACAACCAACCTGCCAAGGAGGTATCTCTGAGCTATGAGTGAGCTCCCCACTATCTCATAGCAAGCAGGGGCTGGGGCTCCCATCAGTAGGGGAGAGGAAGGTAACTAAGTCAATGCTTTCAGAAGCTCCTTCCTCTCTAGTTCAGGGAACAGGACTCACTTTTGAGCCAGATGGTGGCAGGTGACCCAATCTCCCGCAAGGACAACCAAGAATTGCTGGCACAGGTGCAGGTCGGGGCAGGTAATCAAATTAACAGAGCTCAGGTTACAGTAATACCATCCTGTGGGTTCTGCCCCTGCCCTTTGGCAGCTCAGGTGATTAGCACTCAGGCTTAGGATGAATTTCAAAAATGCGAAGGCTTGCTAAGTACCTTTGTCTCCCTGTTTGGTCTCCCACCCTGCCCTGGGAACAGCTCTGTTTTTGTGGTCAGGAAACACTGCCTGGCCCTCAGGCTTGGTGGTAGAAGCTGAGCACCTTTAGAAAAAGAGCTGTGCTCAGAACCTTGTTTGCTCTGACAAACTGCTTAATTGTATTAAGCAGTTGTTTTCACTTAACATCCTGTTAAGCAGGAGGAGTGGGGCTGTTTTGGCGACCTGGGTCAGAACCACACCAGCAGAATGACTCTGGGGCCAGAAATTAGAAAACAGTGGATGGAGGAGTGAGTGGATAGAAGAGTGAGTGGGAGGTAAGGAATGTGAACAGTGGTAAGTATTGCAGGATCTGGCCAGCAGCCCGCAATGCAATGGGGCTCTCTTTGTTCCCAGGTGATTGGCAGGTGGAGAAATAATAGACACACACAAAATAGTGAAAGCTGGGTCCAGGGGAGTCACCGCCTTCTGGTCCCTTGGTGCCACCAATGCACTGGATATACCAGCATTTATTATTAAGTTTAGTGAGGGTGGGGGTAGGTTAGTGAGGGATTTAGGGTCATTTGATTATGAGGTGAGATGGTCACATGGGGATGAAGTAATTTTTTAACATAACATCTGTATGCAGAAGTACATTATACAGAGATAAGAATTTACAATATAGTGTGTGCATCAGTAATTTCTAGCAGAGCCTTAAAACAGAAACACAGGCTTTCCATAACCTATGATTAGCAAGATATTAATCAGCAGTAACAGTTGCAGCAAAAGCTGGTTACAAACAATCCATAGAAACAGGACGTCAAGCTAGACAACCGGTTAGACCAGAAATTCTCAGAAGGGAGTATGCCTTAACCCTAAAGAGGCCTAGAAGAGCCGTGGCAAGATGAGGGCATTTATAGCCCTATCTTATCCATATGGACAGGCGCCCCTCATGCGTCCATTTATACGCTCTCCACCAGGGTGGCATTCCATTCCCAGAGCTATGAACATCTGCTTTTCTGGGATAGGAGTCTTGGTGATGTGAAACCTCCCTGACTGCACGTCCATTCATAGGCTCTCTGCAGGGGGAAGCACATCACGCACTGTTGGCTCATTCTGGCAGTCCAAGCTGGCATTGTCTTTACACAATCCTGCATGCAATTTTGTATTTACAATAATCAGGAGCATTTCATCTTTTATTCCGTAGCAATAGTTTCAGGGGGTCTCCCTACAGGTAAGGAATGTGAGTAGGAGGTAAGGAATGTGAACATCAACAACAAACTCTTCTGAGTATGGCTGTGAAGGGGAGTAACAGAGGAGCATCAAGGGTCCAGGGAAGGCTTCCCTACTTTAAAAATGGAGAGACCTGAGCATTTTTACATGCCAAAAGGAATAAGGTGGTGACTATAGGACGGAGGTGGAAATAAGAGATGGATCCAGGTCCCAACATGCAGGAGAACAAGAGGACTATGGTGCCAAACTAGCCAGGCCCAGGTGAAGCAGAGGCAGGAGAGTGGGGTAGGTGAGGATTGGGCTCTGAGAATGCTCCTCAGGGTGGAAGGAGACAGGCCTTGGGCAGAGGAGAGGCTGCCCTGAGCGGGAGAAGTGACTAGGAAATGGTGGCCAGCTGGAGAAGCCTAGGGACAATCAAGAGAACGGACGCAGAGAAGAGTAGGGGCTGGGCGCTGGCCATATCCGGGGGGAGAGAAGCCACCCTTAGCAGGTGGGCAGAGCCTATGAGGACTCTCATAGTGTTCCCAGACTGAACCAAGGGTCAGGCTGCTTATTCTCATGGCCCAATAACAAGATGCAGGTGAAATGGGAAAGAAGGGAGTTTATTTCTGTAACTGGGTACAGGGAGAAGGCCAGGAAAATATCACCAGACCAACTCAAAATTACAAAGTTTTCCAAAGCTTATACACCTTCTAAGCTATATGTCTACGTGTAAGTGTGCATTCATCTAAAGACATATGTGATTAACTTCTTTTAATCTATAACTGAGATCTGAGTCCTGAAGACCTTCCTCTGGAGCCTCAGTAAATTTACTTAATCTAATGGGTCCAGGTGCTGCGGTGATTACCCTTATCATGTCTCCTGCTAAATCATGGAGGTTTGAGGAGTTCCTTTAGTCCCCAATAAAGCTAGTTTGTGGAGGTCTGGGGAGTTCCTTCAGACCCCCAATAAAACTTGTTTAATCCTAAAGAGGTCCTGTTAAGAATTCCTTCATTATCTTGTCATGCTTCAAGGTCCAGGAAAGGCCTAGGCAAAACTCTTGGTGGGCTTTTGTTACATTCCAGCCTTTGTATGAGGGCACTGGCTCTATCAGCTTTTAATATTTAACCACTCAGTCAGTGCTAAAACGGTTGTCATGGAGGCCTGCCTGCTCAGCTATTAGTGAGACCTGGCCTGCCACAATCGCAACCTGGATGGAAAGCTCAGCCCAGTGACCAGTGACAGGGAGTCTGAGCCTCCATCAGGAGCTCATCTTCATCCTTCAAGGCCCAGCCTGGGAAACCTTCCCAGTCCACCTCCACCCAAAGCAGAGTGAACCCCTCCCTCCTGAGAGCCCCCACAGCCTTCTCTTGATCATTGCAATCCCTAGGTTAGGAATAACGCTCGAAATCCTAAGGAAATTGAACACTCGAACAAAGGATTCTTAGCAAAGCAATTTTACTTCTGCGTAGAGGGGTGCTTCCTTGGCAGTTGCCATGAGAGCACACCTGAACAAAGGGCATGGGAGCCTTTATTCCTGATGCAAGTCCTGCCCCTGTACTCTTTCCCCATTGGCCAGGGTCGGTTCATACAATCTAAACTAATCCCAGTTGGCTAAACATTTGATTTTTTTTAGATAGGATGGGCACATAAAAGAAAGTGGAGAGGAAGGAAGTAATGAGCTGGAAAGTTAGTCCTCTTTCCAAATAAGGAAAGGAATGTGAGCTGGTACTGATAACCCTTGGTACTGAGGCGTGCCTGGGCATCTAACAAAGGCAAAAAGGAAAAAGGAGAAAAAAAAGGTGGGGGTGGGTACTAGAATTAAAGAATAAAATATTGATCAGATTATTTGAAGAGAAACCTCATCATATCCCACAACTACAATAATGCCTGGAGCACCAAGATATTTAGACATGTTGATTTTTTTTCACTTTAACCATCATAACACACTCTCCATAGATAGGAATTATCATCCTCATTTACCAAAGGGGGAAACTGAGCCTCAAAGCGTTAAAGACAGTTGCCCAAGGCAATTCAGCCAGGACTTACCCGGGTGACCCTGGCCACAAAGCCCATCCTTTCCACTTTGCCACTGTGTTAGAACCACATAGGAATGGAGTCCAGTCCGTCTCCACCAACAGACCCGGAATGGTACTTATGGAGAGTATTTGTGGAGGAGAATCTAGAGACAGGTCATGTAGTCCAATCCTTTCATTATATAGATAAGAATATCTATAATATGCTGATAATATCTATCACAGGTAAGGAAACTGAGACTCAAGGGAAGGGACTTGCCAGGGTCACACAGCAAATCAATATTGGTGCTGGATTAGAACCCAAATCTGCTGACTCAGACCAGAGCTAGATGCATAGAACCTATAGTCAACTTTTAATCCCCTCCCTGGGGTCAAACCCTTGTAGCTGCCTAATTGTTTGCCCACTAATCCTATTAAATTCTATACTCCTCGACCTTTGGGTCAGAAAGACTCCAGGGCCTGGGAGTACTACCAACTCCCTCTTTCTTGCTCCCTCTGCCAAAGGAATTCACCCCAGGGAGCAACTCAGCCACCCTGCCCAGGCAGATCTGGGCTGGGAATCAGCCTACAGCTCAAAGGTTAGGCTGGGGTCTACTTTGGGACACTTTAGAGAAGACACAGATCAGAAATATTTATAGGAGCACAGAGAGAGAGGCTTGGTTCTGCGAGGGGCCTGGACATGATTTGGGGAGACAGCTCCAGACCAAGACCTGAAGAATGAGTAACTTTTACACTGTTAGTAGGAGTGTAAATTAGTTCAGCCATTGTGGAAGACAGTTTGGCAATTCCTCAAGGATCTAGAACCAGAAATACCATTTGACCCAGCAATCCCATTACTGGGTATATACCCAAAGGATTATAAATCATTCTACTATAAAGACACATGCACACGTATGTTTATTGCAGCACTATTCACAATAGCAAAGACTTGGAACCAACCCAAATGCCCATCAATGATAGACTGGATAAATAAAATGTGGCACATATACACCATGGAATACTACGCAGCCATAAGAAAAGGATGAGTTTATGTCCTTTGCAGAGACATGGATGAAGCTGGAAACCATCACCTTCAGCAAACTAATGCAAGAACAGAAAACCAAACACGGCATGTTCTCACTCATAAGTGGGAGTTGAACAGTGAGAACACATGGACACAGGGAGGGGAAATATCACACACTGGGGCCTGTCAGTGGGTTGGGGGCAAGGGGAGGGAGAGCATTAGGACAAATACCTAATGTAGATCACGGGTTGATGGGTGCAGCAAACCACCATTGCATGTGTATACCTATGTAACAAACGTGTATGTTCTGTACATGTATCCCAAAACTTAAAGTATAATTTTTTAAAAAAGTTTTCATCAAAAACAAAAAGAGACAGCCAGATAGACAGGGGCTTGAAGGTATTCCTGGTGAACACAACACCAAGAGCAAAGGCTTGAGAGTAGAAAACAGAAGAGGGTATTCAGAAGCCTGCAAACTCAGGGCAGCTGTAAAGAAAGTGCTATTAGATGCAGAGTTCAGGAGTAGAGGGGAAGAAGAAAGGGTGCCAGGCTGAACAAAGCCACAAATTATTTCCATATGAGGAAGAGAATGGCACTGGTCAGGTGGGGAAAATGGGATGAGCAAATAGCAGGAGAGGGCGGAGAGAGGAAAGTGTTTGAATCAGGGCACTGCCCTGCCTAGAAACTTTCTATGGGTTCAGACCTCTTACTCTAGGGATGGAAGCCAAACTCTTTGCCCCCCAGTCCCAACACAAGCTGATTCTTGCAGGCTACCCTCATGCTCCCTCATCTGCTGCTCATCATGTCCAGGGCAACCTCTGCCTGAAATGCTCTCCCTAGCTCAAATGTCACTTCCTCCAGGAAGCCTTCTGTAGCTCACCCTCACAACCAGTCTCTCCCTAGTCTCTGCCCCTAAGTCCCTGGTGCCAACTCCCACCATAGCTCTTATTACACTGTTTTATAATTATGTAACAGGAAGGGGGAATGTGTCATTTTTAAACAGTCACTTGCAATCTGGGCCAATTGTCCTAGGAAGAATGTGGAATTAATATTAGGAATAGAATGTTATTTTGCTTACAGAAAAACAATAAGAAGTAAATCTTGAAATAAAATGTCCTTGGCCAAAGGCTAAATGTAAGATGAGCAGATTAAAGAGACTTTAAATCACTGCATAAGATGTTTGCTTCCTGGTACTCCCCAATATATCTATGCACCACTCTCCTCCTCCCTTCCCTTCCCAATCCCTGCTCCAGCAGCTGAGTCTGAGGTTCTTTGCAGAATTAAATTCTTGATTTAAAGATTCAAAAGCCAAGACTTTGAGTTGCAAAAACCCAAGCTTTTTAACTTCAGATGCCTAAGCCTTGAAGGATTTGGAGTATGAATTCTACAACAAAAATAGAAGATTCAGAAAAATACATGATGGGTTGGAGCCATTTTCCCGCAGCTGAAACCAGGACCGAACTGAGTGGGGGCAGCCAGGGAAAGAGAAAAAGCCAGAATGAAGACGAGATGAAGACTGATGAGTCCTTGAAAAAGCTCCTGTGTTACTTCTGCAAGGAGCTCACAGAGTTAAAAGGACACATGCCCTTTCTGAGTTGACCCAGGAAAGCCGCAAAGCCCATCACCACTCCATGAAGGTGCAATAGAAGGGGCTGCACAGTGCTCCTAGGCTGATGATCTTAACAACCAAATGGCAGGGGAGAAAAAGAGTGCTGCGTGCACTCAGGTGGAGTTCAGGGATAGCTGGCAGAGTTGGGCCTGGAGAGGCCTTCTGGTTGGAAATGAGAGGTGACACAGGAGCTATCCCCATGAATTGACAACTAAGGGTAAGAAAGAACTGTATACAGTTCAGGGCATCCCCATGAGACTAGACACCCTGAAACCCAGTCTCACCAATGTTGTCATAACTCCTAGAGCTTGACACAAGTCTGGTGCTATCATCTGAATGTTTGTGTCCTCCCAAATTCATGTGTTGAAACCTAATCATCATCAATCATGTGATGCTATTACAAGGTGGGGCCTTTGGGGAGGGGATTAGGTCATGAGGGCAGAGCCCTCATGAAAGAGATCAGTGCCCTAGAAAGAGACTGAAATTTTTTTCTGTCACCTATAGAAAGGGAGTTAGGAAAATAAAATAAGTTTAAATGTGGAGAGATAACATTTTGTTTCTTACAGCCCTAAGTTTATGGACTAAGAATCTAACATTGGATGACTCTACATATGAAAATAAAAATTAATGCAACTGGCAAAGGAGAAGAGGATTGAAGGGAACAGGTGAAAGAGGGGCCCAAGATGATGGCAGAAATCTGCCACGCAAGGGTGGACAGGACCTGCAAGAATTCCCTGTGATGCAGAGTGCCTATGAATTTTCATTCAAGTTAAGAGTAGTACTCAAATTTAAATTCTCATTTGTTCTGGCCTTTGCTGCAATCACCACCCCCCCACCCCCGGCCCCACATCTTCAAAATCACCCACTGTAGACACTCACCTTGCATTGGCGATGCTTTGCCAGAGCAAAAAAGTGGGAAATGATGTGTATGGAACCAACCAGCAAAAGAAGAGGAAAAGACTCCCAGGATGCAGAGAGGTTGCAGTTAGATGGTGACTGCGATGGAGTCCTCCCACAGGTTCCCTCGCTTACATGTAACTCACATGTTACCTGTGATCTCAGCTGCAGCCATTGGCCAGAACACCTACACAAGCCTTCCCCATGTGGCCTGGGCTTCCTTACGGCATGGCAGCTGGGTTCCAAAGCAAGCATCCAAAGAGAGAGAGCCTAATAGATGTTCAATCGTCTTTTTTGACGACCTAACCTCAAGAATCAAGCAGCATCACTTCCTCTTCCTTCTGCTTATTAGAAGCAAATTATGAGATCCAGCCCAGATTCAAGGGGAGGAGAATTAAACTCCACCTCTTGATAGAAAGGGTATCAAAGAATTTGCAGACATGTTTAAAAGCACTACAAAAACCAAAAGATCACCAGGAGAAACATAAGCCTCTGAGAATCTCTGAAAATATTGATTGTGAGGGTTGTGCTAGTTTTCCCACCATGTGTGGAACTAGATCCCAGATGATTCTATTTGAGTGCCAAAGGGCAGAGTGATCCAAGAGGCTGGAAGTCTCTGGGGAACCCAGGACAGCAATGGCGTTTTGCCTGCCTGACACTCCCAGTACATAGTGAACTCACTACTCTATGCCCCAGGCATTTGACTGTGTGAGCAATGGAGTAACACAGGACAACTGGAACTCTTCAGAGTTTCTGTTTCCACAGGGTGCACATGCTTGCTTTAAATCTAACAAATGTGTAAAATCTGTGATGCTCGAGGGAGCGTCACTACAAGAAAGGATACAACAATTTGCAGACTTGGGAATGAGTGTCTGGAATTGGCATTGGGACCGACTACAGCTCTGCCAGACACACCCAGAAGTGGGTAATGGTTTCTTCAGTGATCAAAACTCCCAAACGAAGCCAGGCAGTTAAAATCAGCACAGATGGATTGCGAAATGGGTTCCTCTACAACATGGTTAGTGCCTAATAATAAAACAATCAAACCATACATAGTACAAACGTGTCTGACAGTGGGAGAGGACACAACAAGGGCAGAAAATGTGAATTAGATTCTGCCAAAATAAGACCCCCAGAAAAAGCCTGGGGCTTGACTATTCTAGCCAGCTGCCTCTAGGACCCTCCCTCAGGAAGATATTGAGGTTCCCAACTGTTTCCAGCAGCAAGTGCAGAAGAGGAGGAATTACTTTTGCTTAATCAGTGCTCTCCACTTCACTGAAAAGATGGAAGCCCTGGAACATAAATGTATTACTCACCTTCTTCTATCTCCAACCTCATCTTGTCCCTCTCCCTCTCTTCCGATAAATGACAGAAAAGATGATGAGTAATACAAGAGGCCAGGAGCTACACAGAGATTTTATAAAGACTTGTGGGCAGACTTTTGGAAAGGAAAGTGGTTGAGGAAGGAGGCAGGAGGGAATAGACCTCAAAGCTTATACCAAGGCAGAATTCAAAGACAGGATCTCCCTCAGGCTATGGCAGGGTGAGGAGGGTGGGAGGAGGTGTGCCCTAACTGTGTGTTGGGTTCTGGAGGAAGGAAAACCCTGACCAGCAGGGACACTGAGGCTAGTTCTTTCTTCATGCATCTTTGCAATGTTTTCCCATCACCCAGGAGGAGATTGAAGCAGCAGGAACCCAAAGCCATGGGCCTGAGCAGTAAAGCCATCTGAGGTCAAGTTCACCCACTAAGCTACTACTGTGTGCCAGCCCAGCACAAGGGCTGGGAACACACAGTTATCTCGAACATGATCCCTGCCCTCCAGTAGCTCACAGATGAGTGGAAAAGAAAGACACAGAACAAATCAAGGCAGTTACGCATTTTTTGCTGCTGGGACCAAGGTGAGGGGAGTGGAGAAGAAATTTGTTCCAACCAGGGTGGAAAGGAAAGTCATGAAAGCCTTTCTAGAAGAGGGGCCATAGAAATGAGTCTGGAAAGATAAATGAGCACTCCCTAGCAGGGAACATAGTTTAGGTAGACAAGGCCATTGAGGCGGAGTACAGCTGGCCAGTTGTTGGATAAACCTGGGGTAGTGAGCATGAGGATGGGGCAGGCTGAGGGAGGAGGCTGGAGGGGCAGGCCAGCCCAGGTCATCCCTGGCCTTGCAGGGATGGAGCAGGGTTGGGGCTTTACCCTACAGGCCATGGGGAGCATCAGAAGGCTTTAAGGGAATTAAGGCATTGGCAGTAATGTCCACTCTGGCTGCTATGTGAGGAGCGATGTGAGGAGTTAGATCCTCATTAATATGATTATTATGGGGATATTAATTTATGCAGGTGGACCAGAGGGTGGAACATCAGTGAGAAAGGCTGGCAAGAGATGATGGAGGCTTATATTAGGGCAGTGGCCATGGAGGAGTACCTGGATGCAGGGGTTTGGGGGAGCAGAGGGAACAGCAGCAAGACCAGGATAATCAACAAGGTCAGAGACCAGAGATCCAGATTCAGCCCAGTCCAGTGTTCCAGCCTCTGGCCCCATGCGCCTGCTGCCTGTCCCAGCTTTGGATGGAAAAGAAGTAGAGGGAGGTGCAGAAAAAAAGGAAAGGAAGGTATGAGACGCTGAGCAGTGACAGAATTGGGAGGTAGGAGGCGGACTGCAGCATGACCTCTTCCTTGAGCTAAGGAGCTGCACTCAGCACTGTGTGGTATGAACTTGGAGAAGTAGGATGGCTGGGAGGGAAGAAGACCCTTCCCTGACTTCCTTCAACAGACGTTTGTCCTGGGCCTGCTAAGAGAGTTGGAACTAGCAGACCTGGTTCAAATCCCAGGCAAACCAGTTACCAACTCAATGGCTTCACGTAAATGACTAAATCTCTGAGCCAGTTTCCCCATCTGGAAAATAGAGATGGCCATCCCTGCCATGGAGAGCTGCTTTAGGAGTTATAAATAATATGTATTATAGTAATTGGGCACAGAGTGGGTGTGCAGCAAATGGCAGTCAGTATTCTTTGCCTAGAACTCTGCTGAGGCTCTAATCACATACTGTGAGGGTGAACCTAAACAGTCCTAGGCTTTGGAAGGCTCTGTGTTTCCATGCTTCCCTCTGCTGGTCAAAAGAGGCAGTCTCCACTGAGGAGAGAATCGCAGGATGCTAAGACCAGACACAGCTCCCCGCCCCCTACCTAGACTAAGAATCCTCTTATATTGAACCTCAGGGTGAATCCTTCCAAAGGCAGCAGATGTGATGTAGCGTATAGACCACCAGCTACTTACCAACAGTGTGAAGTTGGATGCATCACTTCACCTCTCTGAGACTTTGTTTCCTTGGCTATAAAATGGGGTGATAATCTCTGACATGTTTCACAGTGTTGCTGTGAATCCCAAATGAGATTATGTCTATGGAACTTTTTAGAAAACCTGAGCTACGCATAAATGTTAGTGATCAGGCACTTTCTGATGTCCCTTCCCCACCACGCTAGGTGCTCATGCTGGCTGGGTATGTGCTCATGAGCACCCAGCATGAGCACCTCGTGTGGTGGGGAAGGGGCATGAGAAATATAAGAAGCTGCCCCCATCCTTGAGGAGCTCCAATCCAGTCAGGGAGACAAGTCATGCTTCAGGCAGTTATTGATGCTATGGGATGGGGACTCTGTGTGCCCAGAGGAAACAAGAAAAGACCTGCTGTTCTGTTGGCCTGTTCCAAGACCCCCAGTTTTTCATCCCTAAAAGTGCAGAGGCTGAAGCCACGTCCAGAATGACCAATAGGTCTCCAACTATTGCATATCTTGGTATAATCCTCCTTTCTGCCCCTCAAGGCCATCTTCCCCAAAGCAGTGAACAGGGAAATGTGGAAAGGGGTCGCCAGAGTCCACAGGCTAAAACCACAGCTGTCTCCAAGTATAGAAACCACCTCATATTGGGGTAAGACTCTCAAGAGACTGCTGTACATTGTAATACCTTCTCACCAGATTTCCTGGGCCAACCCCTAATGGGCTTCACAATTACCCTCACCTCCAAAGCTTTATTTTGACTTCACCTCACTAAACTTGTTAGATCACCATAGTTGGGTTTCCACCAAGGAAACTTACCCTGGTTTCCTAAATCTATAGAAACTCCTGAGGACATGGGTATGGACAAAAAATTACAGGGATAGAGGGAGGTTCAAATAGTCAAACAGGAATAAACTGGCAGGGAAACCGAGGTATACTTAGCCCTTCCTTAGAATTTAAAATCAGGAAAGAAAATGTTTTTGTCTGACAAGGAAAACATATAAATAAGCATTTTCCAAAATGAACTATTCAAAATGCTGATTTATTGCTAGACGTCAATAAATTTTCCATGGGAAAGGGGCTCCATGATCAATTAAACTTGGGAAACTGAGTAAAAAATAAATTTTGCTGCAAGATGCGTCAGAGCCTTCATTATTTAATGCCATTAGGACTCCTCAAACAGAATGGAGTGTAGTATATGCAGTATTTCCTAGGTTTATTTGACTAATGAACTGCTTATTCCAGACACTCTTATTAACATCTTATGGGACTTCAAGAATTTCATGAAGTTAAATGCTGATATCTATTGTGGTTCCCTTTGTGCCCTAGCTTCCAGGAAGCTCAATGTTAACCATAATGCTTATATGGCAGAAAGCATATAGCTCAGGTCTGAGATGGAATTATCTCCCCTAGTAATATTTCAGGATTCCTGGACAAGACATTGCTATTATTCCATAGCATTATAGGACAGATGTTGCTACAGAGAGTGTAACATTTCCTCCCACCCCTGACTACCCTTAGGCTCTATTCCAGGCTCATTAATGTGACCCCCTGAATCTTAGGTCTGGTTATTCCCAGCCCCTTAAGGATGCAGCACAAGACTAGGAGCCAAAGACTGTCCCTTGAGGGACTGTCTCTTGGGAATTCTCAAGGTGAAGGCTTACAGACCATCTGCTGCCAAGTCTGGGGAAGTCGCTAGGGTAGATAGTGACCCCATAATCCCTGAGGAATCAGAACTGCCTGCTCATTCCTTGGACCCAAAGAAAAGTCTTAGTCCACCTCCAAAATTGCCTGAATTGATAAGGGCTGTCCCAGGACAGTAGCTACCATGATGACCCTGCTCTACTATGAACCCCTAGCATATTACTGCCCCTAAGGACAGCTGAGGAGCCCTGGAATGTAAAATGGGCCTCTGCATGTTGCGGGAGAGACGGCTAGGACTTCCTGAGTTAACCAAAACCAGAAGTCTAATGCTCAAACCTCTCCAGGGAAAGAAAAAAAAAAAAACCCTGAGATCTTCCTAATCCCCCTGGAGACTGAGGAAGGCACCTCGATTCTTCCTCCAACCCATTCAATTGTCAGTTCACTGGGGAAGCATTACAGAATAGTGATTAAGACAAAAGTATTAGGAGTTAAATCTGAGTTCAAATCCAAGGTTTTCCACTTTATAGCTACTATGGTGAGTTGCTTAACTTCTCTGAGTCTGTTTGCTCATTTCAAAAAGGAGATAATAAACTTGGTGTGGTGGCTCACACCTGTAATTCCAGTATTTTGGGAGGCTGAAGTAGGAAGACTGTTTGAGCCAGGAGGCCAAGGCTGCAGTGAGCCATGATCATGCCACTGCACTCCAGCCTGAGCAACAGAGCAAGACTTTTCTTTTTCTCTTGAAGAAAAAGAAAAAGACAGATAATATTGTACCCATCTTATAGTGTTGTTAGGAGGATTAAATGAAATTATTTATATAAACTGTACTGTGGTATGACGAAATGTTTAATTTCAAAAATAAATAAAAGAAATAGACCACATCTGTGGTGTGGTGAAATAAAACAAGTAAATAAAAATTAAAAGTAAATTATTTATATAACATAGCACAGAGCTCAATAAGTGGCTATTGTTATTCCCAAGCATCCACTCTGGGCCCTGACATCCTTCAACAGACATTTGTCCTGGGCCTGGTAAGAGAGTTGGAACCAGCAGACCAGGTTCAAATCCCAGGCAAACCAGTTAACAACTCAATGGCTTCAGGTAAATGACTAAATCTCTGAGCCAGTCTCCCCATCTGGAAAATAGACATGGCCATCCCTGCTATGGAGAGCTGTGATGACCTGCTCTACTATGAACCCCTAGCATATTACTGCTCCCAAGGACAGCCCCCAAGGACAGTGTCGAGTAACATAGATTCAGAGACCAATCAATTTGTTAAGAATTCTCAGGCTAGTAAAGGAGATAGGCAAATGATCAGGCAATAATTACACAGAACTATCAGTGCTGTGGCTGAGGGAAGCCCATGGGCTTAGAGAACACAACTTCAGCCCTAATAAGTGAAAAAGACATTCGGCCACAAATGATTGGAAAGGGAGAGGTAAGGCTGTCACTATGTACAAATAATATAACTGTCTGCATAAAATGAAACAAAAAAAAATCTGTAGACAAATTATTAGAATTATTAGGAGAGTATAGCAAGGCAACTGGATGGAGAGTTAATATACAGAGGTCAGTGCAGTTCTATTCACCAGCAACAAAAAAATTACTGTAGAAAACAATATTTAAAAGATACCATCTCTAATAGCAACAAAATTATAAGGTATTGAGGCACAAATGTAACACAAAGTTGTGTAGGATCTATGTACAAATAAGTATAACACATTATTGAGAGATATCTCCTCAATAAAGTGATTAAAGCTAACATAACCAATATTTAGACAAGTAGCATTGTATGCCCTCAGATGTGATACACGTCACTGATCTATAATATCATTCCTGCCAAAAAAAAAATGTTTACTCTAAATCTATCATGAGGAAACAATCATACAACAATTTTTAAAATAATTGTTTTTTTATAGACACGACTGATTGCTATTCTGTGCACTTAAACTGATTGTGATGACTTTTCATTTGTTTACATACATTGCTTCAGTCTTCTCAGGTGAAAGTAGTGAGAAAACCGTAAGTGAGGTGAAACACTTATCCACCATATGCTATTTCATTAGAAGTGTTACTGGCAGTCCACAAAATTAACTTATCCCCATAGACTTCTCATTCCTCTCCAGCCCAAAGTGCAAAACCACAGCAGGGAGAAGTGGAGCACAACATAGCCAATTAGCCAATTCACCCTCACTTCAATATGATTTTTTTTTCTGAGATGGAGTTTTGTTCTTGTTGCCCAGGCTGAAGTGCAATGGCGCGATCTTGGCTCACTGCAACCTCCGCCTCTCAGGTTCAAGTGATTCTCCTGCCTCAGCCTCCCAAATAGCTGGGAGTACAGGCATGCGCCACCATGTCCACTAATTTTGTATTTTTAGTAGAGACAGGGTTTCACCATGTTGGCCAGGCTGGTCTCTAACTTCTGACCTCAGGTGATCCACCTGCCTCAGCCTCCCAAAGTGCTGGGATTACAGGCATGAGCCACTGCACCCGGCCTCAGCATGCTTTTAAATGCAACATGCCACTGTCTCACTACCAAAAATCTGCACACCTTAAAAACCCTAAAGGAAAAGGAACAGCATCAACATGCCATTTATTTTTGTCATCTTGAACTAAAAGTACAGCTGCAAGCAAGCTTGCTGTAGGACAAACTTTAGCTTGAGAGACATCAACTATCTGCACTCAGGGACTTGATCGATTTCCAGGGGAACATCTATGGAAGGTCAGGTTAATACCTAATTTCAGGTTGTTTGCTACTTTTAACTCAATGCAGAGTCTAGTTATAATAAAGAGTCAAACAATGCTTTAAATTTGGTATACTTTCATGGATTTTTTTCCTCTTTTAAAGGAAAAGAAAGGATAGGGAAAAGGTAAATGTGACACATTTTCTGCTTAGAAAAAGTAATGCCTTATAAAATTTTAACTAATTCAACCATTCAGGGTGGTCAGCGCAGTAAATCTTTTATTTCTTCAAAATGCTGCTTCTGCCAACAGAATTTCATGTTCTCTTCTTTACAGATAGGAACTCCTTTACAGTCGAATTGTAATTCCATTTGCCCTTCTGGCCAGTTCCTACATCTCCATTTCATTATGATTTTTTTATTTGTTAAAGATTCTATATATTCATCAGTGATGTTCCCAACAAACATTTGGAATTTCCCTCCCTTTTCAGCTTCTAATACAGCAGAAGATTTAGAAAATTTTTGCACCAAATCCTTCATAGTGAAGATGCTGTACAACTGTTCTACAGTTACGTCAAACTGTGCCCTCATGGGAAGAGCCATAGCGGGAATTCTTACACCCAGTGCCACTGGAGATGAGGCCCGAACCTGCAAGATATTCTCGCTCCATTTTCTTTTAACAGTCAATTCCTAGGTTGCCATAGTTTTCACTGGTAAAACCATTCCCATTGTAAATTCTGTCTTGAGTGTCTTCAGGTAATCTCCAAGGACCTCCTCCCTGACCTTAGCAGTGCCTGCAGTTTTCATAAGATCATTCAGTATATCCCCATCTCCTTTCTTTTTACTCACATTCACCTCGGTGTCATCTACTTCATTTTCTTCAGAAAGATTGGGTATTTCAATCAATCCCTTATGCTTCACGTCAGATTCTTTAATGATACCTTTCCAGCCCAGTTTGATGTTTCACTCACACAAGAAAATCACCTTTCCTTTGTGGATGCTGCAAGAAGCCTTACCTTCCACCTGCTTTAGCTCGCTGATCTCTCAGTGGCCAGCCTCATCCTCCACAACAATGACCACCAGGAGCTCCTGGAGCTTCTCTTTGGACCAGCTGGTGGCATCCCACTCAGTGCCAGCTGTTCACGTTGCTTCCATCCTCCTGCTCCTCCACAATCCAGCGTGGGTTCTCCAGCTTCACTTAACCATGGCTGTGCAGGCTGGCCAATCATACAATTGCTGGTGGAATTGTAAATTGGCCTGACCCAATTATTGGGTCAATCATACAACAATTGCTGATGGGACTGTAAATTAGCCCAATCCTTTTGAATCCAAACTTTAGAACATTGTCCAAACAACTGGCCTATACTTCCAAGAACATCATAAAAGAAAAAATTCACATAGGTTAGTAACAGGCTAGAGAACTGTTCCAGATTAAAGGAGAAAAAAGAGACAAGACAGCAAAACATAATCTGAGATCTTTAATTGGATCCTGATCTGCTAAATAATTAGCTGTGAAGGTCATCAAAGGGATAGTTAGTGAGTTTTTAATATGGATCATATATTAGAGGATAACAGTGTATCAGTATTCAATTTCCTCAGTGTGATAATTATGTTGTATTCATTCAGAAGAATGTCCTTGTACTTAGGAGTTACCTGTAGAAATATTTGGAAGGGGGAGGTTTCATAATTTAGGAGAAAATTAACCTCAAAGAGGTTAGAATAAAAAACATATTAATACTTATATAGGCAGCTGAGGCAAATGTGGTAAGGGTAAATAGGTATTGATTTACTGCTCTTATGAATATTCTGTAGCTCTGACAATTTTTGCAAAATAAACAGTTCAGGAAAAAAACTTACTGAAAGATATTAAAGAAGATCTAAACAAATGAAGGCAACATTTATATCATGTTCATAAATAGAAATACTCAATATAGTTAAAAGATTAATTTTAGATTGACTGCAACCCCAATTAAAATCTCCACAGGCTTTTTAAAATAAAACTTGACAAATGTATTGTAAATTAATATGGAAGAGGAAAGGTCCAAGAATATCCCAGGTATTTCTGAAGAAGAAAAATAGGGAGGAAGGACTCGTCTTACCAGCTATCAGAACATATTATGAAATCATGGTAATTAAGACAGTGTGGCGGTAAAAATTGGTCAATGTGGATTAGAATAGACAGCCCCAAAATAGATCTATCACACAATATTATAGAAATGGAAAAGGTGAAATTGGATTCCTATTTTTCCCTATACATACACACAAAAAAATCCACTCAAGATGGACTAAAAACCAAAAGGGAAAATAAAAAACTTCAAAACATTTAATATAAAATGTAGGTTAATATCTTTATCACTTTGATCTAGGGAACAATTCCTTGAAAAATCTACCCAAAAAGGCACTAATCATACAAGAAAAGATTAATAAACTGAACTATATTAAAATAATTACTTCTGTTGATGAAAGACATTTTAAAGAAAGAAAACAGATAATTTACAAACTGGGAGAAAATAATTGTAACAAATAACCAGCAAAGGATTTATATCAAAAACCAGCAAAGGATTTATATCAAAAACTATAGAGCCCAGGCGTGGTGGCTCATGCCTGTAATCCCAACACTTTGGGAGGCCAAGGCAGGAGGATCATGAGGTCAGGAGTTCAAGACCAGCCTGGTCAACATAGTGAAACCCCGTCTCTACTAAAAATACAAATATTAGCCAGGTGTGGTGGCACGTGCCTGTAATCCAGCTACTCAGGATGCTGAGGCAGGAGAATCACTTGAAGCTGGGAGGCAGAGGTTGCAGTGAGCCAAGACTGCACCATTGCACTCCAGCCTGGGTAACAAAGTGAGACTCCATCTAAAAAAAAAAATAAATAAATAAAATAAAAATCTATAAAATGCCTCAGACATTCAGAGTAGGAAAAATGAACAAAAATCATGATTAGACATTTTGCAGGAAAGGGAACCATATCTTCAATAAATGTTGGTTCAATCTCATTACTAATAAGGGAAGATAAAGACAAAGATGAAATTCAAGTTACCCCCATTCAATCTGAAAAAATTAAGAAGTCTGGCAACAGCAAGTATTGGAGAGAATGTGGGTCAACCATTCTACTATACATTGTTGGTGGGAGTGTAATTTGACACAACCGTTCTGGAAAAAAGAAAAGTATTATCTTGTAAAGTTGAATTTTCACATACTCTATAACCCAGAAATTTCACTTCAAAATATGTGTGTATATGTGTATGTGTGTGTGTATGTACAAAAAGACATGCACCGGGAGACATGTACAACAATATTTTCAGTAGTACTATTTGTAGTAGCAAAATAATGACAGTAACTCCAATGCTCATTGACAGGAAAATTGACAAATAAATTGTAATATATTTGCACAAAAGAATATTTTGTATATACCAGCAAAATTGAATGAACTGTAGCCTGTATAACAACTTGAACAAATCTTGGTAACATTTTGTTGAAAGAGAAAAAGCAAGCCTCAGAAGATGGTGTACAGCATGATACCCTTTTTCATAAATTTTAATAAAAACTAAAACTAAAAATATACGTTGGGTATATAGTTTTAATCAAAAATATTATGAATATAAATTTCAGGATGATGTTTACCAGGGGATGGGAAAGGGTGATGAACGCCTAAATGTAAATTATTGCTGTTGATGTTACTTCTTGGATTGGGTTGGGTTGTGAGTTGGACTGTGGGCGTGAATGTGGAGAGAGAGACTAGAGAGAAGAAGAGAGGAAAAAGAAAGGCAGAAGGGAGGGAGGAAAAAGAAAGGAGGAAAAGGGGGAAGGAGGGAAGGAGGGAAGAAGGGAAAGAGGTGTATGCAAGAGTCAAAGATGACAGCGTCAGGAGACAAGATTAAAAATCAGCTGATTTTTTGCATAGTGTCAAGCAAAAGAGGAGGAAGAAAAGGAAGAGACACTTAAGCAGCCTAAGAGAAATTAGGGAAGGCTTTCTGGAACCAAGTACAGGACTACCTTGTTTTATTATGCTTCACTTTATTGCACTCCACAGATACTGAGTATTTTTTTTTTAGATTGAAGGTTTGTGGCAACCCCGCAACAAGCAAGTCTATCTGTGCCATTTTTTCAACAGCATGTGTTCATTTCATGTCTCTGTGTCACATTTCTGTAATTTTGCAATATTTCTAACTTTATTATTATTGTGTCTGTTATGGTGATCAGTGATCTCTGATGTTACCATTGTAATTGTTTTGGGGAGCCAGGAACCACACCCATATAAGATGGTAAACTTAATTGATAAATGTTGTGTGTGTTCTGACCACTCTACCGACTAGCCACCCTCCATCTCTCTCCCTCTCCTTGAGCCTCTCTATTCCCTGAACACAATATTATTGAAATTAGACCAATTAATAATTCTAGGCCAGGCGCAGTAACTCACACCTGTAACCCCAGCACTTTGGGAGGCCGAGGCAGGCGGATCACTTGAGGTTAGGAGTTCAAGACCAGCCTGGCCAACATGGTGAAACCCCATCTCTACTGATAATATAAAAATTATCTGGGCATGGTGGTGCAAGCCTATAATCCCAGCTACTGGGGAGGTTGAGGCACAAGAATCGCTTCAACTCAGGATGCGGAGGTTGCAGTCAGCCGAGATCACACCACTGCACTCCAGCCTGGGTGACAGAGTGAAACTGTGTCTCAAATAATAATAATAATGCTGCAATGGCCTCTAAGTGTTCAAGTGAAAGAAAGAGTCAGAGTCGCACATCTCTCACTTTAAATCAAAAGCTATAAATGATTAAGCTTAGTGACGAAGGCATTTCGAAAGCCAAGATAGGCAAAGAGCTAGGCCTCTTGCACCAAACACTTAGACAAGTTATAAGTGCAAAGGAAAAGTTCTTGAAGTGCTAATTCAGTGAAGACACAAATGTTAAGAAATCAAAATTGCCTTATTGCTGTCATGGAGAAAGTTTTAGTGGTCTGTCTAGATCAAACCAGCCACAACATTCCCTGAAGCAAAAACCTAATCCAGAGCAAGGCCCTAACTCTCCTCAATTTCATGAGGGCTGAGAGAGGTGAGGAAGCTGAAGAAGAAACGTTTGATGCTAGCAGAAGTTGGTTTATAAGGTTTAAGGAAAGAAGCCATCTCCATAACATAAAAATACAAGGCGAAGCAGCAAATGCTGATGTAGAAGCTGCAGCAAGTTAACCAGAAGATCTAGATAAGATCATTGATAAAGATGATGACACTAAACAGATTTTCAATGTAGATAAAACAGCCTTCTATTGGAAGAAGATGTCATCTAGGACTTTCCTAGCTAGAGAAGAGAAGTCAATGCCTGGATTCAAAGCTTCAAAAGACAAGCTGGCTCTCCTGTTAGGGGCTAATGGAGCTGGTAACTCTAAAGTTGAAGCAAATGCTCATTTGCCATTTCAAAAATCCTAGGGCTAAATTTATACTAAATCTACTCTGCTTGTGATCTATTAATGAAACAACGAGCCTGGATGACAGCACATTTGCTTACAGCATTGTTTAAGCCCACTGTTGAGACCTACTACTCAGGAAAAAAAAAGATTCCTTTCAAGATATTACATCTCATTGACAATGCACCTGGTCACCCAAGAGCTCTGATGGAGATATACAGGGAGATTAACGTTGTTTTCACGCCTGCTAACACAACATTCATTCTATAGCCATGGATCAAGAAGTAATTTTGACTTTCAAATCTTATTATTTAAGAAATACAGCCAGGTGTGGTCACTTACACCTGTAGTCCTAGCACTTTGGGAGGCCAAGGTAGGTGCACCACTTGAACCCAGGAGTTTGAGGCCAGTCTAGGAAACATAGAGAAACCCTGTCCCTACAAAAAATTCAAAAATTAGCTGGGCCTGGTCAAGCTTGCCTGTAGTCCCAGCTACTCAGGAGACTGAGGTGGGAGGATTGCCTGAGCCTAGGAGGCAGAGGTTGCAGTGAGTCAAGATCATGCCACTGCACTCCAGTCTGGGTAACAGAGAAAGACCCTGTCTAAAAAAAAAAAAAAAAAAAAAAAGGAAGAAAGAAATACATTTTTTAAGGCTAAAGGTGCCAAAGATAGTGGTTCCTCAGTTACATCTAAGCAAAGTAAATTGAAAACTTTCTGAAAAGGATTCAGCATTAAGAACATTTATAATTCACGAGAGGAGGTCAAAATATTAACATTACCAGGAGTTTGGAAGAAGTTGATTCCAACCCTCATGGACAACTTTGAGGGTTTCAAGACTTCAGTGCAAGAAGTAACTGCAGATATGGTGGAAGTAGCAAGAGAGCTAAAATTAGTAGTGGAACTTAAAGACGTGATTGAATTTCTGCAATCTCATGATAAAATTTTAATGGGTGAGGCTTTGCTTCTTATGGATGCACAAAGAAAGTAATTTCTTAGGAATTTACCTCCGGTGAAGATGCTGTGAACACTGTTGAAATGACAACAAAGGATTTAGAATATTACATCAACTTAGTTGATAAAGCAGCAGCAGGGTTTGGGAGGATTGATTCCAATTTTGAAAAGAGTTTGACTGGAAGAAAAATGCTATCAAAAGCATTGTATACAACAGAGAAATATTTCATGAAAGGAAGAGTCTACTGATGTGGAAAACTTCACTGTTGTCTTATTTTAAGAAACTGTCACAGCCAACCTAGCCTTCAGCAACTACCTGATCAGTCAGCAGCCATCAGTCAGCAGCCAGCAACATGGAGGCAAGACCCTCCAGCAGAGAAAAGATTATGACTCACTGAAGGCTCAGATGATCATTAGCATTTTTTTTAGCAGTAAGGTATTTTTAAATTAAAGTATATACACTTTTTAGACATAATGCTATTTCACATTTAATAGACTACAGTATAGTGTAAACATAACTTTTATATATACTGGAAAACCAAAAATGTGTGTAACTCACTTTAACGCTATATTTGCTTTATTGTAGTTTCCTGGAACCAAACCTGCAATATCTCTGAGGTATGCCTGTATACCCAAGTTGAGCATTTAATAACACTGAGAATTTATCTAGATGAAGGAATCATAAAGGGGCCTTTCAGGAAGAGGTAACAGGCAAAGACAAAATGCCAGAAGGTTTGCACCTACAGGTTGTTCAGGATAACTGCTGAGCAGAGTGGGAATAAGGCCACTATGAAAAACAAGACTAAGGGTTAGGCAAGCTCTGGCCACCTCTAACAGCCTCAACTATAGGGTGGGAAATGGCAAGGTCAGAGCCCTCCTGTTTCCTAGATATGAAGCTTTTCTCAGTCTGGCTACCAAGACTCCATCAAAGCAAATATGACCTGGGGCATTTAAACAGAAGTAGAGCCAGACACACATCCCAAAACCATCCTTTCACCAGGCCCAAGGCCTCTGAGCCTCTGGCCATATGTGGGGTGATGCTGGGATTGTTGATTCTGTGCCAGTCCTGAGAGCTGAGACAGGAATGCAAGTGTGCGTTCTAGAGGTGGAAATGGGGGATTTACATCAGCACCATGGACAGAGGTCTCAGCAGTTCCTTTTTTCTCTGAGTTCAGGCCAAGTCAGCAAAGTCCAGTGGAATTTTTGGCTAACAATTCCCTGAAAACTTTGACATTCTGGGCTAGAGGAGCCCAAGGGGAAAAAAAATCCAGATCACGAAACTACTGGCCCTGATATAGACTGCTATAATGGCCGCATGCTTGCCTTGACTCTTTCCTGGTCTCCTTGCCTATGGGCTTACCCCACCCTAACTTTCATTGCATCTCTTCAGTGCTGCAAGATCAATCCTTCTAATCATGAATCTGACCATGACTTTGTATTTTTAGGAAACCTCCAGTGATGCCCTTAGCTTGGCATTCAAGGCCCTTCATGGCCTTCCCTGCCCTTATTTCTAACATTATTGGTAGCCTTCGTTCCTACACAACTTTGCTCATAGCAAAGATTTCCTCCTACTTCTCTAATTATTCCCTCCACGCCCTCAAGCTGGGGATTGGAGGATCACCAGGGCTCAGCTCTTGAAACCCTTGTCCTTCCATTTCCACTCACCACTCATCCCATTAGTGATCTAATCCAGTCCCATGGCTTTCCCCAATGTTTTTGTTTTTTTTATTTGTTTGTTTTTTGTGTTTTTTTCTTGCAGTTGTTTTATAGGTTGAGGTCTTAGATTTAAGTGTTTAATTCATTTGATTTGATTTTTTGTATGGAGAAAGATAGGGGTCTAGTTTCATTCTTCTGCATATGGATATCCAGTTTTCCCAGCACCATTTATTGAAGAGATTGTTTTTCCCCAGTGTATGTTCTTGTTACCTTTGTCAAAAAACGAGTTCACTGTAGGTGTATAGATTTGTTTCTGTGTTCTCCATTCTGTTCCATTAGTCTATGTGTCTGTTTTGATGTCAGTACCATGCTATTTAGTTACTATAGTTCTGTAGTATAATTTGAAGTCAGATAAAGTGATTTTTCCAGTTTTGTTCTTTTTTGCTTAAGATAGCTTTGGCTATTCTGGATCTTTTGTGTTTCCATATAAATTTTAGGATTTTTTTTCTATTTCTGTGAAGAATGTCATTGGTATTTTGATAGGGATTGCATTGAATCTATAGATTGCTTTGAGAAGTATGGACATTTTAACAATATAGATTCTTCCAATCTATTAACATGGAATATTTTTCCATTTATTGGTGTCCTCTTCAATTCCCTTCATAAGTGTTTTATAGTTTTCATCATAAAGGGCTTTCACTTATTTGGTTAATTTCTAGGTATTTAATTTTTTATTATACTTTAAGTTCTGGGATACATGTGCAGAACGTGCAAGTTTGTTACATAGGTATACGCATGCCATGTTGGTTTGCTGCACTCATCGACCCGTCATCTACATTAGATATTTCTCCTAATGCTATCCTTCCCCTAGCCCCCCACCCCCTGACAGGCCCCAGTGTGTGATGTTCCCCTCCCTGTGTCCATGTGTTCTCATTGTTCAACTCCCACTTGAGTGAGAACATGCAGTGTTTGGTTTTTTGTTCCTGTGTTAGTTTGCTGAAAATGATGGTTTCCAGCTTCATCCATGTCCCTGCAAAGGACATGAACTCATCCTTTTTTATGGCTGCATAGTATTCCATGGTGTATATGTGCCACATCTTCTTTATCCAGTCTATCATTGATGAGCATTTGGGTTGGTTCCAAGTCTTTGCTATTGTGAACAGTGCCACAATAGGCATACACGTGCATGTGTCTTTACAGTAGAATGATTTATAATCCTTTGGGTATATACCCAGTAATGGGATTGCTGGGTCAAATGGTATTTCTGGCGATTGAGGAATCGCCACACTGTCTTCTACCATGGTTGAACTAATTTACAATCCCACCAACAGTATAAAAGCGTTCCTATTTCTCCACATCCTCTCCAGCATCTGTTGCTTCCTGACTTTTTAATGATCGCCATTCTAACTGGCTTGAGATGGTATCTCATTGTGGTTTTGATTTGCCTTTCTCTAATGGCCACTGATGATGAGCTTTCTTTCATATGTTTCTTGGCCACGTAAATGTCTTCTTTTGAGAAGTGTCTGTTCATACCCTTCACCCACTTTTTGGTGGGGTTATTTGTTTTTTCTTGTAAATTTGTTTAAGTTTCTTGTAGATTCTGGATATTAGCCCCTTGTCAGATGAATAGATTACAAAAATTTTCTCCCATTCTGTAGGTTGCCTGTTCACTCTGACGGTTGTTTCTTTTGGTGTACAGAAGCTCTTTAGTTTAATTAGATCCCATTTGTCAAGTTTGGATTTTGTTGCCATTGCTTTTGGTGTTTTAGTCATGAAATCTTTGCCCATGCCTATGTCCTGAATGGTATTGCCTAGGTTTTCTTCTAGGGTTTTTATTGTTTTAGGTCTTACATTTAAGTCTTTAATCCATCTTGAGTTAATTTTTGTATAAGATGTAAGAAAGGGGTCCAGTTTCAGTTTTCTCCATATGGATAGCCAGTTTTCCCAAACCATTTCTTAAATAGGAAATAATTTTCCCATTGCTCATTTTTGTCAGGTTTGTCAAAGATCAGATGATTGTAGATGTGTGACATTATTTCTGAGGCCTCTGTTTTGTTCCATTGATCTATATCTCTGTTTTGGTACCAGTACCATGCTGTTTTGGTTACTGTAGCCTTGTAGTATAGTTTGAAGTCAGGTAGCATGATGCCTTCAGCTTTGTTCTTTTGGCTTAGGATTGTCTTGGATATATGGGCTCTGTTCTTGTTCCATATGAAATTTAAAGTAGTTTTTTCTAATTCTGTGAAGAAAGTCAGTGGTAGCTTGATGAGGATAGTATTGAATCTATAAATTACTTTGGGCAGTATGGCCATTTTCACAATATTGATTCTTCCTATCCATGAGCATGGAACGTTCTTCCATTTGTTTGTGTCCTTTCTTATTTCCTTGAGCAGTGATTTGTAGTTTTCCTTGAAGAGGTCCTTCACATCCCTTGTAAGTTGGATTCCTAGGTATTTTATGCTCTTTGTAGCAATTCTGAATGGGATTTTACTCATGATTTGGCTCTCTATTATTGGTGTATAGGAAGGCTTGTGATTTTTGCACATTGATTTTGTGTCCTGAGACTTTTCTGAAGTTTCTTATCAGCTTAAGGAGATTTGGGGCTGAGACTATGGGTTTTCTAAATATGTAATCATGTCATCTGCAAACAGAGACAGTTTGACTTCCTCTCTTCCTATTTGAATACCCTTTATTTCTTTCTCCTGCCTGATTGCCTGGCCAGAACTTCCAACACTATATTGAATAGGAGTGGTGAGAGAGGGCATCCTTGTCCTGTACCGGTTTAAAAAGGGAATTCTTCCAGCTTTTTCGCATTCAATATGAAATTGGCTGTGGGTTTGTCATAAATAGCTCTTATTATTTTGAAATACGTTCCATTGATACCTAGTTTATTGAGAGTTTTTAGCATGAAGGGCTGTTGAATTTTGTCAAAGACCTTTTCTGCATCTATTGAGATAATCATGTGGTTTTTGTCATTGGTTCTGTTTATGTGATGGATTATGTTTATTGATTTGCATATGTTGAAACAGCCTTGCATCCCAGGGATGAAGCCAACTTGATCTTGGTGGATAAGCTTTTTGATGTGCTGCTAGATTCGGTTTGTCAGTATTTTATTGAGGATTTTCGCTTCGATGTTCATCAGGGACATTGGCCTGAAATTTTTTTGTTGTTGTGTTTCTGCCAGGTTTGGGTATCAGGATGATGCTGGCCTCATAAAATGAGTTAGGGAGGATTCCCTCTTTTTCTATTGTTTGGAATAGTTTCAGAAGGAATGGTACCAGCTCCTCTTCGTACCTCTGGTAGAATTCGGCTGTGAATCCATCTGGTCCTGGGCTTTTTTTAATTGGTAGGCTATTAATTACTGCCTCAATTTCAGAACTTGTTATTGGTCTATTCAGGGATTCGACTTCTTCCTGGTTTAGTCTTGGGAGGGTGTATGGGAGGGTGTATGTGTCCCAGGATTTATCCATTTCTTCTAGATTTTCTAGGTTATTTGCATAGAGGTGTTTATAGTATTCTCTGATGGTAGTTTGTATTTTTGTGGGATCAGTGGTGATATCCCCTTTGTCATTTTTTATTGTGTCCATTTGGTTCTTCTCTCTTTTCTTCTTTACTAATCTGGTTAGTGGTCTATTTTGTTAATCTTTTCAAAAAAACCAGCTCCTGGATTTATTGATTTTTTGACGTTTTTTTCGTGTCTCTATCTCCTTCAGCTCTGCTCTGATCTTAGATATTTGTTGTCTTCTGCTAGCTTTTGAATTTGTTTGCTCTTGCTTCTCTAGTTCTTTTTTTTTTTTTTTTTGCAATTTTTTTTATTATACTTTAAGTTCTAGGGTACATGTGCACAATGTGCAGGTTTGTTACATATGTATACATGTGCCATGTTGGTTTGCTGCACCCATTAACTCCTCATTTTCATTAGGTATTTCTCCTAATGCTATCCCTCCCTTCTCTAGTTCTTTTAATTGTGAGGTTAGGATGTCAATTTTAGATCTTTCTTGCATTCTCCTGTGGGCATTTAGTACTATAAATTTCCCTCTAAACACTGCTTTAGCTGTGTCCCAGAGATTCTGGTACATTGTGTCTTTGTTCTCATTGGTTTCAAAGAACTCATTTATTTCTGCCTTAATTTTGTTATGTACCTAGTAGTCATTCGGGAGCAGGGTGTTCAGTTTCCATGTAGTTGTGCGGGTTTGAGTGGGTTTCTTAATCCTGAGTTCTAATTTGATTGCACTCTGGTCTGAGAGACTGTTATGATTTCCATTCTTTTGCATTTGCTGAGGAGTGTTTCACTTCCAATTATGTAGTCAATTGTAGAATAAGTGCAATGTGGTGCTGAGAAGAATGTATATTCTGTTGATTTGGGATGGAGAGTTCTGCAGATGTCTATTAGGTCCACTTGGTCCAGAGCTGAGTTCAAGTCCTGAATATCCTTGTTAATTTTCTGTCTCACTGATCTGTCTAATATTGGCAGTGGGGTGTTAAAGTCTACCACTATTATTGTGTGGGAGTCTAAGTCTCTCTGTAGGTCTCTAAGAACTTGCTTTATGAATCTGGGTGCTCCTGTATTGGATGCACATATATTTAGGATAGTTAGCCCTTCTTGTTGCCTTGATCCCTTTACCATCATGTAACGCCCTTCTTTGATTCTTTGTCTTTTTTGATCTTTGTTGGTTTAAAGTCTGTTTTATCAGACTAGGATTGCAACCTCTGCTTTTTTTTTTTTTTTTTTTTTTTTTTTTTTTTGCTTTCCATTTGCTTGGTAAATATTCCTCCATCCCTTTATTTTGAGCCTATGTGTGTCTTTGCACATGAGATGAGTCTTGACTCTTTATCCAATTTGCCAGTCTGTGTCTTTTAATTGGGGCATTTAGCCCATTTACATTTAAGGTTAATATCGTTATGTGTAAATTTGATCCTGTCATTATGATGCTAGCTGGTTATTTTGCCCATTAGTTGATGCAGTTTCTTCATACTGTCGATGGTCTTTACAATTTGGTATGTTTTTGCAGTGGCTGGTACTGGTTTTTTCATGTCCATATTTAGTGCTTCCTACAGGAGCGCTTGTCAGGCAGGCCTGGTGGTGACAAAATCTCTCAGCATTTGCCTGTCTGTAAAGGTTTTTATTTCTCCTTCGCTTGTGAAGTTTAGTTTGGCTGGATATGGAATTTCTGAGTTGAAAATTCTTTTAAGAATATTGAATATTGGCCCCCACTCTCTTCTGGCCTGTAGGGTTTCTGCAGAGAGATCTGCTGTTAGTCTGATGGGCTTCCCTTTGTGGGTAACCGGACCTTTCTCTCTGGCTGCGTTTAACATTTTTCCTTCATTTCAACCTTGGTGAATCTGACGATTAGTCTTGGGGTCGCTCTTCTTGAGGAGTATCTTTGTGTTGTTCTCTATATTTCCTGAATTTGAATGTTGGCCTGTCTTGCTAGGTTGGGGAAGTTCTCCTGGATAATATCCTGAAGAGTGTTTTCCAACTTGGTTCCATTCTCCCCATAACTTTCAGGTACACCAATCAAACATAGGTTTGGTCTCTTCACATAGTCACATATTTCTTGGATGTTTTGTTTGTTCCTTTTCATTCTTTTTTCTCTAATCTTGTCTTCATGTTTTATTTCAGTAAGTTGATCTTCAATCTCTGATATCCTTTCTTCCACTTGATCAATTCAGCTGTTGATACTTGTGTATGCTTCACGAAGTTCTCATGCTGAGTTTTTCAGCTCCATCAGGTCATTTATGTTCTTCTCTAAACTGGTTATTCTAGTTAGCAATTCCTCTAATTGTTTTCAAGGTTCTTAGCTTCCTTATGTTGGGTTAGAACATGCTCCTTTAGCTCGGAGGAGTTTGTTATTACCCACGACCTGAAGCCTACTTCTGTGAATTCGTCAAACTCATTCTCCGTCCAGTTTTGTTACCTTGCTGGCAAGGAGTTCTGATCCTTTGGAGGAGAAGAGGCATTCTGGTTTTGGGAATTTTCTGTCTTTTTGCGCTGGTTTTTCCTCATCTTCATGGATTTATCTACCTTTGGTCTTTGATGTTGGTGACCTTCACATGGGGTCTCTGAGTGGACGTCCTTTTTGTTGATGTTGATGCTATTCCTTTCTGTTTATCAGTTTTCCTTCTAACAGGCCTCTCTGCTGCACGTCTGCTGGAGTTTGCTGAAGGTCCACTCCAGACCCTTTTTGCCTGGGTATCACCAGCAGAGGCTGCATAACAGCAAAGATTGCTGTCTGTTCCTTCCTCTGGAAGCTTCATCCCAGAAGGGCACCCACCAGATGCCAGCTGGAGCTCTCCTGTATGAGGTATCTGTCGACCCCTGCTGGGAGGTGTCTCCCAGTCAGGTGGCACGGGGGTCAGGGACCCACTTGAGGAGGCAGTCTGTCCCTTAGGAGAACTCGAGCACTGTGCTGGGAGATCCGCTGCTCTCTGCAGAGCCAGCAGGCAGAAAGTTTAAGTCTGCTGAAGCTGCGCCCACAGCCACTCCTTCCCCCAGGTGCTCTGTCCCAGGGAGATGGGAGTTTGATCTATAAGCCCCTAACTGGGGCTGCTGCCTTTTTTTCAGAGATGCCCTGCCTGGAGAGGAAGAATCTAGAGACGCAGTCTGGCTACAGTGGCTTTGCCAAGCTGTGGTGGGCTCCATGCAGTTCGAACTTCCCTGAGGCTTTGTTTACACTGTGAGGGGAAAACCGCCTACTCAAGCCTCAGTAATGGCGGACGCCCCTCCCCCACCAAGCTTGAGTGTCCCAGGTGGACTTCAGACTGCTGTGCTGGCAGTGAGAATTTTAAGCCAGTGGATCTTAGCTCACTGGGCTCCGTGGGGGATCTGCTAAGCTAGACCACTTGGCTCCCTGGCTTCAGTCTCCCTTCCAGGGGAGTAAATGGTTCTGTCTCACTGGCATTCCAGGCACCACTGGGGTATGAAAAAAAAAAAACAAAAAACTCCTGCAGCTAACTTGGTATCTGCCCAATTGGCCACCCAGTTTTGTGCTTGAAACCCAGGGCCCTGGTGGCATAGGCACCCTAGGGAATCTCCTGGTCTGTAGGTTGTGAAGACCATGGAAAAAACCATGGGTTGGAATGCACCATTCCTCATGGCACTGTCCCTCATGGATTCCCTTAGCTAAGGGAGGGAGTTCCTTGACCCCTTGCACTTCCCAGGTGAGGCGACACCCCACCCTGCTTCAGCTGGCCCTTTGTGGGCTGCACCCACTTTCTAACCAGTCCCAGTGAGATGAGCTGGGTACCTCAGTTGGAAATGCAGAAATCACCCACCTTTTGCGTTGATCTCACTGGGAGATGCAGACCGGAGCTGTTTCTATTCAGCCATCTTGCCAGCCACCAGGTATTTAATTTTACATGTGGCTATTGTAAATGGGGTTAATTTTTTTATTTTTTTCTTTTTTAACTTTTATTTTAAGTTCAGGGGTATATGTGCAGGTTTGTTATATAGGTAAACCCATGTCATGGGGGGTTGCTGTATAGATTATTAATAAAGTATAATATTAAGTCTAGTACCCATTAGTTATTTTTCCTGATCCTCTCCCTCCTCCCACTCTCCACTCTCCAGTAGTCCAGTGTCTGTTGTTCCCCTCTATGTGTCCATGTGTTCTCAACTTTAAGTTCCCACTTATAAGTGAGCAGCATGCAGTATTTGGTTTTCTGTTCCTGCATTCATTTGCTAAGGATAATGGCCTCCAGCTCCATCATGTTTCTGCAAAAGACATGATCTCGTTTTTTATGGCTGCATAGTATCCCATGGTGTATATGTACCACATTTTCTTTATCCAGTCTACCACTGATAGGCATTTAGGTTGATTCCATCTCCTTGCTATTATGAATAGTACTGCAATGAACATATGCATGCATGTGCCTTTATGATAGAACAATTTCTATTCCTTTGGGTATATACTCTGAAAATGTCTTTATTTTACCTTCATTTTGAAGAATATTGTCACTGGATGTAGAATTCTAGTTTGACTTTTTTTTTCTTTCAGCTCCTTAAAGTTATTATCCCATTGTCTTTTGGTCAATGATAAATCAATGATCATTCTTATCTTTATTCCCTTGTATATATGTCTTCTTTTCTGTCTCCTTTTAATGTCTTATCTTTATCATTTGTCTTTTGGTACATTGATTACAATGTACCTTGGTATGGTTTTCTGTGTGTATATCCTGTTTAGGATTTGTTGAGCTTCTTGAGACAACTGTTTTTGATCTTCAAGTTTGGAAACTTTGGACTATTATTTCTTTAAATATTTTTCTGCCCTTAACCTTTCTGAGTTTTCTATTGCTATGTCTTCGAGTTCATTGATCTTTTCTTCTTTAGTATATAACTGCTATATATACACCATATGCTATATATACTATATAATCTGCTGTTGAACTATATGGTGCATTTTTAGTTCAGATATTATACTTTTAAATCTAAAAGTTCCATTTGATAACTTCCACTTCTTTCCTCATTAAGTTTATGTTTTCATTTAAATCTTTTAATGTATATTTAGAACAGTTGCTTCAAAATCTGTGTCTGCTAATTCCATCATTCCTGTCATTTCTGAGTCTATTTCTATAGAGTGATTTTTCTCCTGGTTATAGGTCATATTTTCCTGCTTTTTTACGTATCTAATTTTATTGGATGTTGGACATTGTGAATATTCTGTTGTTGAGGGTCTGAATTTTTGTTTCCTTCCTTTCAATAATGTTGAATTTTGTTTTGTTTTGGTAGGAGTTAACTTACTTGATCATCAGCTTGTTCCTTGTAAGGCTTGTGTTTAAGACTTATTAGGATGGTGCTAAAGTAGACTTTAGGGCTAGTTTAGCCCTACTACCAAGACCCTTTTGAGGCCTCTACTGAATGTTGTGGGTGTCCGATAAGTTCTCTTCACTCTCCAACTGTAACATGAATGTCTCTCAGCCCTGTCTGAACTCTGAAAATTGTTCAGCTTATAGCTCCCCAGTAGTTTTCATTTGCCCACACTTATGGAGTTTTATTATATGCATGCACAACTCATGCATATAAATACTCATGAGTATTTAGACAAGGACTCAAGGGAGACCTCTATACAGATTTCTGAAGCTCTTTTTCTGAGTAGCTTCTTCCTCTCTGGTACTCTTCCCTGGAAATTATAGTGCCACAGACCCTCCTAATGTCAAGATCTCTAACTTCAACACAAAAAGACCCCTGTGATCTACTTGGATTTCCCCTCCCTGCTCTGCCCAAAAGTGCCTTCAAACAGAAAGCTAGGGTTGTCTTCAGGCTCACTTTGCTTGTTTTCCTTCTCTCAGGGATCATAGTTCCATGCTAACTATTGTCCGTTGTCTAAATAGTTGTTTCATACACTTATCCAGTTGTCTAGTTATTTATGCAGGCCAGAAAGTCCAATGCCAGTTACTCAGTCACGTTCAGAAGATAAAGTTCCTCTCCTTTGGGTCTTTACTCAAATGTTACACAAGAGTTGGCAATCATCCCAACAATTCTCCCTGTCCTCCATTCCTGCTTCATTTTTCTCCATAGTACTCATCAACCAACACTATCAATTTACCTATCTGTCTTACTTACGAATTGTTTCTTTTCATTAGAAGGTAAGGTCCATGCAGGCAGGAATTTTGTGTATTTTGTTCCATGTTATAGCTCCAGCACAAAGGTTAGGTCTTGGAATACAATACATATTTGACAGATGAATGAATGAATGAATGAATAAAGGATCATTACCTTTTGAAAACTTTCCTTCACGCTATTCCTATCTTTTCTGCATCTTGTATCATATTGTTGATCACACTTTGTTCCTCTCTCTCTCACACACACACACACACACACGCACACGCACACACACACAGCAGAAATGGACCTCATCTGTGTGTCCCCACCATCCAACACAGGGATTAACGAAGGTGAGTTGGGTGCATGGAAATTGTCCCCATCTAAGAAGCACAGTGTCCAAGAAACCAGCAGAGGGCAGCACAAAGCTGTGCCTCTCTTTTCACCTCCGTAGTGCCAGTCTTAAGTAGAGAGGGGCTGGTAGCAGATGGAACTGGAGCTGCAGCTAGACTTAGAAACACAGAGCCAGTGTTATTCCCTCAGAAGAGAACTCAGGAGGGCCCAGGCAGCCTTCTCTAGGGGGTCTCTCACACGGCCTTGCTGACTCAGCATGTCCTACTGTGTATTCCATCCACAAACACCCAGCCTTGATAGTAGGAGCACAGGTCCACGTGCACACACACACACATGCACACAGACCCCTCCTCAGTCAGAAGAGCCCTGCCTTCATGATGCAATCACCTTCTCTCCCAGCCTGTGCTGTTTAGGCTTTCTAGGTCAAATGGATTCCTCAGAGGTTCCATTCCCAGCCTCCCTGTCCACTCAGTGCACTTAGCAATTCCCCTGAAGGCTTTTAACGTTCACCATTTAAATTTCATTCTTACCACAGGAACTGCCAGGAGGTCAGCACTGTTAGGTCCAATTTGCAGGTGAGGAACAGACTCAGAGAGGAAAAGGAACTGGTCTAAGGTCACACAGCTAGTGAGTGGAGAGGCTCAGATTCAAACCCAGGGGTGCTGGCCTTGGGCTCCCTCCATAGCCAGCTGCAGCCTCCACTCCAGCTCAAGCCCCAGGGAAAGGGACAGGAGTGGAGGCATGGGCAGGAGGGTGGGAGGTCACAGTACAGATTCTTTACTCCCAGGATTTTTATTATCACCCTAAAATAAAGCTAGTTACTCCAGGCTTGCTTCTCCTCCCCCCACCCCACCCCCACTATAAACCTTTCTATGACATTTACAGGGTGGGGGGCATGGGGCATAGGGGGAGACAGCATCGCCTGCTTCCTGGGAACTCTTGTAGGGCAGAACCTGACTATTACTGATGTTCTCCAGGACCTCACACACAGTAGGGGCTCACCCAGGGTGGGTTTGATGGATGGATGGATGGATAAATAGGATCATCAAGATGAAGGGCAATGCCTGGGAACTCTTTAGAGTCTTTAGCGTCTCATCTTTTAATTCAGCAAACGGGCCCAGAAGATTCCCATCCCTTCCCGAGCACTAGGCCCTGTTTTGGATGCTAAAGACACATAAATGGGGAAACTGAGACCACTACTTGGCAGAGACACAAAAGTTTGCAGCAATTCAGAAGAGGATGTGCCTGGAATAGAAGGAGAATCTCAGGAGGGGCAGTCCTCACCCCTGCCCACAATAATGCTGTGAACCAGTTGCTGCTTCCGGCTGTTTGGGCCCCACCGGCAGAGAAGCCATTGTTTAGCTTGGTGCTTGGCGCCTTTCCTACCACCCAATCCTTCCCCTTCCCATTGTCCTCAGGCCCCTCATCAGGGTACAGGATGCAGCTGCCGGCACAGCAGCAAAAAGAATGGGAAGGGGCTGGGAGAAGTAGATCCCAGGAAAGTTGAGAGGCTTCAGCTGGTGGTCCCTTTCAGAAGAGCTGCTGACAAAGACCCCAGGCAGCAGGCTCTGCCAGCATGGCACTGGGCACTGGGTGCAGAACTCAGGCTTCAGAGGCAGAGAGATCCAGATTCAAGCCCCAGTATCTGCCGCTGACATACTGTGTGTCCCTGGGCAAGTCTCTTTTGATCTCTGAGCAACAATTTCCTTCTTGGTTAGAGGAAGAATAAGATGCTTGCTTAGTGAAGAATGACTTATTGCATTGAGGAGTAACACAAAAATGCATGATACCTAAATATTTTTAAATGTTCATTTCTGTTCCTTCCCCCCACCTCAGCCATAGCAAAGTATCAAAAAAGATTATGTCAAAGAGGACTCTTGTGACAAGTGGAAGCAGTGCTTTCTCTTCAGTAAATGAAGATGTTTTCCCACAACTGGGTTATCTGAAAAATCACATTGAACAAATCTATAATAAATCCCATTTAGTAATTTATAATCACATTAATGGAACAGCTGACATTTATTGAGTACTTACTATGTGTCAGACACATCACTTCTGCACAGATACTCTGTGAGTTAAGTACTCCAGGGTTAATTTCATGGGTGTATGACCAGAGTAGCTGCACAGGGCCCCCCACTCAGAAGGGTGCCATGCACTTGGGGTTTAATTTCCTGTGGTCACCACCTTGAAATTCTTAATCATTCTATCTTTTAATTTGTGTCTTATAAGAAAAGTTGGGTGGAGCAGTGGAGCACACACTGGTTATTTGGAGCCTTGGTTCATACACGGTCCTGCCTCCTGTCACCTCCCCACCTCCTCCTCCCTGAGATGGGTTCTCAGCTGTCTGTTCCCCTAAACACCCCACATCCCTATTGCCACCACAACTCCATCCCAGGCAGGGGCCTGGGTGTCGGCACAGGGAGAGGAAGAGAGAGTTTGCATGCCAAGTCATGAAACAGGCCTCTTGCCTGTCTCATGTGAGGGTCTACACTCACCTTGTATCACCAGGCCTAAGGGAATACAACATTAAATAGTGAATAATAAACAGGAAGACAGGTTGAGAGAGACAGCAGAGAGAGAAAAGGAACCCTGCATTTGCATTTGCACTGGTCCTCATAAATTATGTAGCCAGTCCTGGGTACTATGATTGCCTCTATTTCACTGAGGTGGCAATCATAGTGGACACTGAGGCTCAGAGAGGCTCAGTACTTTGTCCAGGATCACACAGCTGCCAAGTGGCAATGTTCAGACACAGACTTAGATCCCAGGTAAGAGAGGACTCCAAGATCTTAAAGAGCTTTCAGCCCAGGAATTAGGAGAGCTGGATCCAATTTTTGACTATGACCTTGGCAAGTTTGCCCCTACTCTGTGCCTCAGCTTGCCCAAGTGAAAGCACTCTATGGAGTCTTCCAAAGTAGCACAGGGTCTCAAGATTTGGCTTTGCCAGTTATATGGGCTGTGATTTTGAGCACAGGGAAATCATCTTTGCCTACCTTCCCCATAGAGTTGCCAGAAGCATTCAGCAGACATGTACCCACTCTGCATGACACTTCACAGCATGTAAAGCACGCCCATGCTACTCCCTGCCCCAAACAACATGAAGCAGAAGACTGGGCTAGGAATATTATCATCCCCATATCACAGACAGAAACTTTGAAGCGCCAGAACTCTAAAGTGACTTCCCCAAACTCACTGCATTTCAGGCAAGTTTTGAGTAGGTTAACAGACTCCCCAGGATCATAATATGAACAACCCCAAAGGAGAAGATGGATCACAACCTTGGGAGTCCTGGTGTGGGAGGGCAGCAGGAGGCCCCACTCTGAGTGGGGTGGCTTAATCCCTGGCCTTGAGGGTCCCGGGTCTGAGGAAGGAGGCCAGAGAGGTATCCAAGAGCTCCTGAAGGAAAAGAAACAGCTGGCCAGTAACTTTCAAAGGGTGACAGCATCCTGTGTGATGTCTACCCAACAAGGAGGGGTGTTATCTACAGATCATAAGCAAACAGGCAGACAGAAGGACTGAGAGGCAGATCCAGCAGAAGCATTCCCCTGTTTGTCAATTCTACTCCTGCAGCCTCCCCACCCATGACCAGCCCACTGGCCAGTCATGGGAGAGATCTCCACCCACAGAGAGCACAGGCTCTGGCTGACCAGAAGTCCCTGCAGCGGGGGTGGTATGTCCTCAGCCCTGCCCCACTCCCCTGGGTTCCTCAGTCCCTGGTTCCCTGGGAACCTGTATCATCTACAACAAAGGAGGGCCACCCCACCCTCGGGCCAGCCACCTCTCCTGCCTGGGGCTTCTGGTGACCACAGGATGTGTTTCAGAAATGGTTCTTGAAGTCAGGAGCCTCACCTGTCTATCCCCAGTCCTTCAGGGAAGCATTAGTGAAGAACTCTCCAGTAAAACTTTCTGTGGTGGTGGAATTGTACTATTACTTGCTGCCTGGTAGCCACTTGCCACATATGGCTACTGGACACTGTGGCCAATGATACTGAAGAACCAATTTAAAATTTGTATTTTGTTTTAATTATGTTAAATGTAGATTTAAATTGTTATATGTGGCCAGTTTGGCTACTGTATTGGGCAATGAAGCTCTAGAAACAAAAGGGGACAATACACCATGACTTGGGGCTTCAAAAACACTTTCACATTCATCTCATTGTCCTGTGAAATAGGTGTTTATCCCCATTTTACAGAGGAGAAAACTGAAGCTCAGAGAAACTAAACGGCTTCCATGCTGATGGAGCCAGGAAGAAGTAGAGACATGATTGAGTCCCAGGTTTCTTGATTTTGATTCCAAAAGTCCACTCATACCTCTTTGCAACACTGCCCACTTATGTAGTCATCACATATTTATTGGGTCATCGTTATTTAGGAGTACACTTCTGGGCTAGACACTTAAAAACAAATCAGATACAGGCCCAGGCTTTGCGAGAATCCTTGGACAAAAGCAGCGTAATTGCCACAGTAAGAATATGGGCATAAAAATTACTTTAAGTGACTTTCTTCCAAGTAGCTCAAAGCACTTTGCTTTAAATTCCATTTATATCTGATGACTTCCCAATTGATATTTCAGGCCCCAACCTGTGCCCAGAGAACTCTCAATGGGTATACCAAACAGCCTCCATTTGAATATTGAATTGGCTTGTCAAACTTGTCCCAAACTTGCTCTACCCCATCTCAATAAATAACAATTCCTTGCTTCCAGTGTTTCCACCGCCAAACCCTCTCTTCTCTTCACACCTTTCATCTAATCTATCAGCAAAAATTGTCAGCTCTGTCTTCAAGAAACATCCAGAATGCTCTCCATCTCTGCTACTGCCTCTCTAATCTATCAGCATCATCTCTAGCTGGACTGTAACAAACTGCTCTCCTGTGTTCCTCACTCTCCCCCCACTTTTTTCTACAAAGTAGCCAGAGTAATTTTTTCCTTTATTTTATTTTATTTTATTTATTTATTTATTTATTTATTTATTTATTTATTTATTTATTTATTTATTTTTGAGACGGAGTCTCGCTCTGTTGCCAGACTGAAGTGCAGTGGTGCAATCTCGGCTTGTTGCAACCTCCGCCTCCCGGTTTCAAGCCATTCTCTTGCCTCAGCCTCCCAAGTAGCTGGGATTACAAGCGCGCACCACCACGCCCAGGTAATTTTTGTATTTTTAATAGAGACAAGGTTTCACCATATTGGCCAGGATGGTCTCCATCTCCTGACCTTGTGATCCGCCCACCTCAGCCTCCCAAAATGCTGGGATTACAGGCGTGAGCCATCGCGCTGGCCCAGAGTGAATTTTTTTTTTTTTTTTTTTTTTTACGGAAAAGCCAGAGTATGCTACCTCTCAGCTTAAAGCCCCCAGTGCTTTCCCAAAGTCCTTTCAGTGATCCATAAGGCCCTAAAGCCCTGGCCTCTGATGCTTCTCTGACCTCATTTCCTATCACTCTGCTCCTTGCTCTTCTGGTCCAGCCACAACAGGTCTTCCTGGTCACTCCTTCCTGCAGCCACTGCACAGCTCATTCCCTCACCTCTCCTCCGATAAGCTGACTAAATGTTCCCTTTTCACAGAGGCACTCCCCATCACCTGACCGTGTTTCAATTTTCATCATAACACTTATCACCTCCTGACATTTAATATGTTTGCCTATTGTTGCTCTCCTCCCTCTAGAGTATAAATAAACTGCAGGAATAGATTGGCAGATAAGATACACGATGCTCAGTTAAACTTGCATTTCACATACACAATGAATAATTTTTTAGTGTGAGGATGTCCCAGATGTTGCATGGGATGTCTTAATGCTAAAAAATTGTTTGCTGTTTCTCTGAAATTCAAACTTTACTGGGTGTCCTACATTTTTATTTGCTAAATCTGGCAACACTATACAGGAAGACAAGGACCCTGGTTATTTTGTTCATGGCTGTATCCCCAGCGCTAGAACAGCTCCTGACACGTAGTAAGTAAGCTCTCAATAAATATTTATTGACTGAATGAATGTGTTAATTAATCTGAAACGCGCCTAAACTTTTAACAGCCTGTGTGAGAGTCAGAGAGGCGGAGCCTTCAGACTTGGTTAGTCCAGGGGGCGTGGGCGGCTGATGAACTTTCGAAGTAGGTCGAGCAGCCGGGCGCTTTGCCTGCCCCGCCCGCGCTCCGCAGGATGCAGGACTCCACCCGGCTCAGGTTCGCAGCAGGTCCCGGAAGCCCTCCTGGGGGCGGGGCCACCCTAATCGGCAGGTGGGACCCAGCCCCAGCCGGGGCAGGGCCCCTTTAACGCCCCACCTCTCCGCCACGACTTTCGCCCCGGCGTGACGTCACCCCAGCGGGCGACCAATGGGAGTGCGGCTTACTGGCAGGCGGCGCAGGCGGCCGCTGCCAAAGGGGAAGTGATCTGGGGCTGGAGCGATGGCCCGGGGCTGGAGCTCGCGGCCGCCGCCGCCGCAGCCGCCGCCACCAACGCCAACAACAACGTGTCGGGAGCAGCCGCGGCCGAAGCCGGAGCAGGGGCCGGAGTCGCGGCTGGAGTGGGGCCTGCGCGTGTGAGTGGCCGAGAGTTGCCCGTGCCGGAGACCTCAAACTCCGGGCGGGAGCGCTTTCGGTCGGCCGAGCCGCCGTCGCCCGCGGCACCGTGTCCCCAAGGCCCAGACAGCGGGGCGGGGGTCTATCAGGCGCGGGACTGGCTTCTCTCAGGCCGACCCTTCTAGCCGGGCTCCGGATCTTCCTCGGCCTCGGGCCCCCTTCACGTTCAGGACGGAGGCCGGAGAACGGTGATCATCACACACCCCAGCCGGCTTCCTGGCCAGGGCATTTTCTCTGCGGCCAAGCAGTGTTGGGATTGTAGCTGCTGGGAGCCCCCTCCTGCCGCCACCTCTCCTGCAAGGAAGGGACTGACGCGTTCCCACTTTCTTACTCTGCACCTCCCCACTCTCTTCCCATTCAAGAACGAGTTTCTCTTCCCTCTCCATTGGAAATCTTGCTCCGGAGGTCCGAAACACGTATTTTAAGCGTGCCCTTCCTCACCTCCTGGAGCACCCTTAGAAGTATTGCCTACTTATCCGGGCTGAGAATCCTTCATTTTTGACCTGGCTTTTTTTTCGCCCTTTGGGAGATAAAGGTCCCTCTCCACCCTCTACTAACACTCTGCACCCAAGGCCTTATCCTTTGGGGTCACCAGCTCCTTGGCCATTTCTATGTGATTTCCCCCACCCATCTGAGTTCCAGTTTCCTCTGGGCTCCAATCTCCAGTCCCTGGCGGATCTGGTCAGTCCCACCCCTAGGTGGGAGTGACCAGGGGGCTCTGGCCCAGGATTCCCAACCCTGGAAGGCAGCTCCAAGGCAGGAAGAGAATTGGGCATCGGGTACGAACCTGGCAGCTCAGGAGTCGGGGCTCCACTCACCCCACACAAAAAGATGAAAAAGCGCAAAGAGCTCAATGCATTGATTGGTTTGGCTGGGGACAGCCGGAGAAAGAAGCCCAAGAAAGGCCCAAGCAGTCACCGCCTGCTTCGCACTGAGCCTCCCGACTCAGACTCTGAGTCCAGCTCCGAAGAGGAAGAGGAATTCGGTGTGGTTGGAAATCGCTCTCGCTTTGCCAAGTGAGTAGTGGTGAAAGGTGGAATGGGAAGAAGGCATCTCCTTGCACTACCAAGGGGCCACATTGACAGGAAGGAGAAAGGAAGTCCTTAGGAAGAAAAAAGGGTGTAGGCCTTGGAAGTCAAAGAGGGAAAAACGGTTTTAGGGAGAAGGTAAGTTCAGATCCTGAATGAAGAATAAGTTAGAGATCTGTCTTTAGGTGTAGAAAGAAAAGCTCCAAATCTGAGGTGGAAATGTGGACTTGGAGAATGTGCCAAGAGCCCAGGGAGTCCTAAAGAAGCAAAGAATGGAGACAGAGGAGCAGAGAAGCTTTGGGGACTAGACTTTTTAAAACAGTGTAGAACAAAGGAGAAGCAGAGACTTTAAGACTGCAGATTATTTCGTTTTTGCACTCTTGATGAGTCTGAATATTGGTGGTGGGGAAATATGGTGAGAGATATACTGTAGGAAGTATGAGCCTTGAGAGTAGGTGGGGTCGGGGGGCAAAAGAAGAGGCATCATTTTCCCTAGCCATTCATAGGTGGAGAGACCACTAGGCAAATCAAGTAGTAAGATTTGAGGACATTGGGATTGGGGCTCAGGATGGGAAAGGACTAAAGGGAACTTCAAAAACGTCCTTTGACTCTCTCAGAGCACACTAAAAGAAAAGAGGATTCTGCTGAGGATGTAGAAACAATGGCTAGGCAGAAGGTCGGGGTGCTGACATTGAGTGGTTGGTTGGTTTAAAATGTCTTGTTTTGTTAAAGGAAGAGTTTGATTTCTAATGAGCTTTGTCAGCTAAGGCTGTTAAGGGCAATCCTGGGTTTGGGTTATGAAGATCAGTTGAAGTGTTACCTTCATCAGAAGGTACCTGGAGTAGTAACCCTACTAAGTTAGTTTAGACCTTGAAGGTTGGTTGATGTTTTGTGTGAAATCCAGCCCCTTCTATGTTTCCTTACTTCTGAGCCAATAAGCTAGAATACACCAGGTGTCCACTTAAAACTACAGATCCTGTTTCTTTCATTTCTTTTGCAGTAAAACTTGCTCAAAAGTTTATAAAGTTTCAGTAAACTGGAGCAAGGTTCCCCGGAGTGAGTATGTATTTCAGAGAGAAATCAATAGGCAAATTCCAGTGCAGAGATGGAATTGCAGAGAAACATTGGTCTTTACACTTTTGTGACCTGAGCTTGTATTCAAAGACCTCCCTCCTGATAATGACAGCTGCAGTGCCTTTAGGTTCTTCCTTTTACCTGCAGGAACTCCTTCTGTTTTATGTGACATTTGAAACCTTTGTATCCAGTAGATGAACCCTTAATAGGTCATATTATTTATTCATTTAAGTGCTTTACCCTGCCTCCCCTGGTTAATTCACTGGTTATTCATTTAAAGGAGATAATTGCATGGCAAAACGTGTACTATTGCTAATAAAGCTATACCCATAATCACTTTTGTACTCATGGTTGAATTTGTCCTCTTGAGCAGGGGAGACTATTTACGATGCTGCAAGATCTGTTATCCGCTCTGTGGTTTTGTCATCCTTGCTGCCTGTGTTGTGGCCTGTGTTGGCTTGGTGTGGATGCAGGTTGCTCTCAAGGAGGATCTGGATGCCCTCAAGGAAAAATTTCGAACAAGTAAGTAAGTGGTTACTCTCTTTTTTTTTTTTTTTTTTTTTTTTTTGAGACAGGGTCTTGCTCTGTCGCCTAGGCTGGAGTACAGTGGCGCAATCTCGGCTCACTGCAACATCCGCCACCCAGGTTCAAGTGATTCTCATGGTCAGCCTTCTGAGTAACTGGGATTACAGGTGTGTGCCACCACACCCAGCTAATTTTTTTGTCTTTTTAGTAGAGACGGGGTTTCACCATGTTGGCCAGGCTGGTCTCAAACTACTGACCTCAGGTGGTCCACCTACCTCGGCCTCCCAAAGTGCCAGGATTACAGGCGTGAGCCACCACACCCAGCAGTGGTCACTCTTTTCAGGGTGTAATCCTGGACTCCTTTCCAGGTTCTGGGACAAAGTCAACCCTGCTGAACGAAGATTTTTGCCCATTCTAGTGAAGCAATTATACGTTCCTCTCAGTATTTTTATACTCTTTTTGAGCTCTCTGCTTGAATGTTGTAACACTTATTTGTTTTTAAACTCACAAATAAAAGGCAGTGCTTATGCACCAGCAGGACAAGTAGCATCTGAAATAATGGCATTGCAGTCAATGCTTAGCGTGCAAAAGGCAAGAGACTCCTACCCTAGGGGTAGGAGTCTAGAACTTGGTGTAACCTCTACTTATGGCTTGCATCTCCCCAAGCATAAAGTGGCAATGACAACACTGGGCTATTCCTTCCACCTCACAGGGCCATTTGAGAAAGAATGTGGGAGCATCTGTCAAACGATTGCCTCTTTAGAAGGACTGAATAGGAGCATAGGAATGGGCAATAATAAGAGTAGCTAACATTTGTGGAAGGCCTACTCTGTGCCAAGTCTCAAATCATTTTCTTTACAAAATAATCCGGTGAGATGGGTATTATTTTTATTATTTTGTGCTCTTAGAAGGATTAAGTAATTTGTTCAGTGATTAAGTATGACAGAGCTGAGCGTCCTCTTGCCCCTTGCTGCCCAAATTCACATTTATAACACTACTGTCTGCACCACTGTTCCTGGTGGCCTTGTAAGCCTATGCACATTTCTTCAAGTGCCTACAGATCTCTTTGATATCAACTTGGTCAGTAATCTAAAAGAAGTTTAGTAGAAGAAACAGGAAGAACTGGTTTTCTGCATACTTATCAGTTTTCAAGCTTAGAGCAAGGACTGATAGATTTCTCTCCTTAGCTGTGCTTATACTAGTAACACGATCTCTTTCAAGAAAAAAACATTTAAATACCATTAATGAGTGTTATCATTTTAAAGTTTTAGGAAACTTGAACTAAGTTACATACTCGTGAAGGGCTTACAACAACCATACCTACTTTGAACACTGTGCAACTGTCAGAAATGTTTATCTCATGAGTGAGTTTTAAAGTTTAAGGAGGTTTTGAAGTCACAGAGTTTTGTATATTCTAAATTGTAAAGTTATATTTTACACATCCAAATTACTTTTTCATTTCTTTTTCTTTCTTGTTTTTTTTTTTTTTTGAGATAAGGTCTTGCTTGCTCTGTCACCCAAGCTGGAGTGCAGTGGCATCTGGCTCGTTGCAGCCTTGACTTCATGGGCTCAAGCAGTCTTCCCGTGTCAGCACCCCACACCCCCAATCCCAATAGCTGAAACTACAGGCACGCGCCACCCTCTGCTAATTTTTGTATGTTTGTAAAAGACAGGGTTTTGCTATGTTGCCCAGACTGGTCTCGAACTCCTGGGCTCAAGTGATCTGCCTGCCTCAGCCTCCCGAAGTGCTGGAATTACAACTTTGAGCCATTGTGCTCGGCCCAAATTACTTTTTCCAAAAGGTATGTTTGCATAATAGCTTTGACCGAATTTAACATAGAATTTTTTTTTTTTTTTTTTTTAGCAACACTGAAACTTTTGGCTCTAGGTTTAAGGGTTAATCTTCTAAGCAAAGGAACCAGTTTCAACTTAATCACAAATACCCTAACCTTAATAGCATGAGCACACCAGGAAACTGACCACAAGGCTTTCTCAAGGTCATAAAGAAATCTGGCTCCAGAACTGGAATTAAAGTTCTTACTTTCGATCTTAAGCCTAGATTACAGTATCCTCACTTTCCCATCTGAAGCCTAGAAGATTGCAATATCCCAACTTCTCTTGGCTGCCTACAGTTACTCAAGTTTTGAACCCAGCCTAAGAACAGCTAATTTTTAGTGTGTTAATGATGTTTCTAGTGATGTTGCTTAAAAAAAAAATACTGACTTTGGTTTTCTTCTGAGTTTCTGATTCTGGGGCTGGGGATTCAGTATGCCACAATTCTCTGCCAGAATCCTAACCTGGATTACCAATTTTTAGAGTATGATATAAGAAACAATGAGATATATACCCCATATTTATTTTTCCTCCTTTATAGTTGTCCTTGCAGTATTGTACAGTGTCTCTGAGGCCAATTTTTCCTTTGTAAGTAGTAAGCATAACTTGGAAATTAGGTTCTCAGAAACAGTGTTCAACCATAAGTAACCACTGAAGACACCTGTCTGTGCCGTCATCTCTCTGTAGTTAATTGGGTCTCCTAACTACAGCCCTGTAGTTAGTTAGGCTTGTAGTTCAGCTATAGGCTTGTGCTGTAGCTTGTTTTGATCACATATAGCAATTATTTATTTATATATTTCAAAACATTGCTCAATTCACCTATCCAGGGATTCCTTTTTCTGACTGCTCTGTACCTGTGTTTACAGGATACTTATGTAATTTATAGCTTAGCTGAGCTTTTCAGGTAATTTCTTTGGGAATGCAAATAAAGTACTACATTTTAAAAATGTAGTACTTGTACATATAATAGACCTGGCAATCAGTCAACAAATATTTATTGAACACTTGTTAATACCAATCCCTGGAAATACTATATTGTCTTCAGGAGATGTCAAGAATTATACCCTGGACTGCGGACCCTGCTTTCTACCATTGAGCCACATTCCCCTGGGACCCTAACTACATTTGTCAGCCAGCTGAATGAAGCAGATTTGGAATTGTCAGTCCAGCTGTTTTGTTGGCTTTGATTCGCTACAATAGAAATGCCAGCACCTGCAATGTCTTCCTGACATTGCAAAGCAGGACTTCCTGAGGGAGGGTAGGGAATGGGGTGTAGTCAGTCCATAGGCTAAACCATCATAGACTACTTAGGAGTTATTTTGTGAGAACCAATATCTTGACTAAATGGAACCAATCTTGTTAGGTTTAAATAATCTTTCTTTGAATTATGCTTCTACTTTAAAAAAAAAATTTTTTTTTTTTGGTTGGTTGGTTGGTTGTTTTTGAGATGGAGTTTTGCTCTTGTTACCAAGGCTGGAGTGCAATGGCATGATCTCGGCTCACTGCAACCTCTAACTCCCAGGTTCAAGTGATTCTCCTACCACAGCCTCCTGAGTAGCTGGGAATTACAGGCGCATGCCACCACATGCAGCTAATTTTTTGTATTTTTTTTTAGTAGAGACAGGGTTTCACCTTGTTGGCCAGGCTGGTCTCGAACTCCTGACCTCAGGTAATTCACTCTTCTCGGCCTCCCAAAGTGCTGGGATTACAGGCCTGAGCCACCACGCCCTGCCTAAATATATTTTTTAAGGTTAATTTTTTTTTCTTGTTTTTCAAGAAGACAGTGGGATTCACGAACTTGGATAAGACCACCTGCTTGTCTGGCTTTAATACCTTTTTGAGAAATCCAGAACTTCTTGATTTTATTTCTATAAATTTTCCAAGACACTTGCAAGGAAAGGAAGGATTGCTAAAATACCTGAAATAGAAAGCAAAGCAGATAGGCTTGGCCTTTTTTTTTCTTTTTTTTTTCTCGTCAAAGAGAAACTTGATCCTTAAGCTAAAAGTACTGACTGGCCCTGAAACTCTTAGCTCAGTATTCTTTTTTCCAAAACCAGATACTTCAAAAAACCTCCACAGTTATTCTAAGGAAGATTCTATTCTCAACCATCCTTTTCTGTCACTCCACTATGAAAGACTTGAGTAAATGAAAAGAAATTTGGAAAAGTATAAATAAATCAGGCACCTCCTTTTCTGGCCATACAGACAAAGTAGTGACTTGGTCATTTAGCACAGAAGTTAAAGATGGTCTTGTGCTAACGAGGGCATTAGGGAATATAGGTATCTGTGACCTCTAAAGTATACTAGAAAAAGTACTGGTCCTAGGAGCAGAAGGTTTGACTTTTTGAATTCTGGCTTTGCAAAACTAGCTGTAAAACTTAGACAAGTCACTTATTCTTTCTGGGCCTTCACTTTCTCATCTATAAAACATAAAGATGTATTTGTGCTACCAAAGCACTTTGGGCATTCCTCTGTCATAACATCGGTCACACTGTATAGTAATTCTGTGACCGTGCCTGGCTCCCCACTAGACTAAGAGCTTCAGGGTCTTTTGTATATACTAGTGCCGGTGCAGGGATGGACACATGGTGGGGGCTTAATAACAAGTTGTTGAATAATTAATACATAAAAGTTTATTGCAAACTGGAAAGACATTGTATAAATATAAAATATTGCTGTCAGCAATATGTTTACTATTTGAGTGGTATATGTTTACATTTTTCCATTTCCTCATCTTAAAGATTAGGAAATCAAAAGAACTAGGTAAATTCTTTTGAGCATTAACATACAAAATTTTAAGTTGTTTGCTTCCTTTGTTGGAAAAACATGAATTAGTAATCAGAAGTTGTTTGTTTGCTACACTTCCTCCCATTTATGTAATAAAAGTACCTCTACTTGACTTGTCTCTCCTAAAAAGCTCCAAACCAGATAATCATTGTGATCCCCTCTTGGCTCATAGAGTCCTCAGGATCCAGAATATTTTCAGGGCTGGTCAGCTTTATGTGTTTCTTAGTTAATAATTGTAACCCAGGTTATTTATGTATTTGTCTATTTCCTCTTCCACTCCTACCTCCTAGTTCATGCGTATAGACTGCAGGAAAGAGAGACTTCGCCCCTTGCCCCTTCGGGGTACCTGAGTATGGCAGATGTTTGTTGGATGAGTTTTTCTTTATAACCTAACTGAAAATGTATAGGAAATTCAGTGAAATGAATTTAGACTGGCTGGTAAAATGTTTCTACTGTATGAGATAGATAGATTCCTGTAAACCATGTGTAAATCAAGTGCTACATTAAAAGCACCTGCTGGGAACTACTGGGCAAAAGGAAATCAGTATGTGGAAGAAACATCCACACCCCCATGTTTATTATAGCATTATTCACAATAGCCAATATATGGAATCAACCTAGGTGTCCAACAGCAGATGGATGAAGAAAATGTAGTATATATACACAGTAGAATACTATTCAGCCATAAAAAGAGTGAAATCCTGTCATTCTCAGCAATATGGATGGAACTGAAGGACGTTGTTAAGTGAAATGAGCTGGGAACGGAAAGTTAAACACTGCATGTTCTCACTCATATGTGGAAGATAAGAAAAGTTTATCTCACTGGGTATGGTAACTCACGCCTGTAATCCCAACAACTAAGGAGGCTGAGGCAGAAGGATCACTTGAGCCCAGGGGTTTGAGACCAGCCCAGGGAAGCATAGCAAGACACCATCTCTAAAAAAATTAAAAATAGCTGGGCGTGGTGGCACAAGCTTGTAGTCCCAGCTACTCAGGAGGCTGAGGCAGAAGGATCGCCTGAGCCCAGGAGTTTGAAGCTGCAGTGAGCTATGATCATGCCACTGCCTTCCAGCCTAGGTAACAGAGATCTCATGTCTAAACAAAATAAAAATATATTTCAAAAAAATCTGATTCTATAGAAGTAAAAAATACAACAGAGGATACTAGAGACTGAGAAGAATAGGGGAAGAAGGGATAGGGAGAGATTGGTTAAAGGATGAAAAATTACAGCTAGATAGGAGGAGAAAGTTCTAGTGTTATGTACCACTGTAGCATGACTAGAGTTAACACTAGATAGTTCCAAATAGCTATAAGGAGGATATCAAATATTCCCGACACAAAGAAATGATAAATGTTTGAGATGATGGATATGCTAATTACTCTGATCACTATACATTACATGTATGGAAACATTGCTGTGTACCCTGTAAATATGTACAATTACCATATATCAATTTTTTTTTAATTTTAAAGCATGTAGGAAGTCTGTCATTATAATGAAGCCCTTTGGCAAACATTTTTGGAAAATGAATAAATATATCTCATTTCTTTTAATTATTCTGAATTTTCAGTAGTAAGCTTGCTTAAAATAAGGATACCACCATCACTCCTCATTTTGTGGGGGATCTTGTTAAATGTGTTTGGGTTTTTTATTTGGTTTTGTTTGTTTGTTTGTTTGTTTTTGAGATGGAGTCTCGCTCCGGCCGCACAGGCTGGAGTGCGGTGGCAAGATCTTGGCTCAACACAACCTCCACCTCCCAGGTTCAAATGATTCTCCTTCCTCAGCCTCCCGAGTAACTGGGATTACAGGCATGCCCCACCACGCCTGGCTAATTTTTGTATTTTTAGTAGAGACAGGGTTTTGCCATGTTGACCAGGCTGGTCTCAAACTCCTCACCTCAGGTGATCCACCCACCTCAGCCTCCCAAAGTGCTAGGATTACAGGTGTGAGCCACCGCACCCAGCCTGGGTTATTTGTTGAGGGTTTTTTTTGTTTAACTTAATAGTATAACATTAACTCCATTTCATACCCTGCAATTATTTCACAGAACAAGCATTTGAACCCTTCTGAGTACCTGGCTCTGTGCTGGCTGCTGGAAATGCATACCCAAGTTAGATCTAGTCTTTGTCCTCAAGCATCTCACCATTTGGTAGAGGAGACCGATGAGTAAAGTTACAGTACCACGTGTTAAGTGCATGGTAGAATTTGGAGTGAAAAGAGGTGCAGTGGTCCGAGTGTCCTGGCTGTTGGTGCTGAATCTTAGAAGGAATGAACTAGGCCAAAGTGGTAGAAATAAAGAAGAGACAAGCCAAGGGCATCTAGGCAAAAACCATAGCATGTGCAAGGGTCATGAGGCTTCAAAGGTTAGTGTGTCAGGAAGATCAGCTTGGCCACAAGTAGGTTGAAGAGGTAGGTAAAGTGATGAGAAATGTAATTGGAAGTTAAGCAAAGGTGAAATATTTATTCAGGTGATAAATATTGATTGAGTGCTTAAAATTTTAATTTTAATTAACATTTTAATGTGTCAGGAGTGTTCTAAGTGTAGAAGTGAACAAAATAGCACATGAACAAATGAACAAAATGTAGCTGACCATGTAGAAATGAACAAAATAGTCTTGGAGCTTACATTTTAGGAAGTTATTTTATATGGGTCTTTTATGCCAGTTTTTAGTTTTAAGGAAGCATATAATAACTAAGGCGGTCTGTGGCTTTAAAAAAAAAAAAAGGATGTAGGTTTTATTCTGGAGGACCAGCCATTATTAATATTTTATTTTCTATGAAAAGGGAAAATGCTCTTTAAAGAAAGAAGAGAAAGCATTGTTTCAGGCCTCTGCCTTCAGGCTGGCAAATCCCTAAACCATTCAGGAGCTATTGTTTCCCAAAAGAAAGGCCAAATATCATACTATACTTCACCTAGCATATTCTTTTATCTTCTATTTCATTTTGAGTTTTGGGGTGATTTAAGACTTAAGAAAATACTGTTTACTACTTATGAAAAAGATTAAAAATCTTAGCCCTCGTAACAGCATTCGAAAGGTGGTAAAACCTCCCCCTTGCAGTTGACTAAGGTAGAAAAAGATTTAAGCATTTAGAAATATAACTTATAATCTCACCTTGGGCATTAATGGAGTAGATTTATAAATCTTAATTGACTAATCTAAAAGCTCCTTAATTGAGCTGGTCAGTACTTAGCATTTATCATCTATGACCAGCTGTCTTAAGTGCTTTGCAGCCATTCTCTCACTTAATATTAACAGTCCTGTGAAAGTATATTTTATCGCTGTATTACAGATGAGGAAACTGAGCTCTAAGAATTTGAGTAATTTGCTCAAGATCATAGTGAGTCACAAAATTGAGATTCAAAGCCAACTCTTTCTGCTCACATTCTGTTATGATTTTTAGTTGGCTAACTTTTAAAAGTTGCATTGCCAGCAGTGAAATAGCCCCAGTTAAAATGGGAGCTTTAGTGTGAAAGATATATATTTACATAAATAAAAGAACAATGTCAGAATTAACTTTTATTAATCCATCTTCTTTCCTACTGTTTGATGATTTTTTCATCTTAGGACCATGAGGGCACTTTATGCTAGTTATGATTGTTCTTATTTTGTCTTTTTAGTGGAATCTAATCAGAAAAGCTCATTCCAAGAAATCCCCAAACTTAATGAAGAACTACTCAGCAAGCAAAAACAACTTGAGAAGATTGAATCTGGAGAGATGGGTTTGAACAAAGTCTGGATAAACATCACAGAAATGAATAAGCAGGTACTAAAAGTTTGATTTTTGCTGTGTAAGCTATGAATATTTGTTTGGTTGTTTAGTATGAATAGGATATAGAGAATTGTAGGTATAGGGAATTCATTTCAGTTTGTTTTACTTTTTGAAATGGGGTTTTGCATACTGTAATCCCAGCATGTTAAAGTCAGGTAAAATAGTTATGCATTTACCAGATATTTAAAATGTTAATCCTTTCTGCAAAAGAAAATAATTCTACTAAATACAGCAGTTGAGAGAAAGTTGGAAGTTTCTTGAATCACCCTTTCCTACATAGTAGAATAGGTGTCAGATAAAAAAGGAGTGTCATCTAACCCCCAAGAAAAGTAGATAACCCATTTTTATTAGCTAATGAGAGCTTATTTCATTTGAGTTTACAAAATCTGGAAATCATCAACAGTAGTCATTCTAAGAATAGCTTAGGAGTGGGTGATGGAGTTGGTTAAATACCTTGGTCAGTCAAATAAGCCTAATACAACATAAACTTTTCCAGTCCCTAAATTGACCAGAGTTGAGTAGGCATTGATTCCAGAAGTGGGACTCTGCCAGAGAATAAAGGCTTATTCTAAGGATGTTGATCAAGCATCTTGTATGTATAAGGATACCATATTTGTCACAGGGTAACTATAGCCCCATCCCTACTTTTTCCATTTAGTTAGGAAATGTATATGTGTAGAAAAGAAAAGTCAAGTACCAGATGAATGACACACATGCAAAGTGCTTAAAAATAGATATTATTTTTCTTGGGGCTGAGAAGGTATTGTCTTGTTCAGAGTAGAATCACAAAGTTCAGAATGAGCCAGTAGTGACAAGGAGTGCTGTGCTAGAAGAAAGTGCTTGCAAATGTATCTGAAGCCACACCTTTCAGCAATGGTCCAGGAGTGGGGCAGTTCAGCACTTAAGACCAATGATAAATAGTGTGGGGCAGTGACTTCCAAACTTTTGCCTGGAACCTGCAGTAAAAAATGTTTTACATCATTACCCAGTAAACGCATACATACCTATTTGTAACTGACATAAACGTTTCTGAAACAGTAGCTCACTCTTAATGTGTATGGTGCCTTATGACACTTTCCATTCAGTTCTATTTAATCTTTCAAAATTATTCATGAAATAATTCATGAGTTACAGCCGTCTAGTATTTACCCTCTGTCCTTTACCTTTGGACTCTAAGTAATTAGAGAAAAGCAGGTATTCACCCCTTTTTTGCAAAAAGGATGGGAGAAATTGGCCTTGCCTAAATTCACACAGCAAATTACATCAGGTGAAAGTAGACCACATTGAAGCACTGAAAGATAATCAGCATCTCTCCTGGGGCAAACTGGGGATTCCATATAGGTAGCCAGCCATGCAGTTTACCATTCTGAGAGGAGGATGATACCGTTCAGCATGAAAAGGCAAAGTCAGCTATCTATTTTTCATCTCGTTCTTGTAAACTGACATTATAGGAAGAGTCAAAGGGGATATTGGTACATGGTGGGAGAAAACACATAGATTTTCAAATCTTTGGTACATATGTTGGTTTCTGAGTTCTCTTTAACCAGGAAGCTAGACACAAAGTAATCATTTTATTCTTAGCCTGCCATTATTTTTAATGCAAGAAGCACCTGAGAAGGCAGATACAGTAAATCTCAATGTCATTGATAGGTTTTTGGAAACTGTAAACTTAAGTAAATGGCATATAATGAAACCAGTTTTATCATAGGCTAATTAATATAAAGAAGACTTAAGGTCAGGTGTGGTGGCTCACACCTGTAATCCCAACACTTTGGGAGGCCAAGGTGGGAGAATCACTTGATCCAAGGAGTTCCAGATCAGCCTGGGCAACAAAGCAAGACCCTGTCTCTAGAAAAAAATAAAAATAATTAGCCGGGCATGGTGGCGTACACCTTTAGTCCCAGTAACTGAGGAGTCTGCAGCAGGAGGATTGCTTGAGCCTTTGAGTTTGAAGCTGCAGTGAGCTGTAATCGTGTCACTGCACTCTAGCCTGGGCAACAGAGCAAGACCCTGTCTCAAAAAAAAGAAAAAAAAAGTTAAATTCCTAGGGCACATTTCTGGCCACAAAAAAAAATCACTACACTTCTAGATAAAGACCAAAACACATCTAGTATTCAACATTGAAATAAACGTGAGCGATACATACATTTACAAAAGATGAATAAAAGCAAGTAAAATATTTATCCGTTTATTTCAGCGCAGGATCGGGTCATGAGTGGCCAGAGCCTATCCTGCTTAGGGTACAAAGCAGGAAACAGCCCTGGACAGGACGCCACCCCCATCGCAGGGCTTACTCATACACACGCTCACACTCAGACTGGGACTGTTTACACATGCCAGCTAACCTAACATGCACAGTTTTGTGATGTGGGAGTACCTGGAGAAAACCCATGCCAACATGAGGAGAACATGCAAACAGACAGTGGCCCCAGCCAGGAGTCAGATTTTTTTCCCATCAACGTTATAACCAAATGACATTGGACAAAATATTATTCAAGAACCTGCTATAAATAGGAAAGTTTGCTTCTGTCCTAGGGCTTCATCTATGAAACTGGAAGAGATTGCAGTGAAACCCTTTCCATTTCAGCATCAATATGCCTTCAAAGATGCTGGGACTGACTTATGAAGCCAGCCTGATAACAGAGGACTTCACCATGAGCGCAGGCCCAGAGCATTGGTGATGGGAAAGCAGAGACTTGTGTTGTTTCCTAAGGGAGCTCAGCACTCTCTGTCTGAGTGGTTTTCTAAAATTAATGTTACACATCTCTGATGGTCTGTTGAAGTCAGAGGCATCTGTCCTAAACCAAAGTAGGTAGAAAAATTAAAGTAATATTTAACTATGTTTCCATATCTAAACATAACTGTCACTTAAGATGCTTTTAGTGGCAGTTGTTTTAGAAGCAATTCAAACTGGCTCAAACAAGAAGTGTTATTATATCACTTAACGAGAACTGTTCTTATCACAATGTAAGTTGAAGTTAATATAATCTGAAAAAAAAGCCATTAGTTTGAAAAAAAAAAAAGTTAAAATCAAATCTTCCCTTGAAAAAGCTTTAAATTAGTAGTTGAAATCTAATTTACTTTTCTGTTTTATTCATGAAACCTCTGGTTTTATACTCATTCCCTCTTGACTGTTATAGGGAGTCTCCTTCCTTGAAGACATTATTCAACAATTACCTAGCTGCTTTTATGGAGCTAGGCTTTGGATTCTGTCTAAATCCATTCGGGCTGCTATAACAAAATATCGTAGACTACGTAACTTAAAAACAACAGGGGCTGGGAAGTCCAAGATAAGGCACCAGCAGATTTGGTGTCTGGTGGAGGCTCATTATTTCATACATGGCACTTTCTTGTTGTGTCCTCACATGGCAGAACAGAATGGGCAAACAAGCTCTCTGACCTTTTTTTTTTTTTTTTTTTTTTGAGACACAATCTCACTGTGTCACCCAGGCTGGGGTGCAGTGATGCAATCACAGCTCACTGTGCAGCCTCGACCTCCCAGGCTCGAGTGATCCTCCCACCTCAGTCTCTGGAGTAGCTGGGACTACAGGCACGCACCACCATATCTGGCTAATTTTTTTTCTTTCTCTTTCTCTCTCTTTTTTCTTTTTTATAGAGACAGGGTCTCACTATTTCCCAGGCTAGTTGCAAACTCCTGGAATCAAGTGATCCTCCCACCTTAGCCTCCCAAAGTGCTGGGATTACACATGTGAGCCACTGCCCCCAGTTCCCTCAAGGATCTTATAATCAGATGGAGGAAATAGAAAAGTAAACAGTTGTAAAGCAGCCTGATAAGCAAAAAGAAATAGGTCCAAATGAGTATTGTGAGGGCATTTTTAAGTATGTATCTCACCTAGATTGGAGCCAGGTGAGATTTCCTAGAGATCTTGAACTGAGTCCTGAAGGGCAAATAGGAGTTGGCCAGCTGAATTCTACAGAAAGAGAGAAGAATATTTTAGGTAGAACATTAGTGCAGTTGATCCTCATAATTTATCAATTCTGTACTTGGTAAATTTATTTGTAATCTCAAAATCTATACTTGTGGCACTTTTGCAGTCATTCATCAACACATGCAGAGCAGCAAGGAATTTGAGTCACCCAGCATGCATATATACAGCTGAGTTTGAACAAGGTGACATGCTGCCTTCTTGGTTCAGCTCTCATACTGTAAACAGTGTCTTTTTCACAATATATTTAATGCCATATTTTTTATATTTTTGTGCTGTTTTTGGTGATTTCCATGTTCAAAAATGTCCCTCAGCCATAGTGCTAATGTGTTGTCTATTGTTCCAAAGTGCAGGGAGACTGTGATGTTCCCTATGGAAAAAATACATGTGTTAGATAGGCTTCTTTCAGGCATGAGTTATGGTTCTGCTGGCTGTGGGTTCAATGCTAATGAGTCAACAATATGCATTAAATAAGATGTCTTTAAACAGAAATACATATACAACAAGGTTATGTATTGTATTGATCAGTTTAAAAAAATTGAGCAGGCCGGGCACAGTGGCTTATGCCTATAATCCCAGCACTTTGGGAGGCCGAGGTGGGTGGATCACGAGGTCAGGAGTTCGAGACCAGCCTGGCCAACATGGTGAAACCTTGTCTCTACTAAAAATACAAAAATTAGCCAGGCGTGGTGGCGAGCACCTGTAATCCCAGCTACCTGGGAGGCTAAAGCAGGAGAATCACTTGAACCCGGGAGGCAGAGGTTGCAGTGAGCTGAGATCGTGCCATTGCACTCCAGCCTGGGCGACAAGAGCAAGACTCTGTCTCAAAAAAAAAAAAAGTACGAGCAGAGGACTCACAGGAACCTAACCTGTGTTTCCCCAAGGAACAGTTGTTCAATATTCACTAATTGAATGTTTTGTTGCAAGTTTTCTAGAACATAACTACCACTAATAATGAGAATTGACTATATGTGCAAAAGTATAGATGAATGAAAACATGGTGTGTTCAGGGAATTTTAGTCACTCATTATAGCTACAGTATGGTTTGGTAAAAAAGGCCAGAGATAAGTAAGTCAGCAAGAGCCGTATCAAGAAGGACCTTGAGTGCCCTTCTCCTATAGTACTCTGTGTAGCTCTCTTTTAGCACTCAGTCCAAATACCTTATGTGATGCTTATTTGCATATACTTCTAATTGCACTAGAAAGTTGTACACTGTACTCTAAGCCTTAAGCATGATGATAAAGAAAACGATGGCAATGATGATGATAACGATGATGGTATTGACGATAACTGCCATTCATTAAATGCTTTCTTTGTGCCAGCCATTATTAGGTGCACTGCACATGTGATCTCCTTTCTTGGCTTCTACAGTCCTATGAAGTAGGAGGTGTTCTCTCCATTTTACAGTTAAGAACACTGAGGTTCAAAGAAGTTAAGTAGCTTGTCCACAGTCACTCAGCTGTGTAGCAATACTAAAAGTAAAATATTCAAGTCCTGGAAGCCTCTCTTCTTTCCAGCTTCCCATGCTGCGTTACATCTTGGTAGCCCCTGTAGGATTCAGTAGGTGCTCAGTAGATAAAGCTGAAAGGATATGATGCTGAGTCCCTGCTAGGACTAATAATCACTCATCATTGATGATTGTCTGTTTTAATAACTTTTTCTTTACTATTTAAAGGACACTTAACTTCAACCCCAAAGCAAAAAAGCAGCATTTCCAACTTCATAGTATAAAATGATGTATTAAGCAAATGGTCTACTGTAGCTATTTTTAATTTTTCTAATGAAAAGTCATGTAATATGCATAAAAGTCATGACTCATCTTTTGGCTGGAATATGGATTTTTCTTAATGGGTTCTATTTAATTCAACTTTTTAGACTCTGAATTCCAAAGTGTGACTTTTCTAATGCCTGAATCTGATCTGACATTCTAGAATGCATCTGTTAGAGGCCAGAGCAATTCCAGAGAAAGTAATGGGAGGGTGCCTCATCTCCATTTTAGTTACATATATAAGCTTTGCTATAGCTTTCCACAGATGTTGGCATTATTTTACTGAAGAGAGAAATGCTAGAAGACGGAATCCAGCTTTGTAATTTATGGGTTAAATAGCCAAGTCCTAGGGAACAGTGGGTGATCCAGGTTTTATAAGTGAGTAAGAAGACCTAAGTGATGTTTGGTACCTGGAAAGTTAATGGTCAGCTCTCCAGAGCATGCTTTTGCAGTGAGGCAGCTGATACACTAGGCATAGAGTGTTTGCAGCACAGAGAAAAGTGCAGCAGCACCTCACTCGATCCTGCTGGCATTGGCTTTCAGCTGCTTCTTAACTTTGGGTGAAACGGCAGCTGCCAACCAGTCACACTGGCTTTTTGTGAGACCACTACCATTCCCGAGATACTTCTGATTAGCCATGCACTCTGCCATAGCCTCAGGAGGTTGGAACTTTCAGTACCTGGAAGAAGAGTTTTTACCCAAAGAACAGCTTCTTCCTTTAGGATCTGGCCAGTTGTCAGTGGAGGAAGGTGTTTGTCCCCTCAGGTGGCTGAAAGGTAACTACATAATTGATAAGAGTATTAGGAATAACTATAGTCTTGCCCTTCAAACTGATCTTGAACCAACTGTGTACATACTTTGGGGCACTAAGGAAAACATACCTGGGGCAGGAACCCTTCCTAGCATTTTATGATTGGGCATGTTACAGTGGTCTCAGAAAGCCCCGTGAGGGCATGGAAGAAAGGGTCAGCCAAGAAAACCCATCAAACCCTTTGCAAAGTTATGTGGCGTCTTTTTCCTGTGTGTGTATTTCTTTCTCATCTTTTGTCTTTTTAAAAATTTCTTAAGTAATTTGTGAGTGGATTCTTATATAAGGTTTAAACTATAAAACACATACAGAAATCCTATGAAAATTTTCCTTCAATTCCCATCTCTGTGTTCCCATCTCACATGCACACACACACACACACACACACACTCACTCACTCTCTCTCTCTCTCTCTCTCTCATGCCCCCATAGGTGTCCAGTCAGTAATGTGGGCTTCATCCTCCTAGTTCTCTATTTACAAAATCATAATAGTTTTTAGTATGAATTAGCCTATGGGTTAACATGCGTGTGTGTTTGTAAATAAATAAGGTCATTCAATATATGTTCTGCAGCTTGCTTTTCCACTGAATATATGCACATTCTTAGTGATATACATTTAAATTGTTTCTAGTATTTTGCTGTTACAAATAAGGAAAAATTATTTTAAAAAATATATCATGTACATGAGCTATTTTATAAGATTTCTAGACATGAAATTGCTAAAATAAAGAATATAAACATTTCAAATTTTGATGGATATTCCTAGATAAACTTCTTACAAGTCTTCTCTAATTTATACTCCCATAAGCAGAGCATGAAAATGCCTGTTTCTATATGTCCTTTTCAAACCTGGATATCATTCATATCTTTTTAAAGGCATGAGTGAAAACCTCCTTAATGTAATTGCTTCTCTTAGGAAGTTTATGGTTTGCTGAGAGTATCTCTGTGGACTGAGGTTTCTCACCCATCTTGTTTTTAAATGAACAGAGTTACAATGTTGATGATTAGTCTGGTTATTCTGGAGTCCTTATGTAGAATTGCATGTTTTAGTGCTTATTAATTTCACTATTAAAGAACTGTCACTTATTTGATATTTCATCTGTACCAGGTACTATGCTAAGAGCTTTGATTATATGTCTCATTTAATTCTCATAGCCTGTATTGATCATCTGTTCCTTGGTTACAAATTACCCCAAAACTTAGTGGCCTAAAACAACAGTCATTTAGTATCTTACGGTTTCTATATGTCAGGAATTTGGGAGCAGCTTAGCAGACTGGTTCTGGCCAAGATCTCTAAGGTTGCAATTAAGATGTCATCCGGGTCTTTATAACCTGGAGGTCTGACTGGGGCTGGAGGTTCCTCACTCACATGGCTTTTGGTAGGAGGCCTCAGTTCCTCCCAACATGGACTTGTCATTCTGGGGCTACTCGAGTGTCCTCACAGCATGGCAGCTCCCTTCCCCAGAGTGACTAATCCAAGGAGAGCAAAGAAGAAGGCATAGGACCTTTTGTGACCTAATTTCTAAAGTTGCCAGTTGTCACTTCCACTTTATTCTCTTCTGTAGAAGCAAGTTACTTATGTCAGGCTACACTCTAGGGAAGGGGAAGTAGGTTTCACCTCTTGAAGGGAAGAAGACTATCAAAGAATTTGTAGACATATTTTGAAACCATCACGTATCCTTATAAGATAGTTGTTAAATAGTTGTTGTTGTTATTATTATTATACCCAGTTACTGATGAAAAGAATAAATTCACTACTTATCTAGCCTTATCTCCTACCCCCCGGCCTCTGTCTTCTACTCTGCTTAGACTAGCCTTCTCAATGTCCATCCCAGACACAGAGTGTTAATTCTCAGCCATTCATTCAACAAATGCCAGTCTTTGTATCACGGGTATTGTGGAAAGTAAAAGAGACATGGTCCTTGATCATGTGGAGCTTATAGTCTTGTGGAAGAGAGAAACCTCAATCAAATAACCACCTAAACAAATCATTGTCACTTTGAGAAGTGCTATGAAAAGAAAGTACTCCTGAGCCTGTTCATACTGTGTTCCCTATCCCCCGATGCCACCCTCACCCTTCTAACCTAGAAAGAATGCCTGCTTGGTTTTTATGTATAAAATTCTAACTTCTCTGTCAGAGTCCAATTTGAGTCCTCCTTCAGCGAAGCCTGTTTCTTTCAGCTTGCATTGATATCCTTTTCTCAGAACTTTATTCAGTATCACGTTTAATGCTTAATTGTTTCTTTAATGTACTCTTGCCTTGTCTCTCAGTTATATTGAAAGCTCCTTGAGGTGAGAGACCTAAGAGTTTCCCTTAATTCTTCTATCTTCCCCACTGTTAACACCCAGTCCCAGCAAATCGTATCATCTCTACTTCTGCTACTACCTCTACTACCACTCAAGTCTAAACCACCATTATCTCTTGCCGAGACTACACAGATCTCCTTCTTACTGGTCTCTCCATTTCTACTGACAGCCATAGTAGTCTTCCTCCAAGGTGTCTCCATTCATGTAATTATCCTGCTTACACACCCCTGCCTATCACACCTCAAGTAAAACCCATGTGCTTGTTCTGGTTTACAGAGTCCTGTCTGTTCTGGCACTTTACTGCACAACTGGCCTCACCACCTACTTTGTCTCTCTGTCTCTCTCACATACACACACACATTATGAGATCCTGCCACCTAAACTTCTGTTCTCTGAATATGCCAAGCTCTTTCCTGTACTGGGACTTTTGGTCTAGCAGTTCCCTCTTCCCTGAAATAGGCTTCATCCAATCTTCATATGATTAATTCTTTCTTACTATTCAGATCTCAGTTTAAATTTTATCTCCTTACAGAGGCCTCCTCAGACCGATCAGTCTAAAAGTTGCTACCCAGTCACTCCTGTCAAGTTACTTTATTTTAATTTTTTTCTAGTGCTTCCCACTATCTGATATTTTTCTATATAAAAGTGTCTGTCTGCTTGCACTAAAATGTAAACACCACAGGATCCCTGACATCTGTGTTGTTCACCAGTGGTGAATAATAGGGTCCAGTAGTATTTGTTTTATTAGTGAGTGGCTGAAAATTCATCTTAAGCCTCTGAACTTTTGCCTTCTAAAAGAAAAGAGGGAAAAGAGAACTTGAGTTCCCGAGTTCCCAGGCTCCTTACCAGACTCCCTGTCTCAGACCAAGCTACTACTACTTACTCAGGGAGCTTTGTTTAAATTAAATTCTTTGCATAGCCGGACATGGTGGCTCATGCCTGTAATCCCAGCACTTTGGGAGACCAAGGCAGGTGGATCACTTAAGGCCAGGAGTTCAAGACCAGCCTGGCCAACATGGCGAAACCCCTATCTTTACTAAAAATGCAAAAATTTGCCAGGTGTAGGGGCATGCACCTGTAATCCCGGCTACTCAGGAGGCTGAGGCACGAGAATCACTTGAACCCAGGAGGCAGAGGCTGCGGTGAGCCAAGATCACTGCACTGTACTCCAGCCTGGGCAACAGAGCAAGACTGTCTCAAAAAAAAAAAAAAAAAGAGAGAGAGAGAAAGGAAAAAATTCTTAGCACAGTACTTATTACAATCTGATTTCTTTTCTTTGTTTTTCTGTCACCTTTTACTAGGATGTATGCTCCATGAGAGCAGAGCTTCATGGTCTTGTTTGCCTCTCTGCTGTCTCCACAATGACTGCAGCAGTGTCTGGCACAGAGATGCCAAACATTTGCTAAAGGAATGAGTAGGGAATCAGGTTCTGTTTTGTCTTACACCCCCCAGTGCCTACCACTGTGCTTGGCCCATAACAAGTGCCCAGAAACTGGTGGGTACTCTGAGGCCACTCTGAATATAATTGCTATTGGTAGATCTGTGTTCTCATCCTAGAATTTAGAATGGGAAAGCGGTTTAGAACTAAGAGTCTTTCAAGTGTTTCGAGCCAAACTGCAAAGCTTTTAGAATATTGTCTCTGCAGCCTGAAACTGACTATTACACAGGTTCCCCCAGTTCCCATTCAAGAGCGAAGTCTAGATGTTTAGAATTCTATGCCTAAATAGCAGAACGGAAGCCTCATTTTATTTTGATTAAATTCCTATTTTAATACATACATTGCATCAGTCAGTGAGTCAGTGAGTATTTATTGAGCCCCTTCAGGATACAAAGTAGTGCTCTGGTAGAGCTATTGAGTTTGAAATATTAGTCACATTTTTAAACCAAAACCAAATCCCCAAGTAGTTGAAAGTGCTGTTCAAATTGTCAGAGTGCAGTTCCTGTAGACTGTATTTTGTGAGATGGGCTTTTACTTTATATGTTCCCACTTGGGCAGGAACAAAAGTTTGGTAAATTACTGAGGTATTACATTTTACCAAAATGAAATTTTGAAGTGATCCTTCATCATTAGCTTTCTTCCTGTCCAATTGTTGAGGGAGTGTGTGATAATTACAGCATCTTTTGAGTAATTTAAGATTTTGGGATCTTGTGCTGCCAGGACAGGGTAAAGAATAACACTTGCCTTCACTCTTTGACACTAGTGTTCAAATTGGGCAGGGAAAGAAGGGGTATTATTGTTGCCTCCCAGATCCCAACTCTATCCAAAGTACTGTCTCCTTTACTTCTGTGAGCTGACAGGGTTGCAGAAACACATAAAATCCTAGACTATCTTGACATCACCAACCGTAGAGTTTGTGAAGGTAACGTGTCCTCTACAAATTCTCATTTGTTTTCATTGTTTGTTACTCTTTTTTGTTCAGATTTCTCTGTTGACTTCTGCAGTGAACCACCTCAAAGCCAATGTTAAGTCAGCTGCAGACTTGATTAGCCTGCCTACCACTGTAGAGGGACTTCAGAAGGTAGGTGCCATGTGTGGGTACAGAGACTTCAGAAGGTAGGTGCCATGTGTGGGTACTATTTGCCATAATTCTAGCTTCTTATAAGTTTTCATTGAAAGCCTAGCATTTGAAATCAGCTGCTCCAAGAGGGCAGTAATGGAGTGTATCACTGTGTCCTAAAGAATTCAGAACAATTTTGTTTTGGTCTGGTTAGTTAGGCCTTTAATTTGCAACAGGTTACCTCAGCTGTGATTTATATGGGTTCATACCTTTTTATTTGGCTCTCTGAGTCCCAGAATTGCTCTGCTGGCACTCTTGTGTTAGCATATATGGGTTCGCTTTTCAGCTTGCTTTTTCAGTTCACCACTCACAATATCTTCATCAAAGCAGACCAATTGTACATGATAGTTACCCTAAATCTCTGTTACTTTCCATAATTAAGAAAGTTAAAAAAAAAAAAAAAAGATGACCTGGGGAAATGCAAAAATTAAAAATTCAGGAAACAAGTGTTGGCAAGGATATGTGGAACGAAGGAAATTTTCAAACACTCCTGCTCCTGCTAGGAGTATTAATTGGTAAAAATCACTTTGGAGGCTGGGCATGGTAGCTCATGACTGTAATCCCAACGTTTTGGGAGGCTGAGCCAGGAGGATCACTTGAACCCAGGAATTACAGACCAGCCTGGGCAACATAGGGAGACCTCGTCTTTACAAAAAATTTTAAAGTTAGCTGGGCATGGTGGCACACAACTGTAGTCCCAGCTACATGGGAGGCTGAAGTAGGAAGATCACTTGAGCCTGGGAGGTTGAGGCTACAGTGAGCTGTGACCAACCAGATGAATAGTACTCAGGGATCCTTAGAGATGGACGGGAAGAGTGGATAGGGGTAGGAAGGCAGAAGAGGTGCCTAATTCGAACATAAAGAACATCATCCCCTGACACAGGAAATGGAAGAAGGGATTCCCCAAACGGTGGATATCAAATCTAGGATCTTTGAATTATAAAAATATGTGCTAAGTTTGGTCAGATTATGTGCCAGGGTCTATGAGCATATGAATTCTTTCCACAAAGGAGCAAGAAATTTCTAAGCCATAAGCGAAGACAAAATTTGCTATTTTATAGCCACACCATCTGTGTGTGCTCAGTCTCCATAATTTGCTACTTGTCCAATGTGGCCATCTACTTACAAATTCGGGGGGAAAAAAAAGGGGTAGGGACAACTCTGATGAGGCCAGATTCTTGCCGTTGTTCCTAGGGCCAATTCAGGAAATGATAGGCTTCTGTAGCCATTAGTACAGAAGCAGCTCTCACAGTCTTGCATTAGAAAAGGAAACTGGTTTATTCTTTTTTTTATTACACTTTAAGTTCTAGGGTACATGTGCACAACGTGCAGGTTTGTTACGTATGTATATATGTGCCATGTTGGTGTGCTGCACCCATTAACTCATCATTTACATTAGGTATATCTCCTAATGCTATCCCTCCCCCCACCCCAAAACAGGCCCCGGTGTGTGATGTTCCCCTTCCTGTGTCCAAGTGTTCTCATTGTTCAATTCCCACCTATGAGTGAGAACATGCAGTGTTTGGTTTTTTGTCCTTGCAATAGTTTGCTGAGAATGATGGTTTCCAGCTTCATCCATGTCCCTACAAAGAACATGAACTCATCATTTTTTATGGCTGCATAGTATTCCATGGTGTATATCTGCCATGTTTTCTTAATCTAGTCTATCACTGATGGACATTTGGGTTGGTTCCAAGTCTTTGCTATTGTGAATAGTGCCGCAATAAACATAAGTGTGCGTGTGTCTTTATAGCAACATGATTTATAATCCTTTGGGTATATACCCAGTAACGGGATGGCTGGGTCAAATGGTATTTCTAGTTCTAGATCCTTGAGGAATCTCCACACTGTCTTCCACAATGGTTGAACTAGTTTACAGTCCCACCAACAGTGTAAAAGTGTTCCTATTTCTCCACATCCTCTCCAGCACCTGTTGTTTCCTGATTTTTAATGATCACCATTCTAACTGGTGTGAGATGGTATCTCATTGTGGTTTTGATTTGCATTTCTGTGATGGCCAGTGATGATGAGCATTTTTTCATGTGTCTGTTGGCTGCATAAATGTCTTCTTTTGAGAAGTGTCTGTTCGTATCCTTCACCCACTTTTTGATGGGGTTGTTTGATTTTTTCTTGTAAATTTGTTTAAGTTCTTTGTAGATTCTGGATATTAGCCGTTTGTCAGATGAGGAGATTGCAAAAATTTTCTTCCATTCTGTAGGTTGCCTGTTCACTCTGATGGTAGTTTCTTTTGCTGTGCAGAAGCTCTTTAGTTTAGTTAGATCCCATTTGTCAATTTTGGCTTTTGTTGCCATTGCTTTTGGTGTTTTAGACATGAAGTCCTTGCCCATGCCTATGTCCTGAATGGTATTGCCTAGGTTTTCTTCTAGGGTTTTTATGGTTTTAGGTCTAACATTTAAGTATTTAATCCATCTTGAATTAATTTTTGTATAAGGTGTAAGGAAGGGATCCAGTTTCAGCTTTCTACATATGGCTAGCCAGTTTTCCCAGCACCATTTATTAAATAGGGAATCCTTTCCCATTTTTTGTTTTTGTCAGGTTTGTCAAAGATCAGATGGTTGTAGATGTGTGGTATTATTTCTGAGGGCTCTGTTCTGTTCCATTGGTCTATATCTCTGTTTTGGTACCAGAAAAGGAAACTGGTTTATTCTTGAATTTATTCATTCAATAAACATTTGTGGAACTTCCTCCAGTATGTACCAGGCACTTTGCTGTTGATGGGAATACTAGTTTCAGAGTTTTGCTCCAGAGTTCACATGGCTCTGTCAGTTGCTTCCTTAGGGGAAAAAAGAAAAGAAAAAAAAAATCCTTAAACAAGAGCTTACTATCTTCTGGCATCCCAATGGGTTCATACATCCAGCCAGTGAGGATTGGATTCACAAACAGTAGGTGTCTTTGAATGCCTGTAGCTTTTGCAACAGGCATTCAGAGCTTACATAGATAGCAACAGAGCTTACATAGATAGCAAACCAGCTTAGATACTTTTACCCAGTGTGTTGTCTCTTTGCAAATCTGTGTGTTTATCATGCCAGGCACTGTGTTTCTTTCAAGTGGCTCAGTTTTGAAGTGGTAGGTCATGCCAAATACCTAACTTTATTGTATCTCATGTAATTTTTATTAGTGTCATCTCGTGTTCTCTTGGATTCTTGGATATCAGTGTAATAAAAATGACCTTGGTTAAAAATACTAATGTGGCACTGTAAAACTGTCAGCATGTCTTGAAAAGGCCAAAACTCACTGAATAGTAACACCCTTTTAGATGTTCCCTTAGGACAGGCTTTTTTTAAAACATGGCTTCTGAATTATATCTCCAAGTTCCCTGTCCACTTGGGCTTTTTAGGGCTAATGAAAGCAAAGTAAGCCACTACTCATATCCCTATTCAGTGGTTGCTGACAGGATTCTACTTTTTTTTCATCTCTGCAGTATTGAGTTTCCCAAAGCCAGATATGGTTCCCTCCCACTTTTGCTCGAAGTGTCCTTTGCTCCTAACAAGTGGCAGTCTACTGTGTTAGCTCGGCCATCTGCCTTCCCACAGCAGGGATTGACAGAGGCAGTTTGTGAGAGAACCTTATCCCTGGGTTCCAGATTTATAAACTAATATTTTTTCTTTAGGGAAGATTTGGTTTTCCTCTAGGAAAAATCATTTAAATTAAGAAAATTACTTGTTTGATTGATAGAGAAAGAGTCCTGTTAATTATCTCAGTATACACTACATGTAATCATAGTTTGAAGATATTTGAAATAATCAGAAACACCGATTTTCATTAGGGCAGTGTTTCATTAGGGCAATGTAAATTAAAATCACAATATACACTTCCATTAGAATGGCTGAAGTTGAAAAGAATGACTGTACCAATATTGGTACAGGATTGGTGAGGATATGGAGTAACAGGAACTCTCATTCCCTGCTGGTGGGAATGTAAAATGGCATAACCATTTTAGAACATTGTTGGGCAGTTTTTTAACAAGTGAAGCATAGACCTGCCATATGATCAGCCATTCACCTGCTAGGTATTATGGCGATTAGAAAGCATATGATAAAGGGGAATGTCTATAAGTCCACATGAAGACCTGAACACGAATGTTTATAGCAGCTTCATTTGTAATAGTCAAATATTGAACACAGCCTAAATGTCCATGAGCAGGGGGAGAGATAAACTGTGATAGAGCCACACAATGGAATGCTGCTCGGCAGCCTGCCAAGTAGCCTCAACATGGATGAATCCCAATTCTGCTGAGTAGAAGCAGCCACACTTTAAAAAGCACTACTTGCTCACTGGTTCTACTTATATAAAATCTAGAAAATGAAGACTGATTTATTGTGACAGAAAGTGGATCAGTGGTTGCCTGGGAACGATCGGCAAGGGAGTGATTACAGAGAGTCATGAGGAAACTTTCAGAGGTGATGAGTGTTTATTATCTTGATTGTAGTACTGGTTTCACAATTGTTTATGTGTCAAAACATTCAAATTATACATTTTTGAATATGTACAGTTTATTGCATGTCAGTTGTCTCTTAAAGCTTTTTTACACCTTCCTATATGTTTCCATTCAGAGTGTAGCTTCCATTGGCAATACTTTAAACAGCGTCCATCTTGCTGTGGAAGCACTACAGAAAACTGTGGATGAACACAAGAAAACGATGGAATTACTGCAGAGTGATATGGTAAGGAGACCCAGCAAGTCAGCATGCTCCTGCTCACCCTTTTTTGTGTAAGAGTCATGTTGCCAACTTTCCACTAATCTGAAAAGGCCCTGCTATGCATCTGTTCAAAAGATCTAATAAGCAGTATACATTGATTGTTCTACAATTTGTTAATAAAGCAATTATGGTAGATAAAATTAAAAGCCAAATCTTTTGCAAACATAGTACTGGAGGAGGTAAGGTAATAAGACACAGTTCCTGAGGATGGAATGGGTAGGACAGAAAATGGAAAAGAAGGAAAGGAAGTGGAAAAGTGTCTCATTGTTTATTACTACATAACAAAGCACCCCCAGAAGTTTGTGGCTTAAAACAAGTAATTATTTCTCACTATTCTGTGCATCAGGAATTTGAGCAAGGCTCTTAGACTCCCAAATGCTGAAACATGTGCTCGTGGATGAAAGGCAGGCTGTCTAGCATGTTCCAGCTCCAGCCAGGCTGTCAGTTAAATGCAGCCTACAACACATGGAACAGCACCACCCCCATCCCTCAACCCCCAGCTGAGCCCAGTCAACCCACAGAATCATGAGAAATACTTAATTGTTGTTGTTCTAAGCCACAAAGCTTTGGGATAATTTGTTAGGCAGCAACAGATAACTGACAGAATCAAACCCCTGCAGTGCCTAGGAATTGTTTTCAAATATCTCTGGATCACTTAGTGCTGCTGCAGATGTAAGCTGTCTGCAGTCATTTGGAGGCCTTAATCAATCACTTAATGGGTGACAGCCCCGTGAAGGATTTATGAAGAGTAAAAAAAGGATGGTGCAGCCCTTGCCATCTTGCTGGGGAGATGAGTTATATGTAACTCATCTGAAATCAGGACTATTCAAGGCACACAAAAGTTCCCTAGTCTCTCTGCCAATTTCTGGATCTGCCCTCCCACCCCCACCTGCTCTTTGCAAGCTTCAGAATTTCAAGTTTAAATTGGGAAGTTTGTACCAAGGAGACCTGGGCTATATTAGAGAGCTCTAGAAGAGAGTTTTTTTCCATTTTCTTCAGGACTGGCACACCTCACTGTTACTTAGTGGGGCTAACCCAGAGGAAAAAACATTGATCTGGGTGTCAAGACCCTTGGTTCTGGTTCTAACTGCCGCTGAGTAACTGTGTGACCCATAGTAACAAAGACCCCTCTAATTCAGCAATTCTTTTATTATTTTAATATCTTGATTATGCTCTCAAGTAATTCACTATTTTCTAAAATAATTTTTCCTAACTAAAAAATTTCCTGCCTTCTAGAACCATGGATTCCCCCCTCCTTCTCTCCTCCTTTTCTCTTTATTGTTGCCTTTTGGTTTTCTTATAAAAACAGGGTTGATTTCAGATTTCAAGGAAAACAACTTATTTTCACCAGTTGCATTCTGTTATAATTAAATCTACTTCTTTTAAATTTCCATAGCTGCCAATGGTAATCCTCCTACTGTCATTCTTTGTGCTAGATAAGTCATAGTTATGGGCTCTGAAGGGTTAAGCCATGCAAAGTTTTCCTCACTAAAGGAAAAGTGTATATAAACATGTTATACTTCAGTCTCTGGAAAGAAACTTGAGCAGTGGGAAGGGAATGGGAAAGGAAAGATAACCCTCAAACATAAGTCTTACTTAGCATAATGCTATAAGGGAAAAACTAATAATGCACATGATTGGTGGTTATGCTAAATGCCCAAGCCAGTGGTTACATGACTGGCTGCCTTTTTAATGTCAAAGCTCTTGAGTCCAGTGGAAACAATGACACTGTCCCAGGTTGAGACCGAGTTGGTCCCTGGAAAGTTACAGTGATGCTATAGTTTCTCTGGGAGCACAGGCAATGGGGCAAAGGAGAAATGGTTTCTAGAGAGTTCATTCCTTTAAGAGATTGAGAAATAGACTAGGAGGATCTCAGTTCCCTAATGTAATCTTGGTGCTGCTGGCCTAGTGCATGCTCAAGCTGGGTTCTCTCAGAACCTAGCACAAGACTGGTTAGCCTGTACATTCCCTGGCAATACTTACTGATTAATCTGTGGATGCATTCTGGGGGAGGCTAGAATGTTCTAGGACAATCTCAGATAGTTAAGTAGACCTAATAATTCCTTGTTGCCTACACTAAACTTCTTTCCTCTTAACAGAATCAGCACTTCTTGAAGGAGACTCCTGGAAGCAACCAGATCATTCCGTCACCTTCAGCCACATCAGAACTTGACAATAAAACCCACAGTGAGAATTTGAAACAGGTGCTTTTTATCTCTGGCTTAACTCCCTGTGACCACAGTGCACTGCAGAGGCAGCCAAATAGTTTGGGCTTAGTGTTTGGTGTCTCAGCAGGTGCATCCTGTATTTATTTGCCTGCCTGGGAGCTGAGCAGAGAGGAATGTGTGTTGGTATCTCGGGGATCCATATTGCTGTCCTTTCCCTTCTTTGGCACTTTGCAGTTTTTCCCTGCATGTCAGTCAGTGGAGTAAATTCCTTTTCTTATCTTGAAAGACATAGAATGAGCAGATTATCCTGAAACTCTTTATGAAAAAATAGCTATCTGGGCAGGTTAAAGATGAATGGATAGCTAAGTAATCCAGAGTGATGGCTATTTTGAGCCACAGTAAATTCTAAGAATGTTAGAAAGCATATCCTTGAAAATCAGGATTTTCTAAAGTCTAAAGACGAAAAGGCAAGAGGGGGAAAAAAGACTTTGAGTTCAGAATCACATTAAAGAGAATAGAGGAAATCTTCACTCAGAAGAATTCCTGTCCTGAGTTTAATGCCCTTTAAAACCTATAGTTATCATTCTTTTTAAAGTAGCAATCAGTACTGGAGGATGTCAGTAAAAATAATTGAATCTTATACTAAACAATGCACTACTTGTTATGGTATTGTTACATGAGCCAATTCAGTAATCGGTATTGTTCCTGAGGTAGGTTTGTTCTGACAAATTAGGTTAATGGACCTTTCATTTAATAACCCAGCAAGCCTTTCCTCCAGCAGGTGAGGTAAACATTGGGGAAATCAATTCCCAAGCTCTCAGCTTTCTGGGACCAAAGAGTGAATCATGTAGGTAGTCCTCTTCCCTCTTTCCCCCTCCTGTCTAGCTGAGGCCAAACAATTCCAAAAGGAGCAATTTAGAGTGCGAGGGACAAAGCAAAGACAGACGATTGATGGTCAAAACCAGGAAAAGGAGTTTACTTCAGTACTTGACATAGTAATGGTTGTTCGGTGCTGCTGGCCTGCTTGTCTAATTTACGTCTTTAGTGGATTCCATAACTTTATTTATTTCCACTCTAGGATATCCTGTACCTTCACAACTCTTTAGAGGAGGTAAACAGTGCCCTAGTGGGGTACCAGAGACAGAATGATCTTAAACTCGAGGGAATGAACGAGACAGTCAGTAATCTTACCCAGAGAGTCAACCTGATAGAAAGCGATGTGGTTGCTATGAGCAAGGTAGAAAAGAAAGCAAACCTGTCCTTCAGCATGGTAAGCCTTTTCTGATCTTTTGTGACATGCAGTGTGTTTTGTCTGTGCATGGATAACATTCTACCACCTTTTGAGAACAGCCTTCTGGCATATTTGAGAGGCCACACATTTGTGTTGTGCTTAATCCTCACAATGTGTTGTCTCATTTAATCCTCACACTAGCTGTGTGATGTGAATGGCCAGGCAGTGTTTGTCCTGATTTGGAGAGGGAGATGCGGAGAGGTCGAGTCGCTTACCAAGGCCTCACCACTAGTTGTTGGCAGAGATGACAAGGCTACTGTCATGTTACCAGTGCGCCATCTGGTAGGGAAGTGCTGGCACGTATTTCCGAGGGCCTTTTGGGTCTTTTCTTTTTTAAGTTATTAGGGGTGGGAGCCATGAAAATGATAGTAACCAAAAATCTTTTATCATTTCTTTAAGCCTGAACTTGGCTTTCATATTTATCCTGCTGTCTATATATTAAGGGGAACCTTTTGCGTATGTCAGGAAACAGATCAGGTCAGATCAGCTCCCCAACTTAAGAGGTCATTGAGTTCACCTCCTCATTTTACATGTAAGGAAACTGACCTACTAAGTCACTGATGCTGGCCGACTGTGCACGGCTTACTGATTTTCATATTGTTGTGAATAAAATGTGCAGTTTCACATAAACTTTGTGCAGGGATCCACATGGATTCTTTTTTTAATAACTGCAGCCCCCACCCTTAAAGATTTCATATAGCAAAGACACAGGCATATATTTAAAAATAGAAACCAAATACAGGAAATTGTGCCATAAATTCAAGTAACCACCAAAGCTGGAAGTAAGCCCACAAATAAAGTCAAACTCTGGTTCATGGAAAGCAGCATTTGAACTGGCTCTGCCACAGTGGAGCCTTGGCAAGTTGCCTGGACTTGGCTTTGAAGGGTGGAGTTGGAAGACCTGTTCCCCCTCCTGCTTTACAGAGTTGTATAATTTACTACAAAGCTGTGAAGATTAAAGGAGCTTTATTTTACGAAGCCCTTTTGAACTCAGCTAAACTAGGTTGGCTAAGAATTTTGGATGATGAGTATTATGCCTTGAAAGTTTTCAAGGCTTATTGTGAAAACTTACCACTCCTAAACTCTCTTTACTGTCTCTGCCCTCTCCCCCTACTTTATATTTCTCCAGCAGAGAAAATAGGTAATAGTATCCATCTGTCCTACTGTTTCTTAGAGCAGTATCGTGCTCAGCATGGTATTTTGAGTAAAAGTTCTACCACCTTTTATCCTTCAAAGCCTTAAAGTTTGTGACTGAAACAGCTAGAAGCACTAGTTTCAACTTCGTCTCTGGCCTTTCTCCCTCTCTCCTCCCATCTCCCACTCCTCTGCAATTTCTGTTGAGAGTGTTCTGAGATCCTTTAAATAAGTTTGACGAATTTGTTTAAAAGTGCTAGGTGTTCAAGTTTTAATGTTTGCCTTTAATCTTCCCTTTGTTTGTTTGTTTTTGTTTTGCCCTTTAAGATGGGTGATAGATCTGCCACTCTGAAAAGACAGTCTTTGGATCAAGTCACCAACAGAACAGATACAGTAAAAATCCAAAGCATAAAGGTAAATAATGGGAGGCTTACCCTGAAGTAAAAGTAAATGCAGCAGCATCTCTGTGCTTTTGATCTACTGCTACTTTTTCAAAGGGCGTACTTTTGTTCTCATGTGCTGAAACTTCAAAACAAAGCAATTAGTAAATTAGTATGTTAGTGAATAAATGAATACTTTTTTAGGCACCTACCCTGTGCCAAACACTTTAGTAGGAGCTGGGGGGACCATAGTGAGCAAGGCAGACATGTGACCCCTATTGTGGTGGAGCTCAAAGTCCTGTCAGTCAGAAAATCGTTAACACATAATTGAACAGGTCATGAATCATGAGTATGATAAGTATTATAAAGGACAAATACAGGATATGATAAGATCAAGAAGGCTTCCCTAAGGAAATGACTTTTACACTAAGACAGTAAGTTATCTGTACTAATGATGGGGGACAGAGGCAGAGATAATCTAAAAATGGTGTCTAATCTAAAATTTATTTCCTATTTTTGTATTGCAATCTCTATGTATTCATAGTCCATTTAAACCTCAGCCAGTTCCCTTCACCTTGTACCTTCCCCTTTTTTGTTCTTCCTAGACATACTGTCAAGACAGCAATCTATGATATGCTTTGATATTCCAGGAAAGAAAGTGTGATTACAGTATTCTCTGATTAGAGTGTTAAACTCTGGGCTAAGATAAAAGAAAAGCCAGGAAGATTATGACCAAGTGACTAAATTACCATCTCAAATGCATATTATGTTTGAGAAGTTGGGAGGATCTGAGGTTCAGAGAAAATGAACTTGAACTGGAACCACACAGTAAAGGCAGCTTTTGATGTAATGCTTTATATCTTTATTTTTCCTACCTTAATAGTTTTATATTATCTAGATAAAGTCACAATATATTAAGGTTTTAATGCATCATAAGCTAAGCTTTTGTTGAGTTTTCTAACTGCTTCTGCAGATTTTTTTTAAACCTCACCTAGAGAAGACAGAAAAACTTAAGAGCCAGATGTAAATTTTGAGCACAAAAAAACTAATAGGTGGTTTCTATTAGAAAGTAGTAGCAATTTCAGCCACAGTTCACATTTTAACAATAAATATCAGAACACACCAGTACACATGTATACATAAATTTCATCTTGGCTTTACTTTCAGGCCTTTTTTGTTTTTAACTGTCATCGCAGGGTATCAGTTCCTTTGTCCTACCTCATCCAAACATCCTAACCAGATACAATTTCTCCTTACCATTAGTTCTTCAAACATTTAGTACCTAGTTTTCACTACATATGTTCATATTTTAGCTCCCTAAATAAACTGAGTGAACTACTATACAGTAACTATTAGAGTAGAAATAAGATGGGGCAAGAGAAGTTAACAATTACTTATACAAGAAAAGTAAATCAATAATAAAATAAATGTGTAATGAGTTGGTGTTCTAATTAAACATAGGATCAGGACCTTTCACACTCATCTAAGCAGTTAGAAATGAGCCTCATAGAAACCAGATGTCTCTCTTTTTATAATTAAATGTATTTGTATATGCCACTCTTGATACTCCTGGGAATGAGGCAGGGTATGGGCGAAAAAACTTTTTTAAAAGATACGAGCAAGCAAGACTTTGAATTAGAAATATTACAGCTCCTTCTTTATGTCTTAACAGTTTCTGCCACCAGTTGACTCATCACCAGGGAGAAACAGAGGAAAGATCAGGGGAAAACTTGTGGTTTGTTTTTGTTCAGTTGCTTCTTTTTGTAAGGTGGTAAGAGCATGAAATTCTGCCTAAAGTGGTCTAGTCACAAGGTGAAGCAAGATATTTCGGAAAGTTATTTAGTTAGTGTGAAATAGCTCCTAGAAAACAAGATCCTGCTTATTTAGGAAATGGGTGTCGCATAGGCACCTGAGCAAGGGTACATTTCCTTTACTGCTGACACATGCATTCCTTCCCCCATCAACCAAATGTTCACAGTGAATCAGATCATCTGTAGCATAATGTTCCCTTAATGGTTTCAAATCCAGCAAGATACTTATCAGTGCTGAGGACCAAAGACATCACCAGTATATGTTGATTCATTCTTTTATTGTCTTTATAGGGAACCTACTGAGGGTCAAACACTACATGCTAAACAGGCTCTGGGAATACAGTGGACACTTAGATGAAGTCTTACTACCACCTTAAACCTTCTATAATCTTTGTTTTGTGCAGAAAGAAGATAGTTCAAATTCTCAGGTATCCAAGCTAAGAGAGAAACTCCAGCTGATCAGTGCTCTTACAAACAAACCTGAGAGCAACAGGCCTCCAGAGACCGCCGATGAAGGTGAGAGCAGAGCCGGCTTCTTAATATTTCATGGAGGCTTGAGCAGCTTGCCTCTCACATGGGGAGCAGGGAAGGTGTTCCAGCAGTACTGATCGCACCAAGCGAGTGATGCCTGAACGCACCGAGATGAAGCTGATACACTTTGCTTTCATTTAGAAAAGGCCCATTTTGTACATGATTTGTACTCTAGTCTATTAAGGGAAGAATTGGTAATGTTTAGCTGGAAATAGAATTCTCCATGCTGTCTGCATCCAATTATAGGCAAAAATGTTACTGTCATAGAGTATATTAAGCCAGCCCTAAAAGTTGTTTATGAGAGTCTTTTCCTTTCTGTAAGTGCATAACATGTATTTAAAAATAAATATTCGCCCTTCTGAAAATCGTTAACAAAAATAATGATGGGATCTTTGGGTTGGAAGGGTCTTTGGCTTTAGGTATGGACCTGTCTAATCAATATTAGCAGATACATGAGCCTCCACTGATTTAGACCCTGTGAGGACATAACCAAGGCACTGGACTGTGTTAGCTTTGACCTTTTCCCCCACACAAGTATTTTTCTATTTTAGAAAAGCAGTACAAACTCTCTTGAATTCTCCTTTAGTAGGAGACAGAACTGTGGTGGAATGTCTTGTCCTAACATTGTGCTACATCATCTTACGGTTGCACTCTTAGCACCAGCTTAGCGGGTGGCACATACCCCTAGACTGGGTTTAAAGCACATCTCCCAGGATGTCAAGATCTTTGATATCCAGCCACTGTTCTTGCCACTTGACAGCTTAAGCTCTTACCATCTAAACATGTTTAATGCTAGCTTGTACTGTAAGATCTTCTAATGGGACTGCTGCTGCAAACCTTAACGTAATATAATACTGATTGGTGTTCCCTTGCCCACAAATATGTCTCAATCCAAGCCTTTAACTTCACATAGTCACTATGCTACTTTATCTTCAAATGTTTCTCTAAATTAATTGTATATCCAATTTTCCTAAAAGGTGACCTTCGATACTAGTTTAATTTGGTGTTAGATTCAATAATACTAAATAAAACCTTATGTATTTGTTACAGAGCAAGTAGAGAGTTTCACATCAAAGCCATCAGCATTGCCAAAATTTTCACAGTTTCTTGGAGACCCAGTTGAGAAAGCTGCCCAACTAAGACCTATCTCCCTACCAGGAGTTTCTAGCACTGAAGGTAAATTTTTATACCACGGGGTAGTAATGGGAATGTTCAAAGTAATAACTTTTTAATGTTTATTTTCACTTGTCAAAAATATATATGATCTAACATTTATTGAGGAGATATCAAGTGCCAGATACTTTATATGCATTATGTCATATAATCCTGATAACCATCCCATGAACATAAGTATTTATGTATTATACCCATTTTACTGATAGGGAAACTGCCTAAGTCCACACAGCAAATAATTGGTTGAAACAGAATGCAAACCAAGACAGTCTGATGCCAAAGCTTGTGCTTTTTTTTTAGACCCCCAGGCTGGAGTGCAGTGGCACAATCTGGGCTCACAGCAACCTCTGCCTCCCAGGGTTAAGCAATTCTCATGCCTCAGCCTCCCAAGTAGCTGGGACAGGTGTGTGCCACCATGCCTGGCTAATTTTTTGTATTTTTAGTAAAGATAGGGTTTCACCATGTTGGCCAGGCTGGTCTTGAACTCCTGACCTCAAGTGACCCACCTGCCTCAGCCTACTGAAGTGCTGGGATTACAAGCACAAACCAACTCACCTGGCCGAAGCTTGCACTTTTAACCAGTGTACTATATTATCTTTCTGTTAATGTTTTTTAGGGTCTTCATTCACTGAGTGCCTCATTAAACCTAGTGCTAAGCAATAAGAATACAGTATAAGATATGGTCTCATTTTCTTTCTTCAAGGATATTACAGTCTAATGGAGAAGGCATAAAAGCAAATACAATACCATGAGATTAGTAAAATAAAGTAAAAGTTGACCCTGTTTGTCAGGGCCCTCCAAAAATGAAGGACCCTTTTACTGAAAATCAGCAAAATATTAGTACAAAGGATATGATTCACAGAAAAATGTGTTTGCACTGCTTCCAGCAGTGCATGTTCTATCCCTCATGGTGATGTTTAGTGCCTCCCGATTTTGTATTAGCTGGCTGCCTGGCAAATCACTTGCTCCTGTCCACCACACCTTCCTCTGGCTCTTCTCTTTAGCCTAGATACCATTCTACCAGGAACATTTCCTTACCTCCAGTGACTGGATTAGGCTCCTCCTGTGTGCTCTTAAATTTTGTTTGCCCCTGTTTAGCACATGTCACTCTGTTGGAATTTCCTGGGGAGATACAAAATATAACTTCCTATGGGTAAGGACTATGTCTTGTTTACTCCCAGCCCCTAGCACAGTACCTGGTACTCCTGAATATTTGTTAAATAAATGAATGAGTTACCTACACATTGCAATTAAATGCTTAAAGCATAGAAGACTTAAATTTTTCTATCACCATTTAAATGTGATTACTTTTCTTCCCTGTTCCTGACTTTTTTTTTTTCTGTTTTCTGGGGAGGAGGGGAAGTGTTGTGTTTAATGGGAACACAAGCTTCCTGCCACTTTCCATTGTTAAATCAATATTTGATGAGAATGAATGGGGGAAAGCTATTAGGTCAGAGTAAGGAATAGCAGTCTTAACACTTGTGCTTCAGTCCTCAGCATAGGCCTTAAATACTTTTGGATGACTATACTTTTGGAATGACCTGAGGCAGCAATCATATTTTTATTTGAATACTGCTACCAAGTGCGTAGTGTAGCATGTTGTATAAACTCATGCCACAAAAAAAAAGAAAAAAAAAAACAGAACTCTTCAGCTAGCCACTTGGTGTAAGGCATTGGGAACAAGTGTCCCACTGCTTTCCTGCCTTTCAGAGAGCTTTTGACATTTTATTAGCTGCATTGCTGCACCTATTGTAGGAGTGAGAGTAGGGCCCTATTCAGGAGCTTGTTTATAGGAGCTCCTTGATGGACTGGACCTTGCACTGCAACTGTTTTCCCTCCCTTCAAGCTATTTTTATTCTTCCTGAATACCAAACATCAAGAGGCCTATTTTACCTAGGTATGGTGTGGAATAAATGATGAAATTAAAGGAGTTTGGGAAGATTTTTAAAGAAACATAAAGCTCATTGACCTTCTTTGGTATTAGATATTAAATCTTCTATTTGATTATGGGGACACAAGTATTTTTTAAATGTTATGTATATACGGCCAGGTGCAGTGGCTCATGCCTGTAATCCCAGCATTTTGGGAGGCCAAGGCAGGCAGATGGCTTGAGCTCAGGAGTTCGAGACCAGCCTGGGCAACACAGTGAAATCCCAACTCTACAAAAAATACAAAAATTAGCCAGGCGTGGTAGCGCACACCCTGTAATCCCAGCTACTCGGGAGAATAGCCTGAGCCTAAAAGTTTGAGGCTACAGTGAGCTGTGATCATGCCACTGCACTCTAACCTGGGTGACAGAGGGAGACCCTGTCTCAAAAAAAAAAAAAAAGTTATGTATATAACTGACCTTCCTAAGTGTTTGTGATGAGGCCCTTGAGAAAATGCCAGAAGAAACTATTGATAGACATTCTCTAATCATTTTGGCTCAATATTGCCATTGAAATAAAAAAGATACAGATCAACTGGTAATATTGCTCTTTTTCTTTTTACTGATTTTTAAAAAGTAGAGAGCATGCACTTTGGAGAGATAATTCCTCTGGTTCTTTTTTATTGAAATACAATTCACATACCATAACATTCACCTTTTTAAAATGCAGTGTTTTTAATCCAGTGTTTTTTAGTGTATTCACAAGGTCATGCAACCATCACCACTATCTAATTCCAGAACATTTTCATCACCCCTCACAGAATCTCTGTACCCATTAAACAGTCACTCCCAGTCCCCTCTCCTGCCAGTCTCCAGCAACCACTAGTCTCTTAATCACTATCTCTATGGATTTGCCTATTTGGGGTGTTTCACATAAATGGAATCATACAGTATGTGGCCTTGTGTGTGCTTTTTCTTTCAATATGATTCTTTCACTTAGCATAATGTTTTTATGGTCTATTCATGTTGGAGCATGTATCAGTACTTCGTTCCTTTTTATGGCTGAATAATATTCCATTCTGTTGACCTAACACATTTTGGTCTGTTCATCCGTTGATGGACATTTCGATTGTTCTCACTTTTGGGCTATTAAGAGTAATGCTGCCATGAACATTCATGTGCAAGTTTTTATGTAAACATATGTTTTCATTTGCCTTGAGTATATATATACCTAGGAATGGAATTAATGGGTCATATGATAGCCCTAACTTTTTGAGGAACTCCTACACTTTTCCAGAGTGGCTGTACCATGTTACATTCCCATCAGCAATGTGTGAGGGTTCAATCCACTTTCTCCACATCCTCCCTAATGCTTGGTAAGGCCTGTCTTTTTTTATTATAGCCATCGTAGTGATTATGACATGGTATCTCATTACACTTTTGAGTCACTGGTTCTTGAGCTGCTTAATTTCTGGATCCAGAGAGACAAGTGTCACATAGTAGAAAGAGCACTGGACTAGGTAATAAGAAATTTGTATTCTAGGCCAGGTGTGGTGTCCTAGCACTTTGGGGAGGCTGAGGTGGGCAGATCATTTGAGGCTAGGAGTTAGAGACCTGGCCGACATGATGAAACCGCATCTCTACTAAAAATACAAAAATTAGCCAGGCCTGGTGATACACACCTGTCATGCCAGCTACTAAGGAGGCTGAGGCAGGAGAATAGCTTGAACCTAGGAGGCAGAGGTTGCAGTGAGCCAAGATCATACCACTGCACTCCAGCCTGGGTGACAGAGTAAGACTCCACCAAAAAAAAAAAAAAAAAAAAAAAAAAAAAAACAGGCGTGGTGGTTCACGCCTATAATCCCAGCACTCTGGGAGGCCCAGGTGGGCGAATCACCTGAGGTCAGGAGTTCAAGACCAGCCTGGCCAACATGGTGAAACCCCATCTCTACTAAACATTAAAAAAAATTAGCTGGGCGTGGTGGCGGGCGCCTGTAATCCCAGCTACGCAGGAGGCTGAAGCACAAGAATCACTTGAACCCAGGAGGCAGAGGTTGCAGTGAACCAAGATCGCGCCACTGCACTCCAGCGTGGGCGACAGAGTGAGACTTAGCTTCAAAAAAAAGAAAAGAAATTTGTATTGTATTCCACTTAAGAGTTACATGACCGTAGGCAAGTTACTTTCCTCTTTGAGCTTTGGATTTCCTGTCAAAACTGAGAAAGCTATGAGTGTTTGGGATTGTTTTATGGGCTTCCAAGTCATTCCTCCAGTCTCCACTCAGCCATCCAACAAGAAATCTCACAATATGCCACAGTCTGTTTTATGAGCTAGCTCCTATCACATAACTCATTAGGCCTCTGCATTCCTTTTCACCCCTTCAACATAAGAATAAATTCAGGAAAATCTAAAGGGAAGACGCTGGACAGAGAGAAGATGAGACCATTCATTCTCCTGCGATTATCTGTCACTGCTTCTACTTTGGCAGTGTCTCACTGTGTTGCCCAGGCTGGTCTCAAATTCCTGGCCTCAAGCAATCCTCCTGCCTCAGCCTCCCAGAGTGTTGGGATTATAGGCATAAGCCACTGCACCCAGCCTTTTTTTTTTTTTTTTTTTTAATATATTTTTAAGGGATCAAAAATTAGTCTTCCTGATTTAGTGAAATCCTAAACTTTACCATTTGGAAACAAAATTTGCGGAGTAGCTTTTCTTTTAGTGTTTTAAATTCAGTTGAGACTACTTTTAACTAAATTTAGCTGTATGTTTAGACGTATACATTTTTTGTAATTCATTTTTGACAGATCTTCAGGATTTATTCCGCAAGACTGGCCAGGACGTGGATGGGAAGCTGACCTACCAGGAAATCTGGACCTCCCTAGGTTCTGCTATGCCAGAACCAGAGAGCTTGAGAGCATTTGATTCCGATGGAGATGGAAGATACTCATTCCTGGAGCTAAGGGTAGCTTTAGGTATCTAGCTTCATCAGGCATATTTTAGAAATGGACTGCCTAATATCTATTTACCTAACAACAAAACAACCCTTACTTACCCATCAGTCCTCTAGTCCTCCAAACTACTGTAGCAGATACTTTGCCACCTTTTAACTTGTTTGAAGAAGCTATATAAAAGTTATTTTTTTAAAGAAGAAGACCATTTTACTTATGATGTTCAGAAATCTATGATTTCCTACAACCAGTAAGATCTTACATTTTAAAATTGCCAGAAAAAAAATTAAAGCCCTCTTTTTTTCTCTTTCCTTTTTTTGAGGGGAGGAGACCTTATCTTTTAAAGCTGGGAAATGTATATAGAGAGAGAATAAGCCACTTTTATATTTCACTTAAATTTGCCTTAAATTAGCTGCACTTTATAGAGACTCAGAAAATGTCTTTTCTTTAAAAGATAGGCCTTTTCTGTTTGTAAATATTTAAATGAAAGAAAGCATTGTGCATATTGTGTGGAAAGTAGGAAGAATGGTTTTGAACAGGATATGAACAAATGACTTATTAAAAATTGCTGATCTGGTGTAGGTGGCAGCTGAAACTACATCCATGTCTCCATAAGGTATCCCTCAAAGGCCCAGGCGCTGCCAGGGGGTTTGTCCTGGTAGCTGGAGGAACCGATTTCAGGGAGTAGACACTGGAGACAATACTGACTCCAGGCATGGCTCATGGAAGTAGGATTCTGGTTCTTTGTTCCTATTCCCTCAGCTAATCCCAACCTGGGAATCAGAGAAGTCTTGGGGATTTTTCTCATTTTTAGTACTATTTCAGGGTTTATGAGCATAAAAAGTTATCCATTGGGGAGCTCCATTTTCCCTGCTGAGTGAGCTAGATTGCCTTCCCCACCCACCCACTTAAGTCTGTCTTAAAGCCGTAGCTGGCTCCCACCACCAGTACCATCTCCATTTGAATGGCAGGGCTAAATTCCCCCAGCCATTATCTCACACTGACCACCCAGAGCTTTAGAAGAGAGCTGTGCTTCTAATTTTGACCCAGAAAACCATACCCCTTGAGATTTTACCTAGAGGCTAACCAAGAGCCTAATATGTTTCTCTGGGGGATGACTAAAGCCAAAAAGGCTGTGAGATGAAACATGTGAAATAATATTCAGTTTCCTTACCATTACCAGCTCAGAAGTAGCTAGAGGCTTTCTACCCAAAGGATGCCAAAGTATAGCAGGGCAGGCCTGGAGCTAGGGCCTTCACATGGTGGTAGCAAGTTTTTCAAATCTAATACAATCAAGTACAATACTTCCTTTAAATGCTTCTGTGGACCTGGCATGAAAGATCCCTAGATTGAAAGGAATAATACCTCCATGTCTCCTGTATGTTGAGTCTAGAATTGCTGTGTTGTTCTTAGAAGCAGTCTTTGGGCAACAACTTGAAAGGGGAAAAAAAAACTACAAAAACTTAACTTTGGTATAGGCCAAGTCAGGGAGAAAGTAGAGAAAGCTGTCATGCCACAGACTTCTTTAGTGGAGATCATTTCCTTTTTAACTTTGTTCAGGTTGCCCTTCACCATGGATACAGTCCGGTACCCTTAAACATTTAAGGGCTGTTTTTTTTTTCTTTACATGATGTTCAGCTTGGTATTAACCAAACTTAAATTTTTTTTCCAGAAGTATTAAAATTTAGTTAAAGCAAGATGAAGTCTTTTCCCATGAATGTGTCCCCTTATCTCATTATAGCTTATGCTCAGTTTCACTTTCTTGGAAAGGTTAAAACAAATTAGCCTGGCACTTTAGGTAACTTGAAAATAACTCTCACCCTTCTGACTGCCTTCCATCCACTCTCACCCCACACCTTTTTTTAATATATATACACCCTTACAGATTTTCTAACAACCAAATAAAATTCTAGCAATAAATTGAATTATACTGCTATATTTGTATATACTGTACCATAAATAGTATGTCTGTACCTGGAAGGTATTTTTTTGAGAACTGATTTATATGAAATATACTTGAGGGTAATGTAGCTTGTCCTTTTTAGTTTCAAATTCTTATTCATAGGCAGATACTTTGAAGACACCTTAACTCTTTGTTGTGTGTATTTTCCCTTGCATCAGATAACTATACATGGAGAAATCCATTTTGTTTTTTGGTTTATCTTCTGTTCTTCCTACCTTGTGCTTGTCTGACTAGTATCACCCCTGAGCCAGTATACAGTACCATCCTCTCCCCCTACCAAGTTTGGCAGAGGTGTTTATACTGCATTCTCAGATCTATGAATATTTTTGTCATCCTGCCTGAGAAAGTACATCTTCCAGGCAAAAGTAGGGTATCTTGAACTCCTTTCTTCTGAGTTGAGCAGACTCACTGGCTTAAGCATCCCATAAGCCTATTATTTAGTGTGAATTTGGGACTTTTATTTGTATGTTGTCTTAACTTACTAAGCCTGTGACTTGTATTTAGCTGTAGTCAAGCCTCACCAGCCATATCTCATCTCTGAGAGGAAGACTGGATAGTGAGTTTGGTTTTGGTTTTGGTTTTAAACCCTTTTACCTTTTCAGTCTGGCAGCTCCTACTGCTGCTTTCCTAAGTTACTCAAAGCACTGCTTCTTGGTCCTTGTTTTCTTTTGCCTTGTACTATCTTGTATAATGTTTACTAAAAGAGCCTCCCCATAAATCAGAGAGGCAAAAAGGTAGCATATAAAAAGAAGAACCAAAAGAAGAGAAAACCTGACTTCTAGATGACTGTGGTGTCATCTAAAAGGCAGAGGTGCCTGACCCTCAGGAATGTGTATGATGCAACAGAGCTGAAGAATGGGTTCCCTTCACCTACTGCTGGCCATTGTCCCTTCTGTTGGAGATTCCTTTCTTTATGGTTGCTGTTCATAACCCCTTCAACACCCCCCCTTGCTGGTCCTGCCGGTCACAGTTGAGGATTTTGGCTGTGATGGGCTCATACTCATAATGGCCTGTTGAGTTGTTTTTAGTGACAGGTTTTGTTTGCTGCACACCTCATTGGCTTGCTTACCAACACCAGCTAGAAGTGGTCCCTCTTTCATATCCAAACCAGAACACATTTGGGTATTCCTGAGACTTTATAGAGCGTGTATTGTTTGTTATACGAACCTAACCTACCTTGTTGTTTTCTCATATTAAGAAATTTAAATCTACTTTGTTTTAGTGAAGCTATTTTGGTAATGTATAAGCAATTTTGGTTCTGTTTAGGGAGAATTCAGGGTTTCCATGACTTGATTTGAGCTTTGCATATTTCAAATAAGTAACACAGCCATTTTAATTTAGCTAAATAAAAAAATTTCTTTTTTCTCTCAATGTGTCTGACTAAAGCCTCTCTCACTCCCCTGCGATTTTTAAGGGAAAAAAAAAATCTGCTTTGATTTCTATATTTATGGACGCCTTACACCTTTTGAAAGCAAGGAGTAACACATGGTGGGCCCAAAGTAATTAAGAGTCTGCCTTAAGGACTGCAATATTTGGCCTGAAGAAGCAAAGGCTGCAGGGTTCAGGCTTTTTGCATCCAGAGGATGGGAGGGGTGAGGTGAGGCAGGAGTGAGCCCTGCCCCTGTGTCTACCCGAGATGCTCCACTTAGGCCTGTTTTATTTTTTGAGAGTCAATATAAAAGCGTGTTTGCCATAAATGTCCCACCACCTTAAAAAAAAAAAAAAGCTTAAAATCCGTTGCTAAAGAGGGGTCATACACAAGCTAAAACTTTTTCACACACAGAAAAAAATAACTCTACATGTTTGCTAGATTCTGGATACCTCCCCCCCTCCCCGCAACACAGAATCTGGTGACCTTCCCCCTCAGTCATTATGTAAATGACTATACATAAAGCTTTTGTTATTTACAAATATAATGAGAGGATTTGTTCATTTCCAAAAGGAAAGGGAGAAACACATATCCTGTGATAGAGCTGGGCTTTCTTACCTCAAAACTGCAGCCAAATGGGCAGTATTATCTTTGTCTCACCTTTTAGAACCATTTCCAGAAGTACAAAAATTATTAATATTCCCATGTGGTGGATCTTAACTTTTGGGAGGGGGACATGGATTCCTGTAGGAAAGGTAAAAACTATGGATATATGTCTACGTATAATTTTAGGCAGTTCACTGACCAGCCCTTCCTCCAAGCCAGTTCATGGACCAACTTAATGACACCCTACATACAATCCGAAGCATTCACCAAGTGTTTTCTAACACGACATATCATTAGGGAAGGGGCACTATGGCGTATGGTGGGAAGATCAGTACCTTTGATGCCAAGCAACTGATGATCAATAACTTTCATACCAGTAACTTTGATGCAAGGCAGATGTAGATTTGAGAACTGGCTCTGCAACTAAGAAAGGTATGGCATATGCCCTTGGAACCTGTCTCTTCATCCATAAGAGGAGGATCATGATATCCATTTGGCAGTGTTCTTGTGAATTATTAGAAATAATGTAAAGAGGCAACCACGTAAGAGCTGCATACATCATAGATAATAACAAAGAATGCATTTCAGCCCATAGTGCAGTGTGGCTCACAGGGCTCGTGATGACTCATTTTGCCTGTGACATAGCGACTGTAAATCAACATAGCTCACGTACCCTCAGCAGCTATCACTCTGGTGGCAGCTGTGCTTCACATCCCACAGAACACCAGTGCCTTGGGGTACCTAGGCCAGGGCCTGGCACACATTTTTGTTTTAAATACTGAACAGAGGGATATTGAGTCCATCCACAAGTACTGGTTCAGTGTGTCTCCCCACAGCCAACCACCAGTGCCAGTTCATATTGGTGAGACTCAGCAACCAACTTGGTTTGCAAAGTGACCCCATCAGACAGGAAGGACATTGCCTTCCTAACAGCAAATGAGAAACGAGGGAGCCTTGGACTTTTTTTTTTTTCTTTTAATGTTTCATAGCATGACATCCAGGTGGGTCCTGACCTCTGTCAATACCACCTTCCTGAGGTTAGTTCCATTTCCTACTCTGCACCTGATTCCTGCAGCTCCCACCTTCAGTGAGAGGAGGCTACAGTTCTGAAGGAAAAGGCTTGGCATTGAAGCTATGGTCTTCCTGGGCCAGATTCAGGAGGGAATGGAAGAGAACATTCCTTTCAGGACAGGTGGCCAAAGGATAGGAGACAGAGTGGTTCAGCAGGGGGGGTAGGTTGCACAAGGGTGGGGCAAAGGGCACCTCCTGAAAGATGGGAAGTGGGAATGGGGATCTGGCCTGGGGCTGCTGTGGAGCCAGCTGCAGTGCAGGTTGCAGGGGAGCAGGGGCTTCCGCCTTGGGGTTGCTGTCTTGGTCAGCATGGCTCCTGCCTTCGGGGATGTCCAAATCCCACAGAACATCTGGATTCTGGACCTCAGTCTCAGTCTTGGTGACAGCAGGGGCAGGGCCCGTGTTGATGGCTGCATTCATGCCGTAGCGCCGTCGCTTGTTAATCCAGTACAACAATGGGCTGTAGGTGAATGTGGCAGCTCTCATCACCTCCACCCACTGCTGGGCATGCTCTTCCCGCCTCAAGTTCTTCCTCCAGTGCAGAAAGATAATGCACCCTCCAGTTATCACAGAACACAGCCCCAGGATTCCAAAGTACAATGAGACCCACACTAAGGCAGCAAGAAAGAAAAAGAGGCATGCTGGCTGATAGCTGTAGCTTGGGGCCTGAGCTGTTTCTCATTCCTCTTTCACTTAACCCATGCATCAATCGCTCCATCCACTTAACTACTCTCACCGTTCCTTCCCTCCCTTATTGACTTGCCTCATCATTCCCTTATTCAGTCAAAGCTAGATTTCCAGGGAGCTTAAGCACCACCTTTAACTCTTTACAGATCACAAAAGCTAGGTCTAGCGGGGGCATGTGCTGCCCAGGCTCAGTCAAGCCTCTGATTCCTAACCCAGGACCCATCCAATCCATCAGACTGAGAAGTTTCACTATGGGCAAGTCCATCAAGAAGCAAAAGTTCACCAGCACTTTGTGAGGCCCAGGTGGGCAGATCACTTGAGGTCAGGACTTCAAGTCCAGCCTGGCCAACATGGTGAAACCCCGTCTCTACTAAAAATTTTAAAATTAGCCAGGTGTGGTGGTGCATGCCTGCAGTCCCAGCTACTTCAGAGGCTGAGGCAGGAGAATCACTTGAATCCAGGAGGTGGAGGTTACAGTGAGCCTAGATTGAGCCACTGCACTCCAGCCGGGGCAACAGAGCAAAACTTCATCTCAAAAAAAAAAAAAAAAGTGAAAGTTCATCAGTTGACAGAGACACCAATGTCCCATCCCATTCCATTCAGCTGTGATAGTCCTGGGCTATTGATAGTATCTTCTCTGGTTGATCAGAGCATGGTCTTTGCCTTAAAATAATTCTTAGTTTTCTAGAGTAGACTATCTCCTAACTGCTTAGCTCTCCTCCAGGCAGCCAGGCACTGTCCCATCCATGCAAAGGGCCTTCCCTGAGTGTTTGTCCCCAAGCCCTAAGGCACAAGTCCAGTGACAGGGACTGGAGGAGCACTTACTCCCAGGGAAGCGCAGGTCCTCCTGTTGGGAATCCATACAGCTGAGCTTTGGTACCTGGCCGATGGCTCTGGGGAGAGGGAACTCACCCACCCATCTGCCCAGCCAGTCAGCCCATCTGCCCAGCCAATCAGAGTCTCCAGAATGCCCAGGCCCTTTGTTCTCTAAAGGAGAGGTCACTGGGTTCTGAGAATTGGGCATTCTAGGGGCAGTGCTTGTGAAGTGGTCCTGGGTTAATGGAAGGAGGGGACTTCATCCAGTGGCATTTTTTGGGTGGAATGTCACTACTACTTCCATCAGAGACTGGTTCACCTATTGAATTGTCTGTACCTACCCCTTATGGTGAACCCACAGAGCAGACCCCAGAAAAGGGCCATTGTCCCTCAGGTACTTACGGATGTTGCTGGTCTTTAGGGAACGGTTGATGGGATACCTGTCCCCAGTGAGGAATGTAACAAGGAACACACAGCATTGGGCAGCCCTGTTCTCAAAAAGTATCTAACCAAGTTGGCAGGAAGAAACCTGCTCAAGGGAACCAAGTGGTCAATACCTCCTTCTTTGGCTCCAACAATCTGTCTTTTATTTAATTACCTTCCTTCAAGTGCTGACAAGTGTTTCCCAGGCCCCAGGCCCTGTGGGGCTTCCCACCATCTGGCCTGCATCTACTTCCAGCCTTACTTCCCTCCTCGTCCTCCACACACTTTTCCCTTTTGCCTAGTCCGTACTCCTGAACAGACCCTGCTCATTCACATCTCTGGAGGTGTGCCCATGCTGCTCCTTCACCCAGGAGTGCCCCTGCCCACTTTTCCACCACTGAACACCTGCTCATCCTTCAAGACTCAGCTCAGCCCCCCTACTCTGTGACAGACTGCCCAGAATCATATCATCGCCAATTTGAAGAAACTTTGAGAGTTGTCTAGTTCATCTCCACCATCTGATCCCACCATCAGGGCCATGCTTGACTCCTGGGGGTAGATTTTTCCCCACACAGCAACTAATCTCCCTGGACTCAAGACTCACTTGAGTCAGGAACTTGCTCACCACCTCCTGAGGCAGCTTGATGCATTTATGGGCAGCTCAGTTAGAAAGCCCTTCCCTAATTAAGCTTAAGTCAGCCTTCCCAGTATGTTGCACCACTGCTTGTAGCTCAGCTTCTTAGCACCATTTTAATGACTCCCCTCTTTATAGTCCTCCAATGTGTGACTTAGGGAACTATTTAGCACAGAATTCTCTCCAGGGTCCACTTACCCTTGTTCTCCTCGTATATCACTGGCCCCTACTTTCCAGTCTCCTTTGCTGGTTTCTCCCTTTTCCCCTGATCTCTAAATGTAGGCATGTCTAGGGCTCAGTTCTTAGTGCTCTATCTACATTCATTCCATCAGTTATCTCACCCAGACCCCTGGCTTTAAATATCACTATACACTGACAGTACGCAACTGTATCTCTCCAGCCTGGAATGCTCCTCAGAACTTTAGACTCATACCCAAATACCTGGTTGACATCCCTCCTTGCCAGTCTGTTAAATTATCCCAAACCAACATGTCCAAAACCAAACTCTGATTATCCATCCTCCAAAGTCTACCCTACCTACAGCCTTCCTCCTCTTCATAAGTAGTATCTCTGTCCTTCGGGTTGTTCAGGCCAAAAACCTGCAAGTCATCCTTGACTCCTTTCATTCTATCACACCCACACTGACTCCATCAGCAAGATCTTTAGGCTTTTATTTCAAAATATAACCAAAATCTGGCCACTTTTTTTTATCACTATCACTTTAGTCCAAGTACCACCATCTCTCACTTGGATTACTGTTCCCTGTAGGGTGACCAACATCCTGGTTTGCCCAGGACTTGGGGTGGGTTCTCAGGACATGGGGCTTTCAATGCTAGAGCCAAGAAAGTCCTAGGCAAACTGGAATAAATTAGTCACCCTTGGGAGAGTTTCCATCCTTGCCTCCACATATCCTAAATCCCACCAGCAGCCAGCATGATCCTTTTAAAAAGTAGATCATGTTACTCCACTGCTTAAAACATATAGTAACTTCCGATCTCATTCGATTTAAAATCAAAGTCCTTAACCAAGGCCTAAGCAATCTAACTAGCCCTCCCTATACCTTCTTGGTCTCATTTCTGCTGCTGTGCCCTCACTCATTCAGACTCAATAACCTCCTCATCAGGGCCTTTGCACTTGCTGTTTCCCCTACCTGGAAGGCTCTTCCCCCAGCATTCCCACATTACCTTCAGGTCTCTGCTCAAGTGTCCCCTTATCTCTATCTCTCTTGGCCTGCTGTTTTTCTGCATACCATGTAGCATCACCTAACATTATATATTTACTGTCTGTTTCACTCCACTAGAATGTAAGCTCAATGAATTAATATAAACAAGGATCTAAGAACTTCAGATAATGATAACTGCTATAAAGAGAATGCAATAGAGTGATGGGATAAAGACTATAAAGAGATGGAGGGGTTGTCATTTAGGTCCCTTGGAGGTGCTTACATGTGAACTGAGCCCTTAGATGATGAGGAGGCAGCCACATGCAGATCCACAGAGAAAACAGCAAGTGTTAGGAGTGTGAGCCAGGTATGGGCTGGCATACTTGAAGGACTTATTCATCTTCCATTACACTGTTCCTCGCACAGGGCAGGGCTCAGGGCTGATCTCCATGAGCATAGGTTGGATTGAGCAGAGTTGAAGGCTCTGCCCCTGTCCCAGGAGGGGCTTCAATCAGACAAAACCCAGACAAGAAGGACCTGATGATGAGTACTGTCCCAGAGAGCCCACTCCAGGACTGGCCCTGTTCTGTGAGCAGGTGGGACACAGAGATGTTAATGTCACTGTCCCTGACCCTAGGAGCTCACACCTGGTTCAGACGGTAAGGAAGATTGTGGCATTTGGGTTGAGAGAATGGAAGGAGAGAGGATTCCAGGGGTCAAAAAGGGCCTGAATAAGGACTCTTCAAGGAGTAATCCTGGTGTTTCTTTGGGAGAGAATAGGTCACTGTGGCTGGAGTTCAAGGAGGATGTCAGGAAGCAGAGGAAAAGGAGGCTTGGGAGGCAGCTGCCATCTTGAAAAGAGCTCAGCTGTCGGGTAGAACTTGAACAAGTCACATAATTACTCTCGGCCTCAGTTTCCTTATTTGTTAGATGAGGATAATACTGCCACACAGAGTATGAAGCCGCTCAGTGTCCTGCACATAGCAACCTCAGTAAAGAGAAGCTTGCTGCTGTGATTATAGTTGATGAAAAGACCTTCGATGCTGAAGGACGGACTACTACATCGAGTGCCTGGCACTACAGCGAGTGCCAGGGGCAAGCACCGCGAGGACATGGAGATCCGCTGGCTTTAGAGAACGGACTTGGCGCGCAGAGGCTGCTGGTCCCAGAGGGAGGAAGGGCGTTGAATTTGGGCAGCCTCCCTGGAGGAGGCGGGCCGTGGCATACACAGGGCGGCGAGAGCGCGCAGTGCCGGGGCCAGAGCGGCGCGCCCCCTCCTCCCCGCCCCGCCTCGCCGCTATCCCGCGCCCGGAACCTTGGGCGCGCGGAACCTCGGTGCCGGAGCGCGGGCGCGGCGCACTCGGAGCGGGATGGAGCGGGCGCGCGGGCCGCGGGCCGAGGCCGACGCGCCTGAGGAGGAGGAGGAGGCGGGGGCGGCCATGGCTGCTGTGGTGGTGGCGGCTGCGGGTGGCGCGGGACCGGCGGTCCTGCAGGTGGCCGGTCTCTACCGGGGCCTGTGCGCGGTGCGCAGCCGCGCCCTGGGCCTGGGGCTCGTGTCACCCGCGCAGCTGCGCGTCTTCCCAGTGCGCCCCGGCTCGGGCCGGCCCGAGGGGGGCGCCGACAGCAGCGGGGTCGGGGCCGAGGCCGAGCTCCAGGCCAACCCTTTCTACGACCGCTACCGCGACAAGATCCAGCTGCTGCGCAGGTGCGGGCCTGGGTTGGCTGGAGGCGGGCAGGAGGCGGGAGGAGGGGCGGCCCGGGCTGCTGGGCCTTAGGACAGCCCTGTGAGGTGGGCACTAGTACTGTCCCAGCTCTTCAGATGATGTAGCCAGGCTCCGCGAGGCTAGGTCACTTGCCCAAGATCACACAGCTAATTGGTGTCAGAGCTGGGAGTCTCTGCAAAGCCCTGGCTCGTTCCACGTTTGTCTGCTTTGGTTCTCCAAACGCTAAGGTGGACTCTTATGACAGCCCTGAGGCAGGCAGCTCAGAGACACCTGTCCTCATTATAGAAATGGGAAAACGCCTTCTAGAGAAGGGACTTGACTTGCTCAAGGTCACATATTAAGATAGCTGAGGCCTGGCTCAGAGCTGGAGTTCCCAGGCTGGTGGTAGCTTAGGGCCTTGACTGCAAGGAAAGGCGACTGGGGATGGGAGGAGGGCATCAAAGACTAATAGTGTCACAGTCGGATCACCCATTGAACCCTCTTAAGGAGACTGAGGATCAGCGAGAGTAAGAGACTTGCCAAAGGTCACACAGCTGTTTGGGATTTGTCTGACTCTGAGTCCAGGGTCCCTAACACCACCTCTTAGCTTCCAGAGGGAAGGATCTGGAGCTTAGAGGGGCTTAAGGTGCATATGAGGGGCTATAGGAGCATCTGAAGAGTTCAAGTGGGAAGAGCTAAAGGAGATCAGAGGTGAAAATTAAAGGGGCTTGGGAGAGAATTTAGCAGGGTAAGAAGGTAGTTGTCTTATGAAAGGAAACCAAAGACTTAGTACTGTAAATTTGAGTTCTGTCTCATCTCTACTTCCACTGCCTTAATCTACTCCATCATCGTCACCTGGGCTGTTGCCATTATCCTCTAACTAGAGTTCCCTACTTCCATTCCTGGACTACTTTACCCCAGTTCCTCTCACTGCTACTGTAGTGATCTTTCTTGCCATTTGAAACAGTTATGCAGTAAATGAATGAGTATTTTTGCTCTCCTTCCAGCAGCATTGAGATAGTCTCAAGTATTTGTCATCTTAAAAGCCTTTCTTTGATGTACATTCCCCTCCAGGCTTCTCTCGTTGATCTGTATTTGATCTGTTTTACACACAAGCATCTCTGAAGAGTTGTCTACTTGTACTTTGAATACTTTATCAGCATCCATTTATTCTTACCCACTCATGAACAAATAAATAACTGGTTTTACCGTCCTTCCCCACTGGATCATTCCCATCAACATTTACACATACTGTTATCCCCCCACTGACCTCTAAATAACATCCAAACTCCTTAATGTTTCACACAAGTTCCTCATACCCTAGTCCCTGCCAGTCTCTCTCTAGTTTTATCTGTTAGCAAACTTCCTTTGAAAAAGAATGGAGAGGAGGGGATGTTCCAGGTAAGGGGAGCAGCAACATAAACAAAGGTACAGAGGCATGAAACCACCTTAACCATTTGGGGATGTTTGAGCAAATTTTCATCATAATACCTGTTGTACTTTCATTTGTTTACTTTTATGCCTGTCTCTCCCACTGGATAGTGAGCTCCTTGAGGTAGGGAGTCTGACTTATTTATTTCTATATCCTCAGATCCCAGCAACAGCTTCACTGCCCAGGCTGTCCCTTGCCCTCTCTACCCCTTCACTATGGCAGGCCCAGTTGCAGCTGTAGCCACTAGCAGGGTTGACCCTGGTCCTGGTACAGCCCCCAGGGCTGCTTGCAGCTCTGGCCAGGCAGGTGCCATGCCCGACTAAGCAGAAACCCCTGGTGAGGCTCTTTATTGAGGAGGAGCCGGCCCACTACAGAGAGAAGAAAAACATCCCATCTACATGACAGTGAAGGGAGTGGTGTTTTATGTCACCTCCAGAAAGGAATTTTATGGAAGAAGGGGCCCCCTATAATGCATTGACCAGGAAAGTCCACCAGAGGGATAGCCAAGATGTCCCTGGGTCCTCCAGACCTCACCCATGAAACTCTGGGTCTCATGGCCAAAGAGCTGGAATCCCTGGATGATATCTTCACCAAAGTGTACAAAACCAAATATCCCATGGTTAGCTACACAGTCTGAAGAATTCTTAATAGGGACAGCACCCCAGCCTGGACTTCAAACCTGAAGACCAACCCCATTTTGACATAAACAATGTGTTCTGTTGTTTCATCTCCAAGAGCAGCTTCTTTGGAGGGTAGGTTAGGGAGATACTCAGATGCTAAATCTTCTGCAAAATAGGCTACCTAAAGCCTCTGAATCACCAGGATCTGAATAAAGCAGATGTTTAACCTGGTTGGGGGGACATATTTTCAAGAACTGGATGTATTCAAGTAAAAGCTTGACACCTAGTAAGGAGGCTATAGGATTCTTGTCTGAAGAGGTGATCCAGCAAGATGACCTCAAAATTCTAAGTACCCTGAATGTAAGTACCTGAGAGACTAAGCCCTGTGTAAACCTAGGGAACAGCCTGCAAAAGAAAAATGTTACACAGGCCCCTTGAGGATTAACAACAGTTGAATAACAGGATTTCTTTTTCCAGTTTCTTTATTTCTAGGCCTGTGCCCAGTTCTTACTAACTGAAGGCAAATTTTTCAACCTCTCTGAATGGCAGTGTCCTTTCTCTGTAGAGGTGGAAAGTGATGCTTTGTTATTTTAGAATTCAAAAAGGCCCAGTTGGTTTACCCTTTGGTTTACCTCTGATCAGGTCAGACCCAGCTGCTTTTGAGTCCCGCCTGGAGAAACGCAGTGAATTTCGGAAGCAGCCAGTGGGGCATTCCAGGCAAGGTGATTTTATCAAATGTGTGGAACAGAAGGTAAGACCTTCCCCCATTTGTGGTGTTTGCTTACCAGCACTCCTTCACCCTCCTTACCCTCACCCTTATCCTTAAAGTTGGTTTATTGATGGGTCAGCTGGGTGAACTGAACATAGTCTCTCCCAACTCCATTTCCATCCATAAATGTTTATCCTGCTCTTTCTAGGCAAAGTACTGTGGTCATGGTGGAGATATAGAAGTATGAGAGGGGTACTTCCTGCTCCCAAGAGGAGCAGTCTGGTGGTCAAGGCAAGGCACACATGGTAGTAGGCTAGAGGTATCAGAGAAAATTTCCCATGGGAGATGGAACCTGACCTAGGCTAGGAACGTTGTGGGGGATTTAAATTAAGTAGAGAGGAAGGAATGGGACTTTGATGTAGAGCAGGGGTCATCAAATTTTTTCTGTAAAGAACTAGATGTTAAATATTTTAGGCATTGTGGGCCGTATGGTCTTCTTTGTGACTACTCAGCTCTGCCATCATAGTGCAAAAGCAGGCCTAGACCGTACGTAAATGAATAGGTATGGTTCTGTCCCAGTAAAACTTAATCTACAAAAATATTTGGCAGACTAGATTTAGTTTCCTGACAACCAGCCAACCCTGCCAACCCACCCCCATCCATTCCCATGTTGAGGAATTAGCTTAAACAGAGGAAGAGCTTTGAAAGTAAAAGGGGTTTCAGGAGACAGCAAGGTACTATGCCCAGTTAAAATGGAGAGGGAAGTGTTAAGGCTAAAGAAATAAGTTAGGCATTAAACTCTTTGGGCTTAAGGAGTACAGGCAGGATAATTTAGCTGCTAAGAGGATGGGCTCTGGGGCCAGATGCCAAGGACTGAATCCTAACCCTTCCACTTACTAGCTGGGTGACTCTGAGCAAATTGTTACTTCTCCATGCCTCAGTTTGCTTATCTGTAAAACAGGAATAATAACAGTACCTACTTCACAGAGTTGTGCTGAAGAGATAATACCATTTAAAACTCTTTAGCGCCGTCTCTGGCATAAGTACTTAATATATATTAGCCATTATTATCCTTAAATAGGAATCAAAGCTGAGGAAAAGCATGTTGAAAACTGTGTCTGGGAAGATTATTCTAATGCAGTGTTTTTCAAACTTTTTGACCATGACCACAATAAGAAATATATTTTACATTGCAATTCAGTACACATGTAGGTATATGATTGTAACTGAAAAAAAAATGTATAAAATAATGCTAACTTTTACAACATGCAGTCCATTCTTATTACTTTTTATTCTCTTTCATCTTTTAAAAAACTCTGATCACAATCCACTAAATGTATTTCACAACCTATTATTTGAAAAATTCTAACCTAGGATGGTGCACAGAACAAACTGGTGTAGGAGAGGCCAGCGCCAGGGAGAATATGGAGTAATCCAGGTGTGGGCTGCAGAAGCCTGAATTAAGGTAGTTACAGTAGAAAATTGGGATTCTACATTGTGTTTTAAAGTCAAATTAGAGGTGTTTATTTTACTTGGAAAATACTTTTTTTGCCTTGGGTATCCTGAATTTTAAGTGAATCTGCTGAGTCTTAATGACTACTACTCATCTGACAAAGGGCTAATATCCAGAATCTACAGTGAACTCAAACAAATTTACAAGAAAAAAAAAACCCCATCAAAAAGTGGACAAAGGATACGAACAGACACTTCTCAAAAGAAGACATTTATGCAGCCAAAAGACACATGAAAAAATGCTCATCATCACTGGCCATTGGAGAAATGCAAATCAAAACCACAATGAGATACCATCTCACACCAGTTAGAATGGCAATCATTAAAAAGTCAGGAAACAACAGGTGCTGGAGAGGATGTGGAGAAATAGGAACACTTTTACACTGTTGGTGGGACTGTAAACTAGTTCAAACATTGTGGAAGTCAGTGTGGCGATTCCTTAGGGATCTAGAACTAGAAATACCATTTGACCCAGCCATCCCATTACTGGGTATATACCCAAAGGATTACAAATCATGCTGCTATAAAGACACATGCACATGTATGTTTATTGCGGCACTATTCACAATAGCAAAGACTTGGAACCAACCCAAATGTCCAACAATGATAGACTGAATCAAGAAAATGTGGCACATATACACCATGGAATACTATGCAGCCATAAAAAATGATGAGTTCATGTCCTTTGTAGGGACATGGATGAAGCTGGAAACCATCGTTCTCAGCAAACTATCGCAAGGACAAAAAACCAAACACTGCATGTTCTCACTCATGGGTGGGAATCGAACAATGAGAACACATGGACACAGGAAGGGGAACATCACACACTGGGGCCTGTTGTGGGGTCGGGGGAGTGGGGAGGGATAGCATTAGGAGATATACCTAATGTTAAATGACGAGTTAATGGGTGCAGCACACCAACATGGTACATGTATAGATATGTAACAAACCTGCACGTTGTGTACATGTACCCTAAAACTTAAAGTATAATAAAAATAGAAAAAAATAAAATAAAATGACTAATTGAGTTAATTAGAACAGGATTAATAGTAAATGGGTTGCCAGGCGCAGTGGCTCACGCCTATAATCCCAGCACTTTGGGAGGTTGAGGTGGGCAGATCACTTAAGGTCAGGAGTTTGAGACCAGCCTGGCCAACAGGGTGAAACCCTGTATCTACTAAAAATACAAAACTTAGCTGGGTGTGGTAGCAGGCGCCTGTAATCCCAGCTACTTGGGAGGCTGAGGCAGGAGAATCGCTTGAACCTGGGAGGCGGAGGTTACAGTGAGCTGAGGTCATGGCACTGCATTCCAGCCTGGGCAAAAAAAAAAAAAATAACAGATGGGTTAATTATAATAAGGTTGGGGAGCAAATTCAACTCCTATGACAAATAGAGTTTACAACTTTATGTGAGCAAACAATTCTTTACTACAAATATTTTAACAATTGTCATTTCCTATAATAAACACTTATAGTAGTAAGGTTACAAGTCAATAGCTCTTGGAAATATTACTATATTATAAACTTTAAATATTAGATAGGAATGTTCTTTGCCCCTTTTTGGTAAACAGACTTAGAAATTTGGCTTTATGAGGCCGGGCGTGGTGGCTCACGCCTGTAATGCCAGCACTTTGGGAGGCCAAGGCGGGCAGATCACGAGGTCAGGAGATTGAGACCATCCTGGCTAACACGGTGAAACCCCTTCTCTACTAAAAATACAAAAAATTAGCCGGGCGTTGTGGCAGGCGCCTGTAGTCCCAGCTACTCGGGAGGCTGAGGCAGGAGAATGGCGTGGAGCCAGGAGGCGGAGCCTGCAGTGAGCGGAGATCACACCACTGCACTCCAGCCTGGACGACAGAGTGAGACTCCATCTTAAAAAAAAAAAAAAAGAAAGAAATTTAGCTTTATGATAAAATGTAGAATATGTAAAGATTTAATTTAAATTGTGGCAGCTCTTAGGTAAATATTCACTTGCTATCTTCTGTATCTAGCTAGATAGAGGAAGGCTAACGGCTAACACATATTTTCCATTCCCACAGTCTTGTCTTTACTACTTTGAGTTATTGGTTCCCCACCACATGGGACTCAACATCCCCCTTTTATAATACATTTTTTAAAAATTCTCCCTTTTCTACCCTGAAATAAAACAATAGGTATGTAAAAATATAACCTACCTGTATGTATAACCTCAGGTGGGAAAATCAATATAATGCCCTAACCATAATATAAAGAAAAGTATTTTTTAACAAAATACATATTTTAGCATGTAAATATTAGGGCACGACTACACTGTGAGACCTAATGTAGTCATGAGGTGCTTCCACCCATTTCTGAAATAACCTTGAACATGTAAGCAGCAAATACTGACTGGCAAATGGGTGTTATGTTGATAATTATAAAAACTCTAAAACCACCGGGTGCAGTGGCTCACACATGTAATCCTAGTACTTTGGGAGGCCAAGGTGGCAGATCACTTGAGGTCAGGAGTTCGAGACCAGCCTGGGCAACACGGTGAAACCCCGTCTCTACTAAAATGCAAAAGAAAAATTAGCCAGGCATGGTGGCGCATGCCTGTAATCCCAGCTACTCAGGAGGCTGAGGCAGGAGAATTGCTTGAACCCGGGAGGCGGAGGTTGCAGTGAGCGGAGATTGTGCCACTGCACTCCAGCGTGGGCGACAGAGTGAGACTCTGTCTCCAAAAAAAAAAAAACCTCCAAAACCATGAGCAGTGTTGTTATCAGTGACCTATGATTCCACAATGTGGAATCTTTCAAGTTATATAGTAGTTGCATTTCTGGAAATTTTAGTATTAAAGCAGTGTTTAAAAAAAAAAGGTTCTAGGCCCAAGTAATTATAAATATTGAAATATTATAGGTATTTTCAGCTGCAAGAATGTCTAGCTAGACATTGAAAAGTTGTACAGGATGAGGGAAATTTTTTTTATTATGTAGAACTCACCCATTTGACACCCCTCCCATAATGTAGATATCAATATCCAATAAACTATTATGATAACCATAAAATTATCTGCACAGATTTCCAAAGCATCCATAGTAGGGAAGTAAAATACCCATTTAAAGTTCTTATTAAATGCTTCTGATTTTTGACATGTAGTTTCAACTGCTTTAATTACCTTATTTCATCAAATCTAAAGCTCACTCTTATTTTTCTCATTTTAACATCACTAAAATTGTCTTATAATTGATATGACAGGAAAATATTGTGCTATTTAATTGGCATCATTTTCTGATGCATAAAATAATGGTGCATCTTAAGATATGATGTCTTAGATTTGATAAAATGCAATACGCTTATACTTAGGGCTTAAATTTTTTATTTCTATAAGTGAAAATGGATACAAATAATAGATTGGAGAGACATTGTGTAAAAACCGATACATGAGGCTTCATGACTGAAAGGTGAAAGCAGCTGTGCAAGTGGAGGTTTTGTTTTGTTTTTGTTTCGTTTTCATGGTACACCTGAGAATGAGTGGTATGAAAATGAAATTCTCATCAGGCACAGTGGCTCATGCCTGTAATCCCAACACTTTGGGAGGCCGAAGCGGGCAGATCACTTGAGGCCAGAAGTCAAGACCAGCCTGGCCAACATGGTGAAACCCCATCTCTACTAAAAATACAAAAAATTAGCCAGGCATGGTGGCACAAGCCTGTAGACCCAGCTACTCGGGAGACTGAGGTGGGAGAATCACTTGAACCTGGGAGGCAGAGGTTGCAGTGAGCCGACATTGTGCCACTGCACTCCAGCCTAGGCAACAGAGCTAGACCCTGTCTCAAAAAAAAAAAAAAAGAAAGAAAGAAAATGAAATTAACTCCTTTTTAGATGGTTTACATATGAAGGAACGGCTACACTGGGATGTTGTCAGTGTATAGGTGCGTGACCAAAAAGACTAAAGGGTGTTCAACAGGCTTTTCTCTAATTTGTGGGTACAGGTTCTATGACCATCATTTATGAAAAGTGTGGATTAATTAAAGCACAAAGTGACTAAAGGCAAGGTTTTATGCAGAAAGTGTTTTTCAGCCTCAGAATCCCAGGTGTCGAATGTACTTCTGAGAAGCACAGCCTTGAGTGGAAGACTCAGAACAACCCATCCCTACTACCAGAAACTACTCAAAACAGGATTTACTAGCTATGACCTTTATGAGAGATAATGGCTACGAGACAAAATAATCACTTTCAGTTGTTGGTGGCCTTTTTTTAAGGGTGTCTAATTTGATAGAGGAAACATTAAGATTGAACACTCAAAATGACTCTAGTCTGCTGAGGATGCCTACCATCAAAGTGTTGTCAGAGATAAGCAGTATCCTTGGATAACACATCTTTCCATTTCTTACCTCTCCCATGGCTCAGTGTGGAATAGGTCAGGACAGAGCACAGTAATCCCAAGCAGGCCTAATTCTGGGAAGAAATCCCTCATATCCACAGTGGCAGGTGGAGAATGGACTCTCAGTACTAGTAGATGATAGTTTACTGAGAGAGAAATCTTATCTCTGAATCTCAGAATCTTAGAAGAAAGTTGTTTTCTTATAAACAATAATTTTTATTTTTATTTCTTTTTATTTATTTATTTTATTTTATGAGACAGAGTCTCACTCTGTTGCCCGGGCTAGAGTGCAGTGGCGTGATCTCGGCTCACTGCATCCTCCGCCTCCTGGGTTCAAGCGGTTCTCCTGCCTCAGCCTCCCAAGTATCTGGGATCACAGGCACCCGCCACTATGCCCAGCTAATTTTTTGTATTTTTAGTAGAGACGGGGTTTCACCATGTTGGCCAGGCTGGTCTCGAACTCCTGACCTTATGATTCTCTCGCCTCGGCTTCCCAAAGTGCTGGGATTACAGGTGTGAGCCACTGCGCCCAGCCAACAATAATTTTTAAAATAGTGTTAAAATTTTAGAACAATTATTATAAAAAGTGGAGAGAAGTGAGTTCTCACATGCAAAATTATTTAATGAGATTGGGTACTTCACCTAGCTTAGTTACCTTTTTTCTTATGAGTAAAGTGTAGATTAATATCTTGTCTTATATATTTCAGACAGATGCCTTGGGGAAACAGTCTGTGAACAGAGGATTCACTAAGGACAAGGTAGGTTTCTAATTAAATATAGGAAAAAAAGCTTGAAGTCATATGGGACATCTAGAACAAGAGGCTGCAAATTTGAACATAAGTACTGTGGCTCAGTGATTTTGTGTAAGGTGATTTTCCAGCTGTAGAAGTGAGAAATATTTCTATGAACTTTGTGTCCTTGACCATGACCCCTAGCATAGCAGTTTAATTAAAAATAACAACCAAACTTTCTCCTCTTACCAGCTGCAAAGTGCCGCAGGACTCATTGGTAAGGGTGAAGCCTTTGGGAAGTACATGGCAACCTAAGAGAGACTCCTCAGGAACAGAACTATGAAAACCTGTCTAGGCTTGGGGGCTCACTTTCTCTGAGCATGTGGGTTTTCTTATACTTGTTTTCTACTTTTGGAAATCTGTTTCATTGTCCTGACATGTTTGCCACAGGCTTAGAGATAGAGTTAAGCTGTTTTTTTTTTTTTTTAATTATGTGTTAATTGCTTTTTATTGTCTCTTTCAAGACTCTCAGTTCAATCTTTAACATTGAGATGGTAAAAGAAAAAACTGCAGAAGAAATAAAACAGGTAATGAATGGAAATGGGCTGGCCTACTCTATGAAAATGTGAATTCTGTGAACCAAATCTGAAAGTACATTTTCTGACACCTCTTTCTAGCCACAATGAAAGGTAATAATAAAAGGCAAAAGTGATGAATTACTTGAAGAACAATGTCATAAGAAAACTTGTCTTCTTTGTCACTCTTATATGTCTAATCAACTTGTATGTCTAGTTTCTTTTTCATTCCCATAATCCACATCTCGTGTAACCCTCATCAGTACTCTGTACCTGGATTACTGCACTACCTTTCCAAATAGGTTTCCCTTCTCCTTTTTTTTCCACTCCACCCATAATATTCTCATCAACTGAGTCCTCTGAAACTTCTCCTTTCATTATGGAGAAGTATAGTGTATTGGTTTAAAAACACAGACTCTAGAACCAAGCTGCCGGTTTTAAGTCCTAGCTCTGCCACTATCTATAGGACTTGGACAAGTTAATCAACTTGTCTGGGCTTTAGTTTCCCTATTTAAAGTGGAGCAAATAATAGCACTTACCTCATAGAGTTATTTGGATAATTAAATGAGTTAACATTTATTATCACTTAGAACAGTCCCTGGCATAGAGTAAGTGCTATATTTATGTTTTTTAAAAAATGGGAAAAAAATGTATTAGGAACCTGGTCACAAATGTTCAGTGACTTCCTGTATTCCTTTTCTGGGCATTCATAGCTCTCCATTATCACAGGACCTTCTTCAGGAAGCTTCCTGAACACTTTCCTTCAAAGCACTCATGAGCTATCCTGCCTGTTTGGTCATTTATATTTTTATACCTGTGATTCTTTTCTCTCTAATAAGCTATTTTTCTGGCATTCTTTATAGTTCCATGAATTATACATTAGGTAGATTGAGAGGATCAAAATAATAATAAAAGCAGCATACTCTGTATCAGGTACAATGCCTAATGCTTCATATGCATTATTTCATTAAATTCTCTTAACCACCCCGTGAAGTGGGTGCCATTATTCCCAGTTTACAGTTGAGGAAACTGTGACTTAAAGAGATTATGTAACTTAGTCAGTGGTAGAGCTGGGACTCAAACCCATGTCTATTTGACTCTGCATCATATTCCCACAACTGGAAGTTGTGCCAGTTGCCATGGGTTTCCTTTGTATGCTGTATCATTTATTTTAGCACACATTTAATGCATACCAATTAAATGTCAGACTCTGTGCCAGATACAGAGATAAATGAGAGAATCCTCATCCCCAAGGAGTTTTAGCCTCCGCAAAACGGATCAGATCAGCACAGGGTTCTTTCTATTAATAGAGGCATATGCAAAGTGTCAGGGAGAACTCTGGCTGTGCCTTTGGGAAGAAGTACCAAAGGAACATGGACACAAAACATGTCATTTAGGGGAAAAAGAAGCCAGGCCCAGGAGGCCTGATCATATGACAAGTATCATTGAGACCTATAGTTTTAGGTATAAATTTGTGTTTGTTGAAATGAGTAGCTAAATTCAACTATATAAGGAAACATATATCAGTCTCATGAATTTCAGTTTTGATTCATAAACTGTCTGCTAATATCATAAATTAAATAAAAATAATCAGAATATGCTGTCCTTAAAATGAGAAGACAATGTTTTGACATGCAAAAAAAGAAAAGGTAAAGCAACCTTATGCCACATTGAGAGTAGTTTCCATAGGTCCTAGGAGTTAATAGTCCTTTTGTGCTCTGTGTTGATTAGATGGATCACACTTTGATTAGTATCTTCAATTGGGGCCCCATATTTTAACAGAAATGTTGACAAAACAGACCAACTCTAAAGGAAGTTGACCCATTCTTCAACACTAGCTCACTCTGGTGTCACCTTGGTTATGATACCCTCCTCTACTTCTATGCCTTTGTTAGTGTTGTCATTCTCTGCTTCAAATGTGTCTCTTATCTCCTTCTCCTGCCCTACCTGTTATCTTCCCAGCCTCCTTATTTCCCTACTCTAACTCCTAATCATTCTTCAGGATACAGTTCCAAGTGTCCCTTCCTCTGGCACTCTTCCCTACCCTGGGTTAAGTGCCTCTTTTAGATTACATGTTTCTTATTATTTCACAATCATCTATCATTCAACCAGCATTTCTGAGTACTTTTTGGGTTGCAAGGCATTGGTGACAACACAGCAGATACCTGCCTACAGGGGGCTTGCAAACTAGTGAGGGAAATAGATCCATATGCAAATGATCTTATTATGAAGTAGCATATCCTAGGCATCTTAAGAGAGATATAAAATATGAAAGCAAGGGGGAGGAAATAAATAAAATAGAAAAGCAGCTCATAGGAAAACTTCTGACTGTAATATCAAGGGAAACTGCATGGAAGAAGAAGCATATAGGCTCAGCTTCAGAGTACAGGAAGAATTTGGGAGGTCAGAGGTAGGAGAGAGAGGCTTTCTAGTCAGAGCCAATAACATGTAAAAAGGCATGGGAAGGCAAAAAAAAGGTAGTAAAAAATAAGAACACAGAGCATCCATATGATATTAATGGTAAATAATGAAAAGACACAATATTGCATATATGCTACATCTATGTATACTATAAAAGACATGCTAGAAAGAAATAAAGTAACAGTGGTCTTTGTTAGGGTGGTAGGACTATGGGCATTTTTTCCTTTTCCCTGTTTTCTAATTTTCAAATTTTATTATATAATTTTTTTATTCCCCACCTTTTGGTATTTGCATCATGAAGGTCAACTGTAGCTTCCTTGTTCGTTAGTGTCAAGCAGAGGTAGGACTTCTGATTGGTATATACCATAGTCAGATCCAACAGACCTTATCTCTTCCACATGTAGAAGACTTTCTGGAAGCAGGATTTTAAGAGCTGCCTATAACATGCCAATAATATCTAATATGGTTTTGCTGTGTCCCCACCCAAATCTCATCTTGAATTGTAGTTCCCATAATCCCCACACATCATGGGAGGGACACAATGGGAGGTAATTGAATCATAGGGGCAGTTACCTCCATGCTGTTCCCATGATAATGAGTTCTCACGAGATCTGATGGTTTTATAGGGGGCTTTTCCCCCTTTTGCTCATTCTTCTTCCTGTCACCATGTGAAGAAGGATGTGTTTGCTTCCCCTTCCACCATGATTGTAAGATTCTTAACGCCTTCCCAGCCCTGTGGAACTGTGAGTCACTTAAACCTCTTTCCATTATAAATTACCCAGTCTCTGGATTAAGAAAATATGGCACATTTACACCATGGAATACTATGCAGCCATAAAAAAGCATGAGTTCATGTCCTTTGCAGGGACATGGATGAAGCTGGAAACCATCATTCTCAGCAAACTATCACAAGGACAGAAAACCAAACACCGCATGTTCTCACTCATAAGTGAGAGTTGAACAATGAGAACACATGGACACAGAGTGGGGAACACCACACACTGGGGCCTGTCAGGGGGTGGAGGGCTGGGGGAGGGATATCATTAGGAGAAATACTTAAAGTAAATGACAAGTTGATGGGTGCAGCAAACCAACATGGCACACGTATACCTATGTAACCTGCATGTTGTACACATGTACCCTAGAACTTAAAGTACAATAATAATAATAATAATAATAATAATAATAAATAAATAAATAAATTGCCCAGTCTCAGGTATATCTTTATTAGCAGTGTGAGAATGGACTAATACAATATCTAACAAAAGCTAACATTATTTGTAGTGTTTATTCTGTGACAAGTGCTGAGCTAAGCACAGACCTACATTATTTCAGCTAGTCATGACAATTCTGTGAGGTTATTATTGCTATTTTATTGATGTTTTTTAGGGAGTTTTCAGTAATTTGCCCAAGGTAGTATAGCTAGTAAATGACTGGAGCTGAGATTCGCATCCAGGTCTGCCTGACTGTGAACCCTGAGCTCTAGTCCTGACTCTCTGGGAAGGCTCAGTTGGCTGGGGAGGTGTGGGTTTGGGGAGGAAATAAAAATGTGAAAAAAAAGAAGTTGTCTATCACACACAAGGCACATATTAAGAGGAATGACTTTTAAAGTCAGAGAATCAGTTTCTCTGTCAGGAATTTGTTATTAAGAGTTACAGTTTAATCATCTAGAAGAGTGGATTGTATTAAATCTTTTTTGTGATGTGCTAGTAATGAAAGCGTTATACTGGGTTTTTCCTCTCTGTTATCAAATAGCATATTCCTCTGAGCAATGAAAACTGTCACCATTTCTTGGCACATGTTGAAAAGATTACCCACATGTCACAGACACCCCTCTCTTTTTTGTACAGATTTGGCAGCAATATTTTGCAGCAAAAGATACAGTCTACGCAGTTATTCCTGTAAGTAGTTTGGAGGGCAAAGTGAAAGTGTTACAACATGAAAGTCAGTTCTCTAACCTTAGCAGGCAGTTGCCTTTACTTTTCCTATGTTTATTGCCTCTTGAGAAGCTGCATTTTACAGCCCTGAGAGTTTTTATTATGCCCTGAGCACCAGAGATTGGAAGCTCCATATGGTATATTTATGGCTCTTGTTTTCCTCCTTTCTACTTTAGAAATGTCTCTGAGTCAAGTCTCTGACAAGGGAGCGTGGTATAAGTTCATGTTGCTGAGTAATTTCCAGATGTCTTTTTTTTCTTACTGATGTTTTCCAACCAAGCTGTTGGAATTTAAGACAGGGCCTCTAGCACAGCTTTTTTCCCTTCTTGCCTGTAAGTGACCTATACCTGAGCTGACTTGGAGCCTCTTCCTAGTCTATCTCTGGTGAATATTCCCCTTAGCAAGTGGCATTTTCTTGGTCTTTCCCTTCTTGAAATTATTCTTAGAGATGGTCACCATCTACTGCTTGACCATTAAGGTCTGTGACAGAGAAGGGATGCTGCTGGCTTCTCTGGTTTAATGTTTTGCTGGCCTTCACTATAATAAAGCATCTGAAGTACTGGATTATCAGCTAGTTCTTTGTTTTTCCCTGAAGGAGGGGTGGGAGCTTAGGTTAAGTTTCTATCAAGCACACAAATATATATTGAGATTACATGAGTAAGTGTAAGATTAAGGAGGAAAACATATAGATGGAAGGATAAAGCCAGGCCTTTTGGTGGTTATGATGGTATCGCTATCTTTTTTTTTAATCTCTCATATATATATACCCTTATCCTACATGAATTCAACAGCCAGAAGAAGAGTCTGCGCTTTTTGTGATGTTTTAGATCTCTGATACTGACTCATTGTTTAAACAGGCCTTCTTACCTCTCCCTCAAACTGACTTGGTGACTTGATGTCTCTGACAATTGTTAAAGTTCCCTGGAGCATTGGTGCACCTAGTCTTTACACATAATTCTGACAATAAACAGCAAAACAGACATCTGGTTTTTCCTGTCTTTCTGTCATAAGAGTGATTTGAAAATGATGAAACTTAAATGACTGTTTTAGTTGTATTATAATTCTAGAATTCAGTCTTGGTGAATTACATGTGATAGTGGCCTTTTGTGTTTTACTATGTGTAGGTTAACTTTATTCTTTTCCAACCTACAGGCAGAAAAGTTTGATTTGATCTGGAACCGGGCTCAGTCCTGTCCAACAGTAAGTTTCTGGTGATCACGTAAGGGTTGCTTATCAATGTTGCCAAACAAGTATTTTCCAGCCCATCACGTCATATTCCATACTGTCTCACATGTTATAGTGCTCTGTTTACTTAATAAAGATGCTCACATGTTGATTGTACTAATAAGTTATAGTGCTCTGTTTACTTAATAAAGATGCTCACACGTTGATTGTACTAATAAGTGACATTTTCAGCCTTATGAAATCATGTGGGTTTGACCCAGTAAGCCTCTGGCTTTTTAGCTCCCTACCACATCAGCCCTTTCTGATGTAGATCTTAATCTATCGGTACAAGTGCGTTTTGGAAGACATCTGAGACCTTAATCTTTTCAACTTCTTTTTTTTTTTTTTTTTGCTTTTATTATTATTTTTAATTGACACATAATTATACATATTTATGGGGTACAGTGTGATAGTTCAATACATGTGTGCAGTGTGTAATGATCAAATCAGAATAATTAGCACATCTATCACCTCAAACATTTATCATTTCATTGTATTGGTAACATTCAGAATCCATTCTTCTAGCTACTTGAAAATATACAATAATTGCCATTCTAACTGGTGTGAGATGGTATCTCATTGTGGTTTTGATTTGCATTTCTCTGATGGCCAGTGATGGTGAGCATTTTTTCTTGTGTTTTTTGGCTGCATAAATGTCTTCTTTTGAGAAGTGTCTGTTCATTTCCTTTGCCCACTTTTTGATGGGGTTGTTTGTTTTTTTCTTGTAAATTTGTTTGAGTTCATTGTAGATTCTGGATATTAGCCCTTTGTCAGATGAGTAGGTTGCAAAAATTTTCTCCCATTTTGTAGGTTGCCTGTTCACTCTGATGGTAGTTTCTTTTGCTGTGCAGAAGCTCTTTAGTTTAATGGCAATCATTAAAAAGTCAGGAAACAACAGGTGCTGGAGAGGATGTGGAGAAATAGGAACACTTTTACACTGTTGGTGGGACTGTAAACTAGTTCAACCATTGTGGAAGTCAGTGTGGCGATTCCTCAGGGATCTAGAACTAGAAATACCATTTGACCCAGCCATCCCATTACTGGGTGTATACCCAAAGGACTATAAATCATGCTGCTATAAAGACACATGCACACGTATGCTTATTGCAGCTTTATTCACAATAGCAAAGACTTGGAACCAACCCAAATGTCCAACAATGATAGACTGGATTAAGAAAATGTGGCACATATACACCATGGAATACTATGCAGCCATAAAAAATGATGAGTTCATGTCCTTTGTAGGGACATGGATGAAATTGGAAATCATCATTCTCAGTAAACTATGGCAAGAACAAAAAACCAAACACCGCATGTTCTCACTCATAGGTGGGAATCGAACAATGAGAACACATGGACACAGGAAGGAGAACATCACACTCTGGGGACTGTTGTGGGGTGGGGGGAGTGGGGAGGGATAGCACTGGGAGATATACCTAATGCTAGATGACGAGTTAGTGGGTGCAGCGCACTAGCATGGCACATGTATACATATGTAACTAACCTGCACATTGTGCACATGTACCCTAAAACTTAAAGTATAATAATAATAAATAAATAAATAAAAAGAAAATATACAATAAATTATTGTTAATTATAGTACTCCATAGTGCCGTAGAACACTAGAACATATTTCTCCCATCTAGCTGTACTTTTGTATCCCTTAACCAAACTTTGGCTATTCGTTCCTCTAGTAACCACTCTCCTACTCTCTCCTTCTATGAGATCAGGTTTTTTTTTTTTTTTAGCTTCCAACATGTGAGAACATGTGGTATTTGTCTCTCTGTGCGTGGCTTATTTCACTTAACATAATGTTCTCCAAGCTCATCCATGTTGTCACAAATGACAGAACTTGTTCTTTTTTGTGGCTAAATAGTATTCCATTGTGTATAGATACCACATTTTCTTTATCCATTCATTTGTTGATGGACACTTAGGTTGATTCCATATCTTCGCTATTGTGAATAGTGCTGTAGCAAACATGGGAGTGCAGATATCTCTTCAACATACTAATTTCCTTTCCTTTGGATATATATCCAGTAGTGGGACTGCTGGATCATGTGGTAGTTCTCTTTTTAGTTTTTTGAGGAAACTTCATAATGTTTTCCATAATGGCTATACTAATTTACGTTCCACCAATATTATACAAAAGTTCCTCTTTCTCCACATCTTCACCAGCATTTTTTTTTTTTTCATTTAGAGATGAGGTCTTACTGTGTTGCCCAGGATGGGCTTCAAATCCTGGCCTCAAATGACCCTCCCACCTCAGACTCCCGAAGTGCTGGGATTACAGGTTGTCTTTTTTTTTTTCGTAATAGCTGTTCAAACTGGGCTGAGATGCCTGTTTTATTGGCAGTTTTCTTCACAGTTTTGGCTATGCTATCCTGGTAATATGTGCCTAAAGGAATTAAGAGGTCGTAGCTGAAATACTGAGCTGCCAGAAGGCCTAAGGGAAAAGGAATAGGTGGGGTGGACCAGCTAACTTGGTATCAGTAATGATTTCTCGGGTTTTCAAAACATTTTTGGAAACATTGCTGAAAACAGAGAATACCTAAATAAATGGAAATGATATATACCATGTTCATGGATTGGATGGCTCAGTTTGTTACATTTTGTTTTGTTTTGTTTTTTGAGACAGGATCTTACAGTGTTGCCCAGGCTGGAGTGCAGTGGTGTGATCATAGCTTACTGCAGCCTCAATCTCTTCAGCTGAAGCAATACCCCCACCTCAGCCTTCTAAGTAGCTGGGATTACAAACATGCACCCCCATGCTCAGCTAATTTTTTGTATGTTTAGTAGAGACAAGATCTCACTTACGTTGCCCAGGCTGGTCTCAAATTCCTTGGTTCAAGCAATCCTCCTGCCTCAGCCTCCCAAAGTGCTGGGATTACAGGTGTGAGCCACTGTGCCTAGGCTTTGTTATTGTTAAGGTATCAGTTCTCTCCTAATTGGTCTCTAGATGAAATACAATACTAATCAAAACCCCACTAGGCATTTAAGAAATTGATGAGCTGGTTTTAAAATTTTACTTGGATATTTAAAGGACTGAGATAGCTAAAACAATTTTGAAAAAGAACAAAGCTTGAGGACTTACATTTCCTGATTTCAAGACTTATTACAAAGATACAGTAATTAAAACAGTATGGTATTGGCACAAAGATAGACATGTAGATTAATGGAACAGAGTAGAGTCCTGAAATAGACAAACATATATGTGGTTAGTTGTTTTTCAACAAAGGTGTCTATAAATTAGAGAAAGGATAATCTTTTCAACAAATGCTGCTAAAACAATTGAATATCATGCACAAAAAAAAGGAACCTCTACTTTTACCTCACAGTGTATACAAAAATTAAAGTAGATCATAAAAGTAAATGTAACTTTTTTTTTTTTTTTTTTTTGAGACGGAGCTTGCTTTGTCACCCAGGGTGCAATGTAGTATGATCTCAGCTCACTGCAACCTCCACCTCCTGGGTTTAAGCTATTCTCCTGCCTCAGCCTCCCAAGTAGCTGGGATTACAGGTGCCTGCCACCACACTGGGCTAATTTTTGTATTTTTAGCAGAGACCATTTTTTTTTTGAGTCAGAGTCTTGTACTGTTGCCCAGGCTGTAGTGCAGTGGCATGATCTCTGCTCACTGCAATCTCTGCCTCCCAGGTTCAAGCGATTCTTGAGCCTCAGCCTCGTGAGTAGCTGAAGTTACATGAGCCCACCACCACACCCAGCTAATTTTTATGTTTTTAGTAGAGACAGGGTTTCACCATGTTAGCCAGTCTAGTCTCAAAACTCCTGACCTCAAGTGATCCACTTGCCTCAGCCTCCCAAAGTGCTAAGATTACAGGCATGAGCCACCGCACCTGGCCCATAAATGTAACTTGTAAAGGAAAATAAAAGAAGAAATCTAAATTACCTTGGGTTTGGCAAAGATGTCATAAGTACATTACAAAAAGCACAAACTATAAAAGAAAAAAATCACCTTGGGCAATATAGTGAGACCTTGTCTCTATAAAAAAAATTTTTCAAGCACCTGTTGTCCCAGCTACTCAAGAGGCTGAGGTGGGAGGATCACTTGAGCCCTGGAGGTGGAGGTTATAGTGAGCCCAGACCGGACAACAGAGCGAGACCCTGTCTCAAAACAATAAAAATAGGGTGGGTGTGGTGGCTCACGCATGTAACCCCAGCACTTTGGGAGGCCAAGGTGGGTGGATCACTTGAGGTCCGAAGTTCAAGACCAGCCTGGCCAATATGGCGAAAACCCATCTCTACTAAAAATACAAAAATTAGCTAGGCGTGGTGGTGTGTGCCTGTAATCTCAGCTACTCCGGAAGCTGAGGCATGAGAATCGCTTGAACCTGGGAGGCAGGGACTGCAGTGAGCCGAGGTCACACCACAGCACTCCAGACTAGCTGACAGAGTGAGATTCTGTCTCAAAAAAATAATAATAAATAAATTAGATTTCATCAAAATTAAAACATTCTATTTGCATACCCAAATAGCTTCTACATTCATAGCAACATTAGTCACAATAGCCAAAAGGTGTATAGCTCAAGTTATATCAGAAATTCTTATAACTCAATAATAAAGAGGATAGACAAATGGACAAAGGATTTGAACATTTTATCAAAGAATAGCAGATAAGCACCTGAAAATATGCTTGACAGCATTAGTCATAATGGGAATCCAAATTACTACAGTGAGATACCATTAGAATGACTAAAATGTCAAAAACTGATCATACCAAGTATTGGTAAGAATGTGAAGCACCTGGAACTCTCCTATACTGCCGGTCATATTGCAAAATGGTACAACCACTTTAGAAAATAGTTCGGCTGTTTCTTTAAAAATTAAGCATATACCTGCCATACTAACTAGCCATTCCATTTCTAGATATTTTCCCAAGAGAACTCAAAGAATATGTCCATAGAATGACTTGTGCGCAAATATTCAAGCAGCTTTATTTGTAACAACCAATGCTGGAAACAATGCAAATGTCTGTCACTAGTGCACAGGAATTGTGGAAAGAGAGAATGTGCATGTGTGTGTGTGTGTGTGTGTATGTGTGTATACATACACAATGGAATAATATTCAGCAGTAAAAGGAATGAACTATTGATACATGCAACAACATGGTGTTCTGTGAAAGGGCCATATGTGCAAAACGACCCCCAAATGGTGAAGGAGCTGAAAAACCAAAGAAGGAGGCAGACAAATCCAATTTGTGGGTATGGGATGATTTATTGGGGGAACTTACAGACGGGAATGTCGTATTGGGTGGCTGCAATACAGGTAGATCTCCACACCACAACCAGACAGACCCAATATGTCTTATATCTTGGGGAAAGTATACATGCTCTGGAAGGAATGTGTAGGTGGATACAGTCATCACTGCCTATGATTTCTGCAACAACATCAAGGATTGTTTTGGAAGAATAGATGTTTCTACATAAAGAGTAATACATCAACTAGACATTTGGGAGGCATTCCTGGACTTGGGGTTAGTCAGAAGTCACACGGTGGACTAGCATTTAAAATAAAGTCACTCTTGTTCCTACACATGGATAGATCATGAAACAGTTATGCTGACTGAAAGTAACCAAACCAAAAAAGTACTCATTTTGTGGTTCCGTTTTTACAAAATTCTACAAAGGCACACTAACCTATAGTGGCAGAAAGCAAATCAGTGGTTGCTTAGGGACAGTAAGGGACAGGGAAGTATGAACTTCAAAGGGCAAAGAAAACTTGGAAGTGATAACCATGTTCATTTTGTTGATTTTGGTTATGGTTTCACAGTACACATATGTCACACTCATCAAATTGTATACTTTAAATATGTGCACTTTGTTGTATTTCAAGTATACCTCAATAAAGCTGTAAAAAAAATATTTTCCCTAGCAAGGGATCATCTGTCAAGTAGGCACTAAGTTTATCTCATCTAATAATAATAAATTGGAGCCTGAGTGGTTGACAATAAGAAGATAATTTGTGACTAATGTGTATTGGGCTGCTTTATACTTTTGTTTTGTTCTGGCACCATTCTTTTCTCTACTACTCATCCCCATTCTAAACATCTTGAGCATAAAACTTATTTTTTGGTGTTTAGTCTGGAGCCATGCTCCAATATCAGCCTTATCTGATAGAATGTGAAGTAATTACAGCAATTGGAACGAGCTAATTCAGCAGCATTAGAAAGTTTAGAAATTGAAACATCCATCAAGAGAAGGATAAATAGTGATAAACTTCTACAATAGAATTCCATACAACAGTGAGATATTTATGAATTCAGAGTTATAGATATCAACATGGATAAATCTCAGAAGCATACTATGAAGTAAAAAAGTTACAAAAGGATACACACACTTTGATAAGATTTAAGTTTTTAAACATATAAACTACTACTTTAAAAAAAATTTTTCTAAAGACAGGGTCTCACTATGTTGCCCAGGCTGGTCTCAAACTCCTGGGCTCAATCAGTCCTCCTGCCTCAGCCCCCGAGTAGCTAGGACAACAGGCACATGCCACCACACCTGGCTATTTTTTTTATTTTTTTGTAGTGACGGGGTCTCACTGTATTGTCCAGGTTGGCCTCAAACTCCTGAGCTCAAGTGATCCTCCGACCTTGGCCTTCCAAAGTGCTGGAATTACAGGTGTGAGCCACCATGCCCAGCCTGTAAACTACTACTTCTTAACTTACAGTTATACGCATATACATTAAAGTATTAAAATATGAAAAAGGAGGATAGACACCAAATGCTGGATAGATGTTAACTCTGGGATGGGATTAGAAGGGAATGCAGAGGGAACCTCAATTGTATTTCTGATGCTTTCTTAGGTGGATTGATAAGTACATGAGTATTTATTGCCACATATGAATTTCTTAATTTTAAAAAAATGTTTTAGGCTGGGAGCAGTGGCTCATGCCTATAATCCCATCACTTTGGGAGGCTGAGGGAGGCAGATTGCTTGAGCCCGGGAGTTCAAGACCAGCCTGGGCAACATGGCAAAACCCCATCTCTACCAAAAAAAAAAAAAAAGTAGCCAGGCTTAGTGGTGCACACCTGCAGTTCCAGCTACTTGGGAGGCTGAGTGGGAAGATCACCTGAGCCCAGCAGATCAAGACTGCGGTGAGCTGTGATCATGCCTGCACTGCAGCCTGGACAACAGAGCGAGAACCTGTCTCAAAAAAATAAAAAAATATTTTAAAAACCAAATATGGAGGAAATGGAATGAATGTTACAGGTGGTTGGATATAGAGCAAATAATTTCATTTATTCATCTGTCTCCTTGTATATCTGTTTTTCACAGTTTCTATGTGCTCTGCCAAGAAGGGAAGGTTATGAGTTTTTTGTAGGACAATGGACAGGTACTGAACTCCACTTCACTGCACTTATAAATATTCAGGTAGGTGGCTTGTGCCCTTCCTCTAGAGGAAAGAGGACTACCCCTTGGTAGGACTAGAAACCCTTGCTGAGGCTCAAGGACACAGAATAGCTGCTTACTCCCAGCATTTATTATTGTGGCGCAGATGAATTGTCATACTTTTTGTGTTGGACTAGTTTTCTAGGCCCTCCTCAATACCTAGAAATTGGAAAAGACTCCAAAACACCTTCTCTGACTACTTCTGGTTCTCTTTTGTCTCTTCCCCAGACCTCTAGTTGTATATACTGCATGTGCCTCACTTAACAAACATGCCTGAGTTATGATGGCTATCTTTTTAACCCAAGCTAGAAGCCCCTTGAGGAAAGCTCCAAGTCTTAAATGTGTTTTATTACCTAAGTCAACACCTTCCAACATGCTAAGTGAATAGTTTCTGTTTAATGTTATTTTGTTTGCTTTCTTCCTTTATTTCTTTATTTCCAATAAAACAATATTAACTTTTAAATATTATATTTAAAAGTTAGATTCAAAACATTTAAAACTTTTAAAATAAAAGTCAATATTTTAAATCATAACTAGGATTGGCATTCTATATTTGGAGGTCAAATGTGGCAAAAAACAAGCACGAATTATATTGGCTTTGAAGTTGGGGTAAAGAATGCAAAATAGAATGAAGGAACAGCTTTTTACTTTGCTATTTTGTAATATGTCTAACAACCCTTTATTGAGTACATACTTTAATAACCAACAATTTGATGTACTTACTATGTGCCACATGTTTTATATATATTATGTCATTTAATCCTCATAATACGCCATATTTACTGTTATTATTTCTAATTACATAGAAGAAAGTGGCCTCAGATGTTAGTTACATTGTCTAATAAGTGATAGAGCCAGGATTGAGCCCAGGTTATCTGACTTCAAAGTCTGTGAACTTAATCATTATGGGATTGTGTTAGGAACTGTGCTAAGACTTGGAGATCTGTGAGACAAGGTCCCTGCCTTCATGGAGCTAATATTCAGCTTTAGGAGAAAGATCCAGAAACATAATTACAATAAAAGTGATTAGTATAATATTAGAATGATGACCAAAATGATCAGTGTAACATTAGAAGTATGTTCAAGAAAAATGAGATGCTGAACTATTACAAGTACCCTAGTGATAGTTGGATATTTATAATTAAAAAGACTCGCTGAAATTTTAGAGATAAAGTCTAGGAATCTTCTTTTGAATGTAGTTGTTTCCACCTGTGCTATGTAGGGGCTTTAGCTTTGAACCCATCCTCTCTACCTAGTCTAGACTTGAGATTTAGTAACCACTGCCCTGATCATTCTTCATAAAATCATGGTGTTTCCATCCTTCTTCTCCCCTTCACCCCCCACCAACCCAGATTATATTTTAGAGCTGCACATTACAAATCTGGCTCATGTGCAAACTCTGCAGCTCCTGCTACAGCTTAAAAGAGCTCAGTCTTCAGAGCCAGCCAAGGGGAGTAGATTTCAACTGTGAAATGCACTAGTCCATGAAAGTGGCAATTACACAGGCACATTGCTTTCTTTAGAACTTGATTTGGTAGCTGCTTGTGCCATTTTGTTTTTAAATGTATGGTCACAATGATGGATTCACTGCCTACTGTAAACATTTTCTGGGAAAAAAGCCAAACCTTTTCCAGTTGAAGACACAAATAACACTGTGCAAACTGTCAGTTTCACTGTGCCTTTGCAGGCCTGACCTTACCACCACATACCAGTCCTCCAACTCACTAGCCACCCAAGGGGCTGTTAAGAGCCAGAATTTCCTCTAGACTGTCTATTGCTTTGAAATTGCAGTTTGTTGTGATGGTACCTTATTGAGCCTTGATAAGTGTTCCACCTTGCAGACCCGAGGGGAAGCTGCAGCCAGCCAGCTGATTTTATATCACTATCCTGAACTTAAGGAAGAAAAGGGCATAGTGCTGATGACTGCAGAAATGGATTCCACATTTCTGGTAAGAATTAACTTGCAAAACTCTTTGGATTTACCTCATGGCACTGAAGGTATTACTCTTCTGCCAAAGCTCATGAGAGAGAAAATTTCAAAGAGCTACATATACCTTGTTTCTTACTTATTTTAAAGTTGACAGTGAAGTTGTCTTGCTCAAGATCTTCCAATTTGAAGTTAGTACAGATCCTCAATCATTTATTCACAATTCTGAAACCCATGGGCTCTGAGAACAAAATGTTTTTGTTCTCATTTGGTCACAAAACCTTATGTAAACTTGAACTCATTTGGTAACTAAATCTTTAAACTGATGTGAAACTATTTATATAACTAATCCCACTTGGTGTGGAGTATTATGCATTTTACTAGGGAAATATTAATGTGTTTGAGTATGGGGAGTCACATAATATAGTTATATAGTATCTATACCTATTATCTTTCTAAAATTCAATAATTCTGAATCTAAGACACATCAGGCCCTAAGGGTTTCAGATAAGAGATTGTAGACAAGTAAATGGCTTCTTAATTATAGGGAAGAGTTGTATTGAAGCCTAGGATAGCTCTCAATATTTTATCTTCCTTCATACTGTTCATTTATACAACATTCATCATTTATAGTGTTTTTCTTTCCTCCTTTTCCCACTCCTAGATGAGAATCACTGAGATAGAGCATTGACCATATGCTCATAGTTAATGATGCCCACTGTGTTCTCTCTGCACATCCAGGTGCCAGGAGCAGTGTTGTGATTACTGTACACTGTCTGTCTAGTCCTTGCTCATTTCAGTCACATATCCTTTTATCTGGCAGAGGTTAAGTTCAGAATGTCCCCAAACAGTGGACACTTCCCCCTAACAGTCTTCATTACAGCACCCACTTATTTTTTCTCTTTCTCTTACCAGCTGCATAGGGAGAAAGAAGTGATATCACTCAGCTGATATCTCACAGTAGCAGTAACCCACAAACCTAGGACACAGTGAGGATTCTACTTCCCTATTCTTGAAGCTATTCAGTACCATCTCTCCCATTCTTCCTTCCACATTAACCCTTCCATTCATCACATTCAACTGAAAGCCAAAATTCTATCCAAGAATATGGAATTGCCATTAACTGAGATAGGCAAGATTGCAGGAGGAATAGGCCTAACAGGAAAATCAGGAGCTCACTTTTCGATGTATTAAATCTGAGATGCCTATTAGATATCCAAGTAGTAGGCAATTAGATATATGAGCCTGGACTTCATGGGAGAAGTCCAGGCTGGAGATATAAATATGGGAGTTGTCAGCATACAGATTGTACTTAAAACCATAGGACTGAATGAAGTCACCAAGGAAGTAAGTAAAAATAGAGAAGAGACGAGATCTAAGAACTGAGCGAGGGGTCTCCATCCCTGGAGAGATGAAGAAGCATCAGCAAAGATTAAGAAGGAATGGCCATGAGGTAAAAGGAAAATTAAGATGGTAGAATGCCCTGGAAGCTAAAATTGAATGTTTCAAGGAATAGGGACTGCTCAACTCACCAAATCTCCCTTGTTTATTAGGGCAAATGAGATTAGAACTGAGAATTTACTGATTTCACAAACATGGAAGTCACTGGGGGCCTTATAAGAGCAGTTTCATAAAAGTGTGATTGGAGTAGACTTAAGAGAGGATGGGAAGAGAAACTCCGAAGAATCAGCATAGAAACTCTTTCAAGGGGCATTTCTATAAAGGGAAGGAGAGAATGGGGTATTAGCTGGAGGTGGAGAAGTGCGCCCAAGGGTATCTTTTGTTTCAAATATGAGAAAGAAAACATATTTGTATGCTGATGGGAAAGGTCCAGTTGAGGCTGGGACAGTGGCTCATGCTTGTAATCCCAGCATTTTGGGAGGACAAGGTGGGTGGATTGCTTGAGCTCAGGAGTTTGAGACCAGCCTGGCCAATGTGATGAAACCCTGTGTCTACAAAAAATACAAAAATTAGCCAGGCGTGGTGGCATGCACCTTGTAATCTCAGCTGCTCGGAAGGCTGAGGTAGGAGGATCACTTAAGCCCCAGCAGCAAAGGTTGCAGTGAGCTGAGATTGCACCATTGCACTCCAGCCTGAGCGACAGACCCAGACTCTGTCTAAAAAAATAATAATAATAAAATAAAATAAATAAAGATCCAGTGGAGAGGGAAATGTTGATGATACAGGAGAAAGCGGGAAGTGATATTTTTGAGTGGGCAAGTCTGGTAATGAGGGGTTGATCTTTACCAGGAATATGACAGCAGGAGAGAAGCCAGAGTATAAGGACACTGATAAAATTAGATGGATAGAGGTAGTGGTATAAGTTTCCTACAGATTGCTCAGTGAAAAGAAAGAAAAGTTCTCATCAGCTGAAAGCAAGGTTGGAAAAATGTTGGACATTTGAGTCAAAAAGAGGAAGTACAAAATTGTTGTCTAGGACAAGCGTCAGCAAACTACAGCCTATGGGCCAAGTCCAGCCCACTGCTTGTTATAACGCCCACGAGTTAAGAATGTTTTCTACCTCTTTAAATGATTAGGGGGAAAAACTCTTTTTTTGTTTGTTTGTTTGTTTGTTTGTTTTTGAGACAGAGTCTCGCTGTGTTGGCCAGGCTGGAGTGCAGTGGCACAATCTCAGCTCACTGCAACATCCACCTCCCAGGCTCAAGCAGTTCTCCTGCCTCAGCCTCAAGCAGTTCTCCTGCCTCAGCCTCCTGAGTAGCTGAGATTACAGGCATGTGCCACCACACCTGGCTAATTTTTGTATTTTTAGTAGAGACGAGGTTTCACCATGTTGGCCAGGCTGGTCTCGAACTCCTGACCTCAGGTAATCGACCCACCTCGGCCTTCCAGAGTGCTGGGATTACAGGCATGAGCCACCACGCTGGGCCAAAAACTCTTTATTCTTAAAGAAATACAGAAATTATTTAATAACAAAAACTATTATTAAAGAAAAATAGTATTTCAAGTTTTATTAGAACACAGCCATATTCATTTATTTACATATTATCTATGGCCTGAAGGAAGTTAAAGGTGAATGCAAAGGAATGATTATTGACCATGGAATGGAAGCTGGGTAATGAGGAAAGTGAAAATATAAGGGAGGTTAGAGACAGTAAGAATTATGAGTCCTAATGGGTTGTGGGAGTTGGAAGTGAGCTGAAAAGATAGGAAATAATTTGATCATGCAAGTGAGTGACAATATAGAGATTGTACTATATTTTCTGGTCTTCGGCAAAGCACAGCATCTAATCATATTAAAAGTGGATCCTAAAGGTCAGAGGAGGCCCATTCTGCTGTTTGCCATTTTTACCACCTCACTCTGGTGGTCTCAAACTGCTGTGCAGTTCTCATCATTGTTAAAATTTGCTTCCTGGCCTTTTAACATTTGACAGCATACAAGACAATACATATTTGCCTTGTATAAATCAACTTGACTGTGAGGTTCCGATGTAGTGTAGAACTAGACATGTTAGAACTTGTTGTACATGACTTAGAGAAGAGAAACTTAGAAGTATAAGATGAATATATGATCCCCTGTATACTCATGCATGAATTGTGCACTTTAGGCATAGTATTTCCAACTATGGTAAAGCATTAATGTCAAATGAATAGAAATACATGGAAACTAGAGATTTCTTCTGAACTAACTTTAATGCTAAAAACTAATGGAATATTTAAAAACCTAGCTTTATTTGGCTCCACATCTATGTCAATAGATGATTTCATTGAAATGCAGTAAGTGCTAGGATAGACATGCAGAAGGTTCTAGGGATAGAGAGTGGGGTGATATCCCTGGCCCAAAGGGAGTAATATTTCCTGGAGATGACACCCAGACTGAACCTTCAAACAGCAGGAGTTAGCCTAATAAAGAAGGGGAGAAATGTTTCCGACAGAGGGAATAGCATAAGTAAATGCTGAGAGACATAAAATGACTTGGAGTATTGTAAAGAGTTTGGTATCACTTGTGTGTGTGTGTGTGTATGTGTGTATATGTAAGGTTTGGTGGTTTTTGTTTAGAGATTTGGCTTTACCCTGAGGGCATGAAAAGAGTCATTAAAGGGTTTGAACAGAGAAGAACCCATAAAGAGATGGATTTTAAGACCTAGCCTATTAATTATTAACTTTAATTATTTGCTTCCTAAACATTGTGTAGTTCAAGTCTAGTCAGTATGATAATTTAGAAGTCAGTTGCAATAGTCTGCACAAGAAGTGGTGAAAACTTGAACTACAGCAGTGGTATAGAGATGGAGGAAAGAGAATGACCCCAGGAATATGTAGGGAATAAAATAGTCAGGACTTGGTGCGTTGATTGTAGATTTGAAAATTGAAAGAGAGGGAGGAATCAAACTTGTTAAAATACCTCTTTATTGAGCAGCACAGGGAATTAGTATGTTTATCTTATTGGGTCTTGGAAAAGGAGGAGACTGTTGCTTCATGTTGAAAGCCAAGAGAATAAAAGGCAGGGGGAGAATAAGGGCTGGTGGGGGTTGCCTTTCTATAACCCTCCATGAGAGGTAGACATCTCTCTCTGTGTCTTACCTTCCTATCCTACTCACTGTACTAGTGGTCTTCAAAAACTTTTTTTTTTTTTTTTGGAGACAGTCTTGCTCTTTTCACCAAGGCTGGAGTGCAGTGGCTGGATCTCGGCTCACTGCAAGCTCTGCCTCCCGGGTTCACGCCATTCTCCTGCCTCAGCCTCCCGAGTAGCTGGGACTACAAGCGCCCACCACCACGCCCAGCTAATTTTGTTTTTGTATTTGTAGTAGAGACGGGGTTTCACCGTGTTAGCCAGGATGGTCTCGATCTCCTGACCTCATGATCCGCCCACCTCGGCCTCCCAAAGTGCTGGGATTATAGGCGTGAGCCACCACGCCTGGCCCAAACTTCTTTTTAAAGTAGTAGGAGGACCCCTTTATCCAAACAAAATCTTACTATGTAAAACCCCAGGATATGACAGCTAAAACAGGTGAAGGGACCTGAGGCACCTCCACAGAGCACCTAGGACTCTACAGAATAGTTTGAACAGCAGTGTTGTAGTGTGAACACAGCTGAACTTACTCCTACCTTCCCACCCCAAGCTTCAGATAAAAGTTGATGTCAGAGGCCCTGTAGCCAGGGGCTGAGAGAGTGGTGGTATCCTCAGATTATAGCAGTGCACTTGCTTCAGAAATGATTTGCTCTTGAGGCATGTGTGAATTTAAGAAAGGTAAAATGGATGAAGTAGTTATTGGCCTTCATCAATCTTAATTATCTTGCCCTACCAGAAACAGAAGGATGAATTGGGGGGAATACCAGCCAGGGAGTCTAGAGGTCTAGTCCTGGCTGTGACCTTGGCTGGCCACTTGACCTTGAGCCCATCCCTGAACCTCATCTGCCTTGGTTTCCTAGCCTATTAAATGAGAACTGGGTGATCTCTGAGGTCCCTTCTAGCTCTAAAATTCTATTAATTTGAAGTAGCCAGCTTTTTGGGAAAAGGTTTTTGATTGAAGATGCAGTCTCAGAGATTAGTGCCTGCTCATGAGAAATGTCCTGAAAGTCCCACAGAGGGAATAGAGATGGAGCACAGCCCATGTTATTTATAAACCCGTCTTCATCATTCTCTAGCTAGACATAGCACACTTTTGGCAGTAAGTTTTTAGTGGGAATTTTCCATGACCTTTTGGGGTTTAATTTTGGCTATATGAACATGGTGATAATGGACAAGTACCTCTGACCGACTAGAACTGCAGAATGTATAGCAAAAGTAAGAGTTGTCTGAGGTGACTCTTTTGCAAAGTTTGAGAGTGTAGCCCGTGTTCTAACCCCCATCTCTGTCATTTTTTAATTTTTATTTTTAGAGATAGAGTCTTCCTCTGTTACCCAGGCTGGAGTGTGCTGGCATGACCATAGCTCAGTGCAGCCTCAAACTCCTGGTCTCAAGCAATCCTCCTGTCTCAGCCTCCCGAGTAGCTAGGACTACAGGCTCATGCCACCACATCTGGCTAATTTCTCTGCCTCTGTCATGTAGGGTGGCCTGCTCACCATTTCTCTGCTATTGCTCACCATTTCTCTGCTACTGCCCTTCTCTTCCCTGGGCCTTTGCTGATGTATTAGTTATAAATGGCTGCATAACAAATTATACAAAATCTAGTGGCTTAAAACAACAAACATTTATTACCTCGCAGTTTCTGTAGTAGCAGCTTAGCTGAGTGGTTCTGGCTCAGGGTCTCACAAGGTTGCTGTCAAGATGTTATCTAGGGGTATAGTCATCCGAAGGTTGATTGGGCTTGAGCGTCTGCATCCAGCCCCACTCACATGGCTCTTGGCAGAGGCCTCATGTCTTTGTCGTGTTTCTCCATAGGGCTGCATGAATGTCCTCACTACATGGCAACTGACTTTTCCCAGAGCAAGAAAATTAGCAAGAGAAAAGTTACAACCTTTATGGCTTGATAGCAGAACTCATTCTCCATCATTTTTCATTTTTTCATAGTCTTTTTTTTTTTTTAAGGGGCTCACTACATTACCCAGACAGGCTCAAGCAATCCTCCTACCTCAGCCTCCTGAGTAGCTGGGACTACAGGCTCACACCAATGCCCCCAACCATTTTGTCATAGTCTACTTGTTAGAAGGAAGTCACTGAGTATAGCCATTACCCAAGGAAAGGGAAATTAGGCTCCATCAAAGGGAGGAATATCTTAAAATTTGTGGGCAAATTTTAAAACCATCACAGCTGGCTCTGGGAGTACTTTTCTGACCAAGGTAGTATCATAACAGGTTTTATTCAAGTGTATATCTGGTTAGTCAAGAACTTAGTTCTCACTCACAAACTGGTTCTTAGAGCTGGGTAACTGTTGCTGTCTTATTCCCCCCTTGAAATATATTTAACAGTTATTAGGGAACTGGATGAAGAGGAATAATGTGAACATGTACATTAATTTATTCAGTAAACATTCACCAGATGTCACTCTGCAGAGATATAAAACAAACCACGGTCTATGTCTTTGAGGAATTTGTACTAGGGAAAATAGACAAAAAAAGAAAAGGAAAAATACAATACAGTGTGATAAATACTATGACAGTGGTAAGCACAGGATGATTTGGTACACAGAGAAGGGGCACCTAACCAAGACTAGGGACTTCAAGAAGTTAAGGAAACTTTCTGGAAGTGGTGACTCCTGGGCGAGGGCCCCCACCCACCACACAATTCAGACAAGAGCTTTGTGGCCCTGTGCAAGAAAGGACCTCATTATTCTTTTTACCTTACAGAATGTTGCTGAGGCACAGTGCATCGCCAACCAAGTTCAGCTCTTCTACGCTACTGATCGGAAAGAGACCTACGGGTTAGTGGAGACCTTTAACCTCAGACCAAATGAGTTCAAATATATGTCTGTCATCGCTGAATTGGAGCAAAGCGGACTTGGAGCAGAACTGAAATGTGCCCAGAACCAAAATAAGACTTAGAACTGTACAGGTTGGCCCTTCACCTAGTTGACTCAGCCCTCGATAGTCTAGAGCCCACCCCCTCCTCAGGAACTCAAGAGCTCAGCATTTATAATGAGCAGTTGGTAATGAGTTGCCCTATGTGCTTGTCGCAAGCAGTCACAGAGATGAGCCCTATTACTTGATATTCAGGAACAAAGGTACCTGAACATTCTGATAATTATCTCAGCATACTTGAGGTTTCCTTTTTTAAGTGTTCGAGGTTATAACAAGAGACAGCCAAGGACCTACAAGACAGTTGACTTGATTTTGCACAGTGTAACAGCGCAGTTGCATTCTGGCCACTTTGACCTTATAGCTCCCAAATGATGAGTTTGTCATCTTTATGAACTCATGACAGGATAATAAGCTTGAAGACCTGCTGTAGTTAGATATGGGCTTTAATCCTTCCCAGGCACCAGTCAGCTGAACAAAAGCATAAGCCAAACATCCTGTTTAAACTGTAGAATAACCAGATATTCCCATCAGGTTAAAGACTTCATCTAGATGATGCCCCCCAGAGATGCCTTTAGTGTAAGTAGCTGGCTTGGGGTATCAGCAAATTTCAGGTATAGTTAGATAAACAGGTACAGGGCCTGCATACTATTAAACCATAGTTTGTGGCACCCGCTTTTCTAACTCCACCTGTTAGAAGCTATGTGTTTGAAGGAATGAATCAGTGCAGTATAAATAAAATTCTTTTGTAAGGAGAAGATTAATCCTGGTTTGCATGATTTTTTTAAAAACAACTCTAAACATGATACGAAAAAGTGGATGAAAGCAAATGTTCCCAGATTGGATGTGGGGAAAATATAGCAATAATTTTTTTTTTAAGTCTGGCTTACAATGTTTGTTATACAAAATAATGAAATCTGAGTTATGTACTGTCCATTGTGTCAGGGCTATGGGCTGATTTTATCAAAACTCATCTTGGGACTGAAAAATTGTTTGGAATGCCAGAAATAAGAAAGTTGTTCTCCAGAGCTGGAAACCCATCTTTCGTTTGTAGTGTCACTGTTGTGGCTCCAAGCTCAGTGATAGGAAAGGACGGTGGTTACACACCAGCCTTCTGAACCCAAGGCCCCCAGTATTGTTGTCAGCTGCCTTTACCATGGCATTTCTTTCTCTTTCTTTTTTTCCTGAGATGAAGTCTTGCTCTGTCTTGCCCAGGCTGGAGTACAGTAGCGTGATCTCAGCTCGCTGCAACCTCTACCTCCCTGGTTCAAGTGATTCTGCTGCGTCAGCCTCCTGAGGAGCTAGGATTACAGGCGCATGCCACCATACCTGGCTTATTTTTGTATTGTTGTAGAGACAGGGTTTCACTTTGTTGGCCAGGCTGGCTGGTCTCGAACTCCTGGCCTCAAGTGATCCACCACCTTGGCCTCCCAAAGTGCTGGGATTACAGGTGTGAGCCACCGTGCCTGGCCTGACATTTCTTTATTGATCTAACATGCTCCACTCTGCTGCTCCTGCCTAAGATCTGGTTATATGACACTGAATGTGGTGAGTGGGAATTTAAGCAGTATTCGCAGTTTGTGTGTGTGTGTTTTCTTCCTTCCAGAAGAATTTTTATAGGTTGGGCCTGTCCCTAAGCTCTTTAAATAGGGTGGACATCCCACTATTCTCTGAGCCGTGTCTATTTTGTTGCACCTTTGAGTCTATGTATTGAGAGAGACAGATAGTATTTTTTTAAACTGGGGAAGCTGCTATCCTTTCACTATTTCTCTAAAGGTTGAGCTGTTAACTAATGTAAATTCTGGACCTGCTTCTGGTCCTGGCAGTTTATCTTTTGAGAAACTTGAGTCTTATCTGCCCTGCCATTTTCATTAAATGCCTTCTGACCTTCTGAATGTTTTGGGTCCCAAGAATTTTTGACATCAGATGGGGTTGTTTTTATTGGTATCCAGTTATGTTTGCTTGTCTTTCCAGATGGGCCCAGTTATTAGCCATACATAGTACATTGATACACCTCCACCAGCGGGTGAGGAAATGATGGAAAAAGGAGTAAGAAGTGGCCATTCGTTTTAATCATTCCTCCTGGATTTGTCCTCAGTCCCCAACTGCCAAGTAGGATGTGTCCATGGATAAATGTGTGGGGCATGACTAAAGTACCACGTAGCTGTTCTTTATATTTATTTACCTAGAAAGATCTGGCAAAGAACTCAAAGAAAATTGTACCATTTAATCAGTAAATTTGTCCCCTGGTGCTAGCATGGTGTTATAGAAAGTGGACAGGCTTTAGAGTTAAGTGAATCTGGGTTCATATGTTAGTGTTGCTATTCATTAGCTCTATACTGTTGAACAAATTGCTTAAACTATCTAATTTTGGGGTTTTTTTTCCATCTAAAATAGGGATAATAATATCTACCTCATAGGATTATTGTGAGAATTAAATTAACTTCACTATAGTAGAAAATATCAACTACCATCCTTTTCTCTACTTCCCTTGCCCCTCATTAAAGACTAATACAAGTTAGCATTTCAGATGTGTAGATCATTCTTTATTCCAGTTAAAAGAACAAACTTTATCTCATCAGTTCTGAAACTTTAAGATGCAGTAGCATCACCTAAAGTGCTTTTAAAATGCAGATTCTCAGGCCTCAACCGTACACCACCCCCCCACACACGTACTAAATCAAGAATATGTGCAGAAGGTACTGGGAATCTACTTGTTAATATGTGCTCCAAATGATTCTGATGTAGGTAATTAGCCAGCCACACTTTGAGAACCACTGCCTTATCTATTCTTTACAAAAATGTACATTGCCAGGTCTTTCTTTCCTGTGGATGCTAACTATAGGATATTTAGGTTCCTCTGTTCTTTGTCTCCCATAGTGGCCCCCTTTGCAAACTCCAAATACATTATATTTATTTATTCTTGTGTCTTTTTTCCCCCACTAGACTGTGAGCTCCTTGAGGGCCAGGACTTATCTCTGTTCGCAGTGCCAAGGACATGGCCTGGACCATAGAAGATACTCAGTTTTTTGTTGAATAAATAGGTAATATGGATTTCAACCAAAACATTGTCTTGTGTATGTACCTGCATGTAAATACTCTAGATTTAAAAGAATCTCTTAATACACATAGATCGAGAATTTGTTGAGTAGAAATATTTGCAAACCAAGATACCAAGTTATACACAGTTCTCTGTACCTCACCTAATCCACTGGCATTACCTTGGTGGACCATTACACAGTACAACTTAACAGCTGCTCACAGAGCATCTATTCTGCAGCCACTATGTTAAGTGCTGGACACAGAAAGATGAGTAGAGTATGATTCCTGCTCGCAGGCTCTGTTTTAGCCACTGCCTGTTTCTCTCTTGCCTCTGATTCAGTGCCTCACACCTACACCTGATTATAGTTTGCTTTGTCTAGTTCTTGGATGTTCATACTGGTACTTCTTTCTTCTCCAACCAGTTTGGAAGCTGGAGCCACATGTTTTGCTTTGCACTCTCCATACTGACCTTTTGTTCAGTCTTGGAGAAGAGGTACTAATGCCCACTTCCTAGTCATTTGATTTGGCATTGAGTCAGCATTCATTCACACTTATTGAGCACCTTTTTGCCAAGCACTGTTATAAAAAACTGGATAATATAGCAATGAACATGGCAAATAAGGCTCCTGTTCTCATGTAGTTTATATTCTTGTAAAGAAGACAAGTAAATCAATAAAATTATTTTACATACTGGTAGTGCTATGAAAATTTAAAAATAATATTTTAGACTATGGAGTGGAGGCAATAACTTAATGGTCAGGAGAGGCATCTCTGCAGCAGTGGCAGCTGATACATGAGCTGGGGAAAGAGAACCAGGTAAAGAGAACAGCAAGTGTTAACGCCCCGGAGCAGAGCCAAGCTAGGAATGCTTGTTTCTGGACAAATATAAAGATTCAGTATCTACCCTTTAGGAGCCTACAGTTCAGCGGCATGACCTGACATGAATGATTACAATACAAGACAAACTGATCAATGCCGTCTCAGAAGGGGCAAAGAGAGTTAAGGAACTCCCCCCGCATGCTATGGAGGATGCAAAGCTTGCCAGGCTCTGGTACCCACCCATGAAGCACTTATGGCTTAATGGGGAATAACAGGTAGACAGTGTTAAAGTCTCAAAGGCTATATGTTTCTTGCAATAGACAAGAGGTACTGTGGGTTCAGTGCTGGCCTCCCAAGCTACAGTCACGTACTACATAACAATGTTTTGGTCACGTTAGATTGCATATGCAACTGTGGTCCCATAAGATTATAATGGAGCTGAAAAATTCCTATTGCCTAGTGACATCATAGCTGTGGTAATGTTATAGCACAATGCATTATGTGTTTGTGGTGATGCTGGTGTAAATCTACTACACCAGCATAGTGTATAGGGGTATAGGGTATAAAAGTATAGTGTACAGGGGCCGGGTACGGTGGCTCACGCCTGTAATCCCAGCACTTTGGAAGGCCGAGGCAGGTGGATCCCTTGAGTTTAGAAGTTCAAAACCAGCCTGGACAGCATAGCGAGACCTTGTCTCTACAAAAAAAATTTAAAAATTAACTGAGCGTGGTGGTGCACGCCTGTAGTCCCAGCTACTCAGGAGGCTAAGGTGGGAGGATCACTTGAGCCCGGGAGGTTGAGGCTACAGTGAGCTGGGATCACACTGCTGCACTCCGGCCTGGGCCACAGAGCAAGACCCTATCTCAAAAAATAAAAAGGTATAGTGCATAAAACTATGTACAGTACATAATGCTTGATAGTAAATGACTATTACTGGTTTATGTATTTACTGTATTATTTAGAGTGTGCTCCTTCTACGTATAAAAAATACTAAGTCAATTGTAAAACAGCCTCAGGCAGGTCTCTCAGGAGTTGTTCCAGAAGAGGGCATTGTTCTTATAGGAGAGGACAGCTCCATGTGTGTTATTGCCCCTGAAGACCTTCCAGTGGGACAAGATGTGCAGGTGGAAGTCAGTAATGTTGATGATCCTGACCCTGTGTAGGCCTAGGCTAATGTACATGTTTGTGTCTTAGCTTTTAACCAAAACATTTAAAAAGTAAAAAATAAAATTTTTTAAAGAAAAAAGCTTACAGAATAAAGATAGAAAATATTTTATACAGCTATACAGTGTGTTTTAAGCTAAGTGCAATTATAAAATAGTCAAAAGTTTTAAAAATTAAAAAGTTTATAAAGTTAAAAAGTTATAGTAAGCTAAGGTTATTGAAAAAAGAAAAATATTTTTATAAATTTAGTGTACAGTGTTTATAAAGCCTACTGTAGTGTACAGTAATGTCCTCCTCAGTCTTCATATTCACTCAGAACTCACTCACTGACTCATCCAGAACAACTTCCAGTCCTGCAGGCTCCATTCATTGTAAGTGTCCTATACAGCAATATCATTTTTTATCTTATACTGTATTTTTACTGTACCTTTTCTATGTTTAGATACGATAGATAAGTATTTACCCTTATATTACAGTGTCCACAGTATTCAGCACAGTAACATGCTGTACAGGTTTGCAGCCTAGGAGCAATAGGCTATATGCCATCTAGGTTTGTATAAATACATCCTATGATGTTTGCACAACAACCAAATCACCTAATGATACATTTCTCAATGTAGTCTCCATTGTTAAGCAACACTTGACTATATACACATTAACAATAACCACTAACATTTACTAAGGGCTAACCATATACCAGGCACTGTGCTAAGCCCTTACATGGATTATCTCAATCCTACCAACCCTATGAGGTTGGCAGGAACCTGCTGGTCAGTGACATGTGCTGCTCTCTCCTTGTACCCTCATGCCCCAACTCCAGCTCAGAAAAGAGAGCAACCAGCCAGGCACAGTGGCTCATGCCTGTAATCCCAACACTTTGGGAGGCCAAGGTGGGCCGATCGCTTGAGACCAGGAGTTAGAGACCAGCCTGCTCAACATAACGAAACCCCCTCTCTACTAAAAATACAAAAATTAGCTGGATGTGGTGGCACACACCTGTAATCCCAGCTACTCAGGCTGAGGTACGAGAATCACTTGAACCTGGGAGGTGGAGGTTGCTGTGAGCCCAGATTGTGCCACTGCACTCCAGCCTGGGTGACAGAATGAGACCCTGTCTCAAAAAAAAAAAAAAAAAAAAGTAAGTCATGGTTGGCTCTGGAACCAGCCCTGAGAAACATGTCTCCCAATTTTCTTGCTGGTAACTAAAGAACAAAATGCATGCATTATATACCTCTGATTCCTCCAGACAATTTTGCAAGACATCATGTTCTAACTAGGGAAGACTTCCTTCGGAGAACTTTGGTCTTGTCAATTCTTCTGATGTGACAGGTTGATAACAACATCTTTATCCTTGTTCTGCTAAAAGGGAGAGTAGGAGCACAGAAAGGGAAGAGATGACTTCAAGGTTGCTGTCTGCATCAGGAGCCAACCCAGGAATAATAATAAGTGTGTCCATGCTCCACACTTAATAGGATCATTTGTAATGTCCACTGAGCAGGCTCATTCTTCACATTCACTTGAACAGGGCTACTTCTACGCTCTTCAGGCTTTAGGAACTGGAATATCTACAAGAAAAATTGGTTCAAACCACTTAAGAATCATTACAGGTTCCCTAGGGCTTTCTGGACAAAGTCCTTTTAGATCAGCTCACAGGAGCTTCAGGATCCAGTGCATGGTGTCTTTTCCAGGCTCATTTTGTGCCTCTCCTACCTACTCCTTTGGCTCCAGCCATTCTGGATAACTTGCAGTTCCCTAAACACATTGTGCTCTTCCTACCTCTGTTCTGCTCTTTTCTAATACATTTGCCTGCTTCAAATGCCCATTCCTCCTTAAGTTAATTCAAAGCTTCACTGTAGTATCCCTATGAGAAGCCTTCCCTGAGACCTATTCCCCTCCACATGGCCCCCCTGCAAGGCTGGCTTCCCCACCAGAATGAATAGCCCTTGGAGACTGGGATCATATCTTACTGGACATTATATTCCAAGTGTCCAGCACGAAACCCGGCAGAGGGATAAGATACTCTGTGGATGCTGAACAAACTCCGTTTGAGTGACCACTAAACTCAGACCACCTGAGCCTACAAACATCGCTTGCACAGTGAGATCCAGCTCTGGCAAACACATTGTGGTTATGTCCCAGCCCAAGACAGTGGTCATTTTGCTTGCTCTTATTGCAGAGGCTGCATATGGAAAACCAAGCCAAGGGACCAACAGAGAAGGCAGTCAGGTCCAGGGTTTGTAAGCAGAAAGAACTGAGAGATGATGATGTGAACAAACTTTTGGAGCAAAACAATTATTTTAAGTACCAGGCTGGCACTTTCAAGTTCTTGTCTTGCCTTGCCAAACCTTAACATTAAAAAAGACCTGGTTGGGTTGGTGGCTTACGCCTGTAATCCCAGCACTTTGGGAGGCCGAGGCAGGCAGATCACGAGGTCAGGAGATCAAGACCATCCTGGCTAACATGGTGAAACCCCGTCTCTACTAAAAATACAAAAAAATTAGCCAGGTGTGGTGGCAGGCACCTGTAGTCCCAGCTACTCGGGAGGCTGAGGCAGGAGAATGGCGTGAACCCAGGAGGTGGAGCTTGCAGTGAGCGGAGATTGCACCACTGCACTCCAACCTGGGGGATAAAGCGAGACTCGTCTCCAAAAAAAAAAAAAAGACCTTACAGGCTGGGCGCGGTGGCTCATGCCTGTAATTCTAGCACAAGGCGGGCAGATCACCTGAAGTCAGGAGTTCGAGACCAGCGTGGCCAACATGGTGAAACCCCATCTCTACTAAAAATACAAAAATTAGCCAGGCATGGTGACAGGGGCCTGTAATCCCAGCTACTCAGGAGGCTGAGGCAGGAGAACTGCTTGAACCCGGGAGGCAGAGGTTGCAGTGAGCCAAGATCGCGCCACTGCACTCCAGCCTGGGCGACAGAGTGAGACTCGGTCTCAAAAAAAAAAAAAGGGTGGGGGGTGGGCGGCCGAGAGCAGTGGCTCACAGCTGTAATCCCAGCACTTTGGGAGGCCAAGGTGGGCAAATCACAAGGTCAGGCGATCAAGACCATCCTGGCCAACATGGTGAAACCCTGTCTCTACTAAAAATACAAAAATTAGCTGGGCATGGTGGCACATGCCTATAATCCCAGCTACTCGAGAGGCTGAGGCAGGAGACTAGCTTGAGCCAGGGAGTCGGAGGTTGCAGTGAGCCGAAGCCTGGCGACAGAGCAAGACTCCATCTCAAAAAAAAAAAGAAAAGGCCTTACAGACTATCCAGTCACCAGTTTTCAAACTGTGCTTCAAGAAATCCCCAAAGTCCAGAGATGGGGACCTTGGGATTCTGACCCCCAACTCAACCAGAGAATCTGTGTTTTATTTACTGGGCTTCTCATAAGCTGTCATCTGAAAAAACAGTTTTCAAGAAAGACTGAAAAAAAAAAACCTGGTCTAGTCTAATTCTCCCGCCCACCATTGTAGGCCTCCCTACAGCACCACTAAGCCATTGGACAACTGTTTAAAATCTTCCTGGGGACTGGGAACTCTCTACCTGCTAACTGACCTGCACCATGCTGAGGCAGCTCTGGGTGAGCCAGTTCTTCCCCACCCCTAGCCAAAATCTGGCCTCTTCTCACTACCCTCACCTCCTTCTGCCTGCTGTAGATGGAAACTCCCAGGAGAGTCTTCACTTTTCTACCTAACCACCTCTCCTGCTGATAAGCAAAGATAACTCTCAAGTTGCTTTGGCATCTCTTCAGCAGAACCGTCTGTCTTTAGTTATATTACCCAAAACCCCAGCCCCTCACCCTCTGGCTCACCTGCATCTGGACAGACTAGCCAGTGTCACCAGTGTCTGCCTCACAGTTGGGGCCTGGAGTTGAGCCCAAGATGCCCTTGTGGGGTAATCAGAGTGGATTCTGGGTGGCCATCCCTTGGGAGTTGGCATGGCCCACCTGGAAGTCATTTCCCCCCATAGCCACTTACTAAAGTCATCTCACTGACTCCACCTTTCCTGGCCCTCGTCCTTACTCCCACCTTGCTATCTTCCCATAATCTGTTGTCAAACATTGCTTTTCCTGCCTAGAACTTTAGTCCTTTGGACCGCCACACATAGCCCCATTTCATCTGGCTGGTTTCAGTCCAGTGCTCCCATCACATCTGGACTTGAATCTTCACTGTATTGCCCAGAACCCATGTCCCTCCTAACAGATGTGATATTCACGTTACCTTGGTCCCCTTCTACATCTGCCATGGCAGTAACCATAGCTTAGTGGTATCCTCTCAAGATCTTCATTTACCCAAAAAATATTTGCCATGGTTTGAAACAATCACTACTGGGTCCTGCTTGATATGTGGTCCACTGTGACCCCACATCATGTTTGTTACTGCTATTGTTCCCACACTCACAATATGGTATGGATCCCCATCTTGCACTCTCATTTCTTCAACCCACATTCAATCTCCCATTTTGACCTTGCCTCTGGTCAGGTAAGAAGTAGCAGACATATCTTACATTTTGGCACTAATTTTGCAGGGGAAGAGAGGGAGCAGAGAGGTATTTTGCTGAATCTCACTTGTTGTGTGACCCCCAGAAGACTCCCTGAGATGCCTAAGTTTCTTTCATTTGATCTTTGAACAATACCTTAAAAAGTAATATTATTCCTTTTTTTCTTTTTCTTTCTCTTTTTTTTTTTTTGGACAGAGTCTCACTCTTGTTGCCCAAGCTGGAGTGCAGTGGCGCGATCTCAGCTCACTGCAACCTCCGCCTCCTGGTTCAAGGGATTCTCCTGCCTCGGCCTCCAGAGTAGCTGGGACTACAGATGTGTGCCACCACGCCCAGCTAACTTTTTGTATTTTTAGTAGAGATGGGGTTTCGCCATGTTGGCCAGGCTGGTCTCGAACTCCTGACCTCTGGTGATCAGCCCGCCCCGGCCTCCCAAAGTGCTGGGATTACAGGCATGAGCCACCACACCTGGCCAATATTATTCCTGTTTTACAGATGAGGACACTGGGGAAACACCATCATAGATGTGAAGAGTCAAGACTAAATTAGAATCCCAGTTCTGCCTTTCGTTCACTGTCTGGCCTTAGACAAGTTATTCAATCTCTCTGAGCCTTTGTGTTCTCATCTGTAAATAAAATAATAATGGCCCTATCTCAAAATATAAGAAAGGATTAAATGATGTAGCAAACACAGAGTGCTTAGCACTATAATGAAAGTGCAAAACAGTAGCTGGTTAAGTACCTTTTCAAGATGCACATCTATACAGAGGAGGAGGAATTTCTGTTTCTGGAACATAAATCTTCTCCTAGAACATAGACCTTTCATTTCTAGAACATGTTTCTTTTGTACTATTTTTCTACACCATGTTTTGTTTTCAGAAAATCTCTTCCGGGAATTTAGAGAGGCTTGAGCAGTGGTAATCATACCAGACCAGGGGACAGGCATCAGGAATCTGGGAGGTGGGCAGGTGAGCAGGCAGACCCAAAGCCTGGCAGCTAACATCTAGGTCGGAAACCAGGTAACGTCTGGAGTTTTGGGCCAAGGTGCAGGCCTGCCTGATTATTCGTAGATGGCTTATCTGAGACAAAGTTATTCCTGGTTACAGATGTCTATGTATTTAGTTCCTTGGCAACTCATTAAACATAACTGTTTATAGTTTAAAGAGACCAAATCCATGTAACCTTGTCATTTTCCTACCCGACTGGGCATCAGAAACACCTGATGCACTTGTCAGAGCTGTCCATTCTTGAGCTTCACCATTGAGATATAGATTCTGTTGGCCTGGGGTGGGGCCTGAGAAAATATTAGGCTGGTGCAAAAGTAATTACAGTTTTTGCCATTTATGTCAAAAATGCAATTACTTTTCCACCAACTTAATATTTTTCTTTTCTTTAACTCTCCAGGTAATTCTGAAACTCAGCCTGATTTGGGAGCCCCTGCAATAAGTTTTTACTTTTACTTTGCACCTGAGGAAAAAGGCTCCAACCCAGGTGAAGTGACTTCCCCAAGGTCACACAGGGTATCAGTAGCAGCATTCCTTCTATCTCTTTGTTCCAAATTTTCTTTGCACTTCAGTCCAAGGCAACCCAACTGAAAAATATCTGAAAAAGACAAGGATTTTTATTATTGTCTGCCTCTAGTAAAGATTCCTTGGATGAGACTAGCTGTTCCCAGCATGCCATTAGATAAGACCTCTATGGGGCAAGAGAGGAAAGCCTTCCCAGATGCCTGGACTTCAGATGTTTTCCTTGTTTGATGTTGAAAGCTGAGAATTTCCCTGGCTCATGACCCCTGGAAACAAATGCTGGATTATCTGTTGCGCTGGATTATCTGTGCCTGGCCCCTGCAGCTGCATAGAGAATTGTGTGTTGCCTGCACAGACTGAAGCTCTCCATCCATCCTGCGTGCATTTTGTACTCGCCTGTGGTGAGTGAGCAGAGGGGGATGATATATGGAAAGCCAGGCAGGCAGCAGTGGCAGGGGAGGGGGGTTGAGGGGAATGAGGGATTGATGGGAACTCAACTACAGAGCTCAGTTGGGAAACTCACACCCCATTGGAGCTGGGATTGATTGCTGGAACTTTCTCACCCTTCTCAGTTTGTCTCAGAGCCAGCAGCTTGCACTGTGTCCTCTGGGCACCCCTGTGGAGAGGGAATTGTTCTCAAGGTCAGGGAAGCTTGGGTCTCTCAGTGATGGTCTACCTCATGCCCTCTTCCCAGAGGCAGGCAACTCTGCACTCTAGAAGCCGAGTGACCTTCAGACAGCCTTCTGTTTCCTAAACCCCTTTCTTCTGTCTGTACTTGGCCTCCTTCTTATCTCTTTTTCAACTCTCAGCTCACACTAAATGACTTCCTCCCTTGGGTGCTATCTGTAGAATGTGTGGAATATGACCTGCCCCAGCAGATTTTGCAAGGGTATCAAAAGAGTGAGTGAGAAGTCTAAGGTGGTGTCAAGGTTACTGAGGATGGTCAATGTACTTAATGCTGCCAATTGCTTTAACATGGATCCAGGCACAGATGTCTTCATTATCATCTACTTTCCCAGGAGAGCATTTTTTAGAAAGTGTCTAGCCCCAATTCAAACTGACTTGTTCTTTGCCTAACTTACTAACAGTATATTTGCTAAGTGCTCAGGCAGTGTCAGGCAGAAGGATAGACCCTGTGACTGGAGCTGGGAGACCTGTTTTTGAGTCTCAGCTCTGCTTGCTTGCTTGCTTGCTTGCTTGCTTGCTTGCTTGCTTGCTTGCTTGCTTTTTAAAGACAAAAGTCTTGTTCTGTCACCTAGGCTAGAGTGCTTTGGAACAGTCTTGGCTCACTGCAACCTCCGCCTCCCAGGCTCAAACAATCCTCCTGCCTCAGCCTCCTGAATAGCTGAGACCATGGGCATGCACCACCGCACCTGGCTAATTTTTGTATTTTCTTAGTAGAGATGGGGTTTCGCCATGTTGCCCAGGCTGGTCTCTAACTCCTGAGCTCAAGCAATCTGCCACCTCAGCCTCCCAAAGTGCTAGGATTACAGGCATGAGCCACCCCACCCGGCCCTGCTCTGCCATTTCAAGCTGTGCTTCTTGGCCAAGTCATTTCACCTTTTGGAGCCAATACTCACATTCCAAGGTTGTTACAGGGCTCAAAAATGACCAGAGTAGGCCGGGCACGGTGGCTCACGCATGTAATCCCAGCACTTTGGGAGGCTGAGGCGGAAAGATCACCTGAGGTCAGGAGTTCAAGACCAGCCTGGCCAACAATGGCGAAACCCTGTCTCTACAAAAATTAGCTGGGCGTGATGGTGTGTGCCTGTAATCCCAGCTACTCAGGAGGCTGAGGAAGGAGAATCACTTGAACCTGGGAGGCGGAGGTTGCAGTAAGCCGAGATCACGCCATTGTACTCCAGCCTAGGTGACAGAGCGAGACTCCATCTCAAAAAAAAAAAGAGTAGTAAAAGCACTTTGTAAACCAGAACATTCCTTACAACTGTCAGTTGCTGCTACAAGGTAACATGGGAGGAGGCAAAATAAATAAAAACCCAATTCTAAGGGCTTATAGTCCAAAAGGGAAGACACAACCTCCATGGGCTTAACCAAGGAGTGCATCTGCAAACCACTGAGAACTTTTTGTGTCAAGGGCTCCCCCCTGAGGAGGGTTGGTTCCAGGCAGCTGGTGTAATTTAGGAAAACTTCCTGGGAAAGCCAAGAGCATACCCTTAGTCTGCTTAGCCTTAGGCAAAGCGGAGCTCCTACAGCTACTTCTTGAAAAGGCCCCAAATGCAATTTGATGACATTCTGCAGGAAGTCACAAGCTGTACTTGTGTGGAATCCAGACTCTACGGGGTGCAGCATGAGTCTCCAATAAGAAGTGGACTCCACCCACTGAATTGCTGCTTCCCGCTGCAGCAGACACAGCTCTCCCATCTCCTGGACATGAAGCCAAGATGGGACCCAAAGAGAGCTGCAGTGTAGAGTTTGGAACGTCATCTAAACACGGCCAATCCCTTCTCTCTACTTAGTGGAACTTTCTTTCCAGCCCCTCCGTCCCTCTCTGAAGGGAAGAACAACTTAAAAGCTCTAGAAAGATAAACCTCCCTCTCTCCCAGGGTTGCTGAGAAGAAGAAATGAGAATATGCCTCTCAGGGAGAGGCATACGTAAGGTTCACTGAATGGTTTTTATTGTCATGATTCATCATTGGGCTGATCTCTTCCTCTCCCTATGTCTCAGTTTTCCACATACTTCGAGGAGATTAGACTAAATGATATCCAAGAACCTTTCCCTTTTACAAGCCACTCCTCCCTGACCTGTTGTTCAATAATATTCCTTTGTAGCCAGTGGGACTCGTGGGCCCAGTGGAAGTTCCTTAGAAGACCGAGGCCTTTGTCACCACCCACAAAGCAAGGGGAAGGTCTGCAACTGGCCAACACAGTGCCTGACATCTAACGGGCCCTCAGTAAATACTTGTGGAATGTAAGAATGAATGAACAAATAGAAGAAATTGATGTGTTTTCACACCACCATAATAGTTGAAATCATAATTTACTACCATTATTTTATTTTTTTTCTTTTTGAGACAGAGTCTCGCTGTATCACTCAAGCTGGATCTCGGCTCACTGCAACATCTGCCTCCTGGGTTCAAGCGATTCTCCTGCTTCAGCCTCCTGAGTAGCTGGTATTACAGGTGCAAGCCACCATGCCCGGCTAATTTTTGTGTTTTTAGTAGAGGCAGGGTTTTGCCATGTTGGCCAAGCTGGTCTCAAACTCCTGACCTCTTATGATTCGCCCGCCTTGGCCTCCCAAAGTGCTGGGATTACAGGCATGAGTCACTGCGCCCAGCCATAATTTACTACCATTATTGCTAAAAGATAACACCCAGCTCTCTGGGGACCATAAGAAACCCCCATCCCTGCTGGCAACTCTGAGGCAGGGAGGCAGGTGTTACTGAACACACTTGGAGAAAGGATGCTGTGCTGTGGAGGAAGGAGGAGGGTGCATCCAGACTGGGGCAATCTGAGGGCTTTCTATAGAAGAGCTTTGAACTAAGTGGGGGTTGCTCCAGGCGGCAGCCCCAGAGGCTGACATGGAGGCACCCCAGCAGCAGAGAAGGGGCTAGGTTGGACAGAATTTCCTGGGCAGCCTTCATAGTGGGTTCCATGGAAAGCTGAGCCTGGAACACTGGTGAAACCACCCCTCCCCCACAACTATCACCTCCACTCGTGGGGCACCCCAGGCTGGGAACTAACCCAAGTGGTTGGAGGGGACAATGCCTACTGGGGCCATGTTGAGGGTGAGGTCTGAGGGCTGTGAAATTGTCTTCAGGCACTTATACACACTAGGCTTCCACCCAGCCTCCAGAGGTCTCCTTCCCAAGATGGAAGAGATGAGAGGAATGCCTCTACCTTAAGGGGAGATGGCTGGGAAGGAGGAGGAGCTTGGAGCAGAGAACACTGGAGCCTGAGGTTCTTAGAGGCAAGACGGCCCTCCCCGTCTCTGGAGGGACTGAAACCCTCTGAAGTCCATGTCACCCGGGACTGGTAACTTCTGCTTGCACCACTCCCTCTTGAGAGAACAGCACAGCCATCCCGGCTGCATGGTTGGACAGCTCTGATGTGCCAAGCGCCCCTTCATATTGTCCTGGGTGTCTGCCCACTGCTCTCCAGGACCCTGGAACAAGCTCAGTCCCTCTTCCACACAAACACCTGCTGGGTGTTTGAAGGCAGTACCCCTGAAACAGACTGACCACAGCCTTCTACTGTTTACAAGTGCTATCACATTTGATTCTCTCAGCTCTTCTGTGGGGCAGATGTTGTTGTTGTTGTCTTTACTTTAGAGAAGGTGAAATAGGCTCAGAGAACAAGTGCCTTGTCCATGGTCACACAGAATTTTAGTGCATGTCCTTGTCAACCTTGTCTTCCCCTGCCATCTTCCCTTGAACCTTGTCTTCTTCAAGTGAAAGGAAGTTTAACCTCAATTCCTCTGACTGCCGTAAGGGTGCCCATGGCATTCTCCTCAATGGGCCAGGATGGAAAATCCAGGACGGATGATCCTGCCTCCTGGGCAGGGAGGGGCAGAAGCTGAAATGGAAACTCTTTCTTGGGAGAGAGTGAGTAGAGGGTGGGCCCTATCAGGCTATAGTAGCTGCCAGACATCTGGTAAGGTGAACTGAGGGTGCAGTATCTTATTCTGGGGGGCAGGGTGGGAGTGGGGGAGCTTTCTTGGCATAGGAAGGGCTGGGGAGTCCCCAGGAAGTGGCCACTCTGTATCAGTAGAGTCACTGGATACAGGCCTACAGCGGGAAGGCACAGGAAGCTGGTTCTGATAAGGTACTTGGAGTGGTACTTCGTATGGCTAGAAGATGCTTTCATGGTAGAGGTGTAGAAACTAAGGCCCAGAGAGGGGCAAGGGCTTTCCCAAAGGCACACAGCAGGTAGACACCACCCTGCTGCCACTCAGAGTTCCCACTGCGAGGGGGGCATGTGCCCAGGCTGAGTAGTGGAAAAGGGCACGTCCTCTCCTAGGTCCTCACTGGCTCACGCCAAGCTTCAGAGATGAGCCTTGTTTGAAGTCTTCTGGAGCCATTTATCATACTCAAGACACAGTGGCAGGGAACAGAGCCCATCTTGTGTAGGTCTCCAGTGCTGGAGGGTTACAGTGTCTCATCAGAGAGGGCAGAACCATCCCAAGGCCACACAGCTAAATTACGGTAAAGCCAGGACACTGTTCTCCAAGGTCTGGGTCTTTTCAGCCCCAGCAGAGCCTCCTAGAAGAACTAGTCTCTCTAACCAAGACTGAGAAGGGCAGGAAGAGGGTACAGGTAGTTGAGAGATCTGGGCTCTCTCGCTTCCCCCAACCCTTCCACCTGCCTCCCATCCCACAGACACCCAGGGACTCTGAGGATGAGCTGGGAATTTCTGATGTTCCTTCAAAATGGATCATCTCTATTTCCCACAGTGTAAGGTTCTGTGCTGTTCACTCTTCACCAGAAAAACTCCTGCCTATCCTGTAAAACCCAGCTCAGAGGTCCAGAAAATGACCCTGCACAAAGCCTCTGCAGAGGAAGTCACATCAAATTCTGAAGAATCTTCCAGACCATGATCTCTGACCACAATGCAATATAATTAGAACTCAACAAGAAAAACATAAACCTCCCATAGGCTGAGAAACTGAAAAACATACTTTGAAATCATTCAAGAGTTAAAGAGGAAATTACACTGAAATTTATGAACTATTTAGAACTGAATGATAAGGAAAACACAAGCAGTTTCCAAATCATTTCCCCTATGAAGTCAGCCCTGACCCCACATGGCTCCTCAGATGGCTCTCCACCCTCTACCCATTTCTACGCCCTAGGAGGCTGACGTCTATGGGCTGCAGCAACAGGTTCCCTTGTTCTTAGCTTCTGGGAGGATTCAGCTAGTGGGGGAAACCTGGCCAGAGATCAGACGGAGGGAGAGAGGGAGGAGAGTGAGGCCTCTTACTTGCCCCCTGTCCTTCCCTGTATGATTGCTGTGAGCTGGGTATGCCCCTCCACCTTAGGCCACAGCAGCGCCCTCCTCATAGCTCCCACTTTCACCATTCCTTCCCCACACTCCTGCAGCCTGGGGTTGACAGCCTCTGCTCTTGTGAGCCCTTTGGTGATACACTGTGTGGTTTCCCTACACCTTGACCATACCTGTAAATAATGTCTTCATTAAACATACCCATTCTGGGTGTTCCATGTGCTTCCTGCAAATACCCCGACTCTTACAAAGTCCGTCAGTCCACAACCACATTCTCACTTCTGGGTGACTGAGCTGTGACCTTGTGTATCTCTGTGTGTTGTCCCCTTTACTGACCTGTCAGCACCTGAGGTCGGCAACCAGGTCAGCTTTATCACCCAGTCCCCTGATCTGATATGAGTGGAGAGTTATACTCAATAAAAGATATTGATTAGGATATCAAATAAATAAAGAAGCATAGTTTAATTTGCTCCATAAGCAAGTGTTTGTTTATAGGGGATTCAGGGCAGAGAGTTAAGAGTCAGACATAAAAATACAGAGAACTTTAGACTGGGGCAAAAATTGGTGCTCAACAAAAGAACATACCCACAGTTCTATGAGCTGGGATTCTTTCTTTACTTTTATTTTAGGTTCAAGGGTACATGTGTAGGTTTGTTATATAAGTAAACTCTGTGTCATGGGGATTTGGTGTACAGATAATTTCATCACCGAGGTAAGCAGCATAGTACCTGATGGGTATTTTTGTCTCATCCTCCCTCCTCCCGCCCTCCACTCCCAAGCAGGCCCCAGTGTCTGCTGTTCCCCTCCTAGTATCTATGTATTCTCATTGTTTAGCTCCTACTTGTAAGTGAGAATATGCAGTATTTGGTTTTCTATTCCTGTGTTAGTCTGCTTAGGATAATGGCCTCCAGCTCCAGCCCATGTTGCTGCAAAGGATATGATCTGGGTTAAGGATCTAGCGTGTTCTCATGTCATCCAGCAACAGAAGGTCCAGACACAAGGGAGGTCCAGTGTGCCATGGTAAATGCCCACCTCTGGCCTCCAGCTCTCCCCTACCCGCATCTACTCACCTCCCACCCCTCCAGAGTGGCTTCTATGGCTAAGCTCTCTGCTTTGGGCTTCCTACCCTAGAAAGCCTCCAATCTTCCCTCCCATCCCAGACAGAGCAGCCAACTGGTCCCTGGGCCTGGGGGCCACGGTGTGCATTGAATGCTGGTGGGATATCTGTCTGTCCTCGAAGGAACCCAGGTGGTAGGGAGAGCAGATCAGATCTTGAGTGGTTTGGATTTGTCAGAAGGAAGGAGGGAGAGAAGGTATTCTAAAATGGAACAGCTGGGATAAGGGTCTGGAGATAAGAAATGGGGTGACTCTGGGTAAGGAGCAAGGAGAATCAGCCCAACCTGAGCCAGGCCCCCTCCCTGGTGAGGAGATGAAGTTTGTGATTTGAGCGCTCTTCTGGGGCTTGTCCCTCAGGGGTGAAGGACTCAGCTCATGATTCCCAAGGCGTTCATTTATTCCTTCACTCACCCATTCATTCATTCATCAAGTGGGTTTTGAGTTCCTGCTATGTGCCAGGAGCTGAGGATATGGGAGTGGATAGGACGGTCCCGATCCCTTATTGGGTCCCGGGACAAGTGTGACGCAGACGATTCTAGGAGGGCAAAGAAACCACCCTTATCTAGCAGCTCTTGTTTCTGCTCCAGAAGAAGCCGAGCGTTTTCCCATTTTACTGTCTGGGAACTTGAGGCTGCCTCCTTGGTGGAGGTCCAAGGAAGCACCGAGAGGGCGGGCAGCTCAGTTAGTCCTTTGTCCAAGGGGAAGCTGGGAGCCCCATATGGACTTTCCGGGAAGGTGGGGGCGAGTGCGTCTGTGTACTGGAGTGGAGGGGAGTCCCCTTTCTCCGCCCCTCCCCGCCCCGTGGCCGCGGCGTGGCGGGGCCGGGGCGGAGCTGGCGTCGCCCGGGGCAGGAGGGCAGCCGCGGCCGGCAGGACAGGCAGACGGACAGGCTGACAGGAGAGAGAACAGGCACTGCGGGACCTGCAGGAGAAAGGCGATCCTGTGGCTGGGAATGTGACCCCACGGCCAGAAGAGGACCCGTGAGTGTGCGCCGTGCCCCTGCGGCCTCGCCGCGCACCCCGCCCGCCTGGCTTCCACTTTCATTTCTTCGGCCGTCCTGGCGTGGCACAGTCCGGAGGAGAGTCCCGCCCGAAGGCAGGCTGGCCGCTGTCCTGAGGCTGGCGTCCGAGGCTCAGAGCTTCGAAAGTTGCGGGGGGGATTGTCGGGGTGGGGGAGTACGGGGCAGAGGGGAGGGGTTGGGGGGCGTGTTTTCGGGGAGCGGAAATGTCAGGCGGGCTCCTCTGGGTCCTACGACCTTCCTGGCCCTGGGAGCTGGTTTGAGGTTGCAGGGAAGCCGGGGGTGGGCGTGGGTGGCTGCGCGCCGCGAGGAGAGCGTGGAGTCTTCGCCTCTACTTTTTCTCTTCGACCTCTGTCCTAGAGAGAGTCCCAGGATGGATTCTGGGTTCAAACTGGGGCCATCCTCTGGCCCAGATCCTGGGCCAGGCCCAAGGAGTGGTAGATGTAGCCTAGCAGGGGGCTAAATATCAGAAACAGGTAGGGTCAGCCTGCTGTCTTCATTTGAGAAGCCCAGATCCGCACCCAGGGAACGAGCAAGGCACTGCCACTCCAGGAGTGAAAGGATAGCCATCACTGGGAAATGGGGGCTAGGACGGGGAACGGCAGTGGTTCAGGGAGAGACAGAGGTTCTGTGACAGATAGAAACTCAGTGAGGGCATGGGGGTGGGGAGTGAAGGGAGTTAACCCTGTGGCTAGAAGAGCACCTGCCCTGCACCCACCCCCTGAGCTTACATTTTCCTGGAAAGAGACCCAGGCCTTGAAGTTCCACAGGAGTAAGGTGGAACTCTAGCTCACTGGTCAGGACACCCCAGTTGCTGTGCGGAGTCAGTGTGTTGGGGACAGGAAGCAGGTTGGGCTGTTTGGTGGAGAAGATGCTTCCACTGTCCCTCCACTCCCCTCCTCTTCTCTGTCTCCACCAGACCATTGATGAGCCAGTGCAGGAAAATGGTCTTTTACTCTTGGTCATGAGCTGAGCCCCACCTTATCCCAGTTCCCAGTTCTGCTTGTAACTTGCTATGTGGACACAGGCTCCTCAAGTCCTCTTTTTAGGCCTCAGTTTCCTCATCTGGGCCTCAGTTTCCCCATCTGTACAAGTGAGTTGGGCCAGCTGATCTATCAGGGCTATTTTAACTCTAAGATTCTAGTCTAAGCTTTCCTTAAAGCCTGAACACTGACTTTGTGCCAGGCCTTGTCCTAAGCTGGGGGTGGGTTGGGGATGGAGTGGAGACTGCAATGACCAAAAGCAGCCTCTACCCAAGGAGAAGGAGATCTGAGTTCAGGAGAGGAGGCTGTGGGAGGAGGTAGCAGCCAATCTGAGGATGTGTGGTCAGGCAGGTGGAGGGATAAGAAAACATGCAGAGGCAAAAGAGTGGGGGCGTGTTCAGGAATCAGGAAGAAGCCCAGGGTGGTTGGTGTGGGGAGGTGGGAAGTGGGGCAGGAAAGGTAGGACAAGGTGCTGAATGCCAGGGTGGGGGCCTATTTCTAACTGTCATAAAGGGGGCCATGCAATGTGGGGAGCCCAGGAGCCCCGCCTAATTGCAGTGTGAGGGATTTTGGAAGCACTTGCCCCAAGCAGAGTTTAAAATGGAGATGGCAAATGAAGCGCAGAAATCTCTTTGCTCTGGAAACTGGGGTCCCACCCTGGGGACTTCTTTGGGTGAGAAGTCGAAGAGTCGGGATGGATGAGATGACCTTTCACATCTGTGAGTTTTTTTCAAGAGAACAAGTTCCTGCTGAATGGCCTGTTTCTACTCTCCAAGCTGCTCTCATTTTACCAGACTGCCCCCATCCTGGCCTGCCTTTGTGGGTTCAAGGAAGGACCTTTGTCTCAAACAGCTCCCCAGCTAGTTTGACTTCTTGCCAGAAGTAATACCCCTCCCCGAAATATGTGCCATCCCTTTGCTTTTACCCAGGTGTCACCTGGTTCCCACCCTCCCTTCCCCAATCCTGTCCCAGGGTTACCAGAGATGTGAGAAAGGACAGTGCTCCAGCGTCAGAGGTCAAGCCCAGGCTTTGGCCATAAGCAAGCCTCAGGGTAGGGCTAAAGGCTAGAGTCAGGGCTCACACTTGCCAGAGCCCAGGTCAGAGGTCAGCCAGGAACCAGAATGCAATTCTTAGCTTATACTCAGCCTTAGTGCTCAGTCTAGGGGCAGGGGCAGTGTGCTTAGTGGGTGGCTAAATTCTAGTTTTGGTAGGTACATGGGTCTGCATTTCCCAGTAGCTCACACACTCACAGTTGAGATGAGATGACTCAGGTCTTAGAAACCTAGCTATAGCAGAGTGACCCAGGACCTGGATGGGCTAAATCCATGGTGATACAGGGGTCACCCAGTAAGCCAGTGGTAGAGCTGGGACTAGAACCCAGGACTCCTGCCTCTGAGCCTAGGGCCCTGATCACTGTCTCCCAAAATTTGTTCTGAATCTGGGATCCTTAAATTCTAGGAGGCAAAGTAAATTTGCCTGAGCTCTAGATGGGCCCTCCTGGGTGCATCTGACTATACTCTTCTACCTCCCAGTGCCAGGCACATAGTAGTTGCTAGAGGAATGTCTACTGAGTGTCAGGTGCAACGGGAGGAGCCAGTGGCTTGTTCAGATTTGGGGCTGGAGGAGGCTGGCTTGAGGGGAAGGATCTCCAGCTGTTGTCAGAGGAAGCGACGCCCTCATTGGCCTGCCGCCCTCCCCCTCCTCCAGTGCTTGCAGCCACACTCAGAAGCCGCCCAGCTGGCAGCGGGAGGGCCCTTTCCTCTTTCAGGGTGAAAAAAAAGGAAAGGACATTTTTGGTAGAAAAGTTCCCTGCTGCTCCCTGGGAATCCCCGGTGGCCGGATGGACTACGGGATATCCCAGAGGAAGCCGAAAGCCACCCCCGACCCCCCTCCACCCTGCCCCCAGCACAATGCTGCGAGGCTCTCCCACGTTGCACCAGCTGGCCAAGGGGGCTCCCAGAGGTCATCTCGTCCAAGCCCCTGTCTGCTGGTGGGCCTGCAGGGAGCCTCTGCGACCTCTCTCGTGACCAACAGCAAGTCTGAGGGGCACCTGTTTAGAGCCCAGGCCCAGCTCTGCAATGAAAGCAGAAAAGAGACAAAGCAAGATGGGAGGACTGTGGGGGCTTAGCAAGGGGGACTAACATAGCCTGGAAAGAGGGCGGGGCACTGGACCTAGGGGCTGAGGACTTAGATTCCAGGCAGAGGATGCAGAGGTTGAGCAAAGGCTGAGAGGTGACAGGGAAATGATGAATTGGGAAGTCAGAGCCCAGATGATAAGGCCTTGACCGCCAGCTCCCCTATGCCCTTGTCCCTGGCAGGGTATCCTCAGGTCCGAGCCCCTGGACAGCAGCCCCAGGCCCAGCTGGCCATGGCCCTGTGCCTGAAGCAGGTGTTCGCCAAGGACAAGACGTTCCGGCCGCGGAAGCGCTTTGAGCCGGGCACACAGCGCTTTGAGCTGTACAAGAAGGCACAGGCCTCTCTCAAGTCGGGCCTGGACCTGCGCAGTGTGGTGAGGCTACCACCCGGGGAGAACATCGACGACTGGATCGCCGTGCACGTGGTGGACTTCTTCAACCGCATCAACCTCATCTACGGCACTATGGCGGAGCGCTGCAGTGAGACCAGCTGCCCGGTCATGGCCGGCGGGCCCCGCTACGAGTACCGCTGGCAGGACGAGCGCCAGTACCGGCGGCCCGCCAAGCTCTCTGCGCCGCGCTATATGGCATTGCTCATGGACTGGATCGAAGGCCTCATCAACGACGAAGAGGTCTTTCCCACGCGTGTTGGTGAGTGTCACCTGGCGGGGAGGGAGCCACTGGGAGCCCATTCCACAGATGAGGATTTAGTTTGATATAGACACTCTGCAGGGTTGGGGGTTGATTTTCATCCCCATTTTGTGGAAGAGGAAAGCGAGGTTGAAACAGGTTAAGTGCCTTGCTCAAGGTCAAGCATTTGCTAGGACTTCCTGACTCCCAATTTGGGGCTTTTCTTTCTTTTCTTTTTCTTTCTTTCTTTCTTTTTTTTTTTTTTTCTTTTCTGAGACAGAGTTTCGGTCTTTCACCCAGTGGTGAGATCTCAGCTTACTGCAACCTCTGCCCCCCGGGTTCAAGCGATTCTCCTGCCTCAGCCTTCTGAGTAGCTGGGATTATAGGCACCCACCACCACGCCTGGCTAATTTTTGTATTTTTAGTAGAGACAGGGTTTCACCACATTGGCCAGGCTGATCTCGAACACCTGACCTCAGGTGATCCACCCACCTCAGAGGGCTTTTCTTTTCTAAAGCATAAGTGGTCCCACCAAGGACCACTCTGGCAAGACCACAGATGCTGTGATTCTCAGAACCTTCCAGAACAGTTGCCCCGAGGTGTTCATAGCTGATTTGACCTCCAGCCTCCCGGGGTTCCCTCTGACTCCTGGCCTCAGGAAAAGGAGGGAGTTGGTGGTTGGGTGGGCCCTGGTGGTATCATCACCTCAGATTGGGGCTCTGAGGACAGAATTTTCCCTTGCCAGGCACAGGCTGTGGGGCCTTTTCTTATCTCAGCTGGGCAGCCTGGGCGGGTGAGGGTAGGGAGGGGAGATGAGTGATGTCACCCAGGCACTGCTTACCCACCCGAGGGCAGCAGGAGGGGGTTGTTGGTCCAGGAGCTGAGCAGGCATGACACTGTGTTCATCACACCAGCCGCACCTGTAGCTGGGCCCAGCCCCCACCTGGCCTGGAGCTCATCTCTGCAGAGGCTGTGTGGATCAGCGGTGGGTGGGGCAGGGTGGTCAAGCCCTGAGGGGAGAAGTCTGAATGCTGAAGGAAGCTGGGCACTGAGTCACAATTCAATGCCCACGGCTCCTCCCCAGCCAGTGGCCTGCTGTTTCTTGCACTGTCATGCCCGACAAGGAGCACCTTCATTTTACATAGGAGGAAACTTGAGGCTACTGAGGGAAAGTGCACTGAACTGGGAGGAATTCCGAACTGGGGCTCAGATCTGTGGGAGCCCAGGACCCCAAGTCTACATGGGCAGGATATGTCTGAGGAATCTGGGCTGGGCTGGAGGGGCTCAGAGGGAGGGAAGGCTCGACCCCACCTGGGAATGGTGAGGAAGAGGAGGGGGTCTACAGAGCCGGGTGGGCCAGCTGTGGACCTGAATGTAGATTCATAGTCCCTGCTGGCCATACCTCCCTGGGCCTGTGGGACTCCAGGTATCGATGCCTAAAACCCTGGGTGACTGCCACACAGAGAAGAGGGCATAAGCCACCAAGATCTCTGCCTTGAGCATGGGGGACTATGCAGAAGCGGGGCCTTTTTCATGGGTCCCAATATCTGTGAGGGTCGCTGCAGTGCACTGCAAAGAGGGTCTGAATCCAGTCTCCATTCTGCACTGATTAATACTTATGTGGCCTTGGGCTAGCAGCTTCACCTTTATAAGCACTTCTGTTTTATCATATCTAAAGTGACAATCAGACACATCAGGCGAATTGTTCTAAGGATTAGAGGCAAAAGGTGTGAAGGGCCCAGCACAAGGCCTTGCTCATAAATGGAAGGTTCTTCGTGTTGTTGAATATTTGAAGGAATGAGGGCTGTCTGAACTAACTCTTGCAGAATTCATAATTTCCAGGATTGGGGGTCTGAGGACTTCTGTGTGAATGTTGAAAAGAGGAGGGACATGGGGTGGGGCTAGAGAGGGAGGTCAGGATAAGATCATGAAAGGCCTTGAGCAGCGTCCTGCTGGAAAGTTAGGACTTAATCCTGAAGGCCCAGGGATTTTTTAAATGGACCCAGTTGTTGAACTCTCCTTGGAGTTGTATACAAGAGTGTGATGTGAGCATCTCTGCAATTGCACATATTTCTGGGGAGAGTTTAGGTCGTAACTTTTATCATAGTCTAAAAAGGGTTGGTCAGTGACCCCCACAAGTTTGCAAAGCCCTGCTTTAGGTAATGGGAAAATGTGGAAGATGATGTATATTCCAGCAGGGGAGAGCCACAGTCAGATTTGTGCTTCATTAGAAAGAAAAGTATGGCCAGGCACAGTGGCTCATGCCTGTAATCCCAGCATTTAGGAGGACGAGGCAGGTGGATCACCTGAGGTCAGGAGTTCAAGACCAGCCTGACCAACATGGAGAAACCCTGTCTCTACTAAAAATACAAAATTAGCTGGGCATGATGGCACATGTCTGTAATCCCAGCTACTTGGGAGGCTGAGGCAGGAGAATACCTTGAACCTGGGAGGTGGAGGTTGCAGTGAGCCGAGATCATGCCATTGCACTTGCCTGGGCAAGAGTGAAACTCCGTCTCAAAAAGGAAAGAAAAAAAGAAAGGAAGAAAGAAAGAAAAGTATGGGAGAAAGTCAAACCACTCTCTGTTTTCCAAAGGGAAGTGTACTAAAAAGTGTGCTGGGGAAAAAGCCATCCTGGTTGCCTGTGTGTGGGAGGGAAAAGTTGAGCAGAGCTTTGGCACCAGGATACTGATCCCCTTCTGCCCTCCCCTGCCCTCTAGGAGTTCCCTTCCCTAAGAACTTCCAGCAGGTCTGCACCAAGATCCTGACCCGCCTCTTCCGAGTCTTTGTCCATGTCTACATCCACCACTTCGATAGCATCCTCAGCATGGGGGCAGAGGCGCACGTCAACACCTGCTACAAGCACTTCTACTACTTCATCCGCGAGTTCAGTCTGGTGGACCAGCGGGAGCTGGAGCCACTGGTGAGGCCAAGCCCTACCACCCTCCCCTACCAAGGCTAGCCTCTGAGTTTTCACGTCCAAAAGCTGCCTGCTTTAAGTAACTCCAACGCCCAAGTAGATGAATTAGGGGAAGGCAATTCATTTAACAGTGAATTCTGTACTTCAATAGAGAATTCATTCAAGTGTTGGTTTACAAACCCAGATCTGCAGCCTAAGAGTTGGGGTTGCTGGGGGAAGGCCAGGCTCAGACAGAAGAGCAGCTAGGCCCTATGGTTTGGGAAGGGATTGCCTAGTAGGCTGAGCTCTAATTGACCCCTCCCTACCTTGTGTCTCTACAGAGGGAGATGACAGAGCGGATCTGCCACTGAGCCCAGGTCTGGACTTTTTTGGCCATCAGATGGACGATCTGAACATAGGGTGGCTGGCAGAGGGGACCCCCAGGAGCCTGAAGGAATCTGAAGGCACTGGAATCACTCCACACACCCAAAGCCTCTGGACTTCTGGTTCTCAGGAGTCTGCCTACCTGTCGCCCTGACCGCTTGTGGATGGAGAAGGGGAGAGCATCTAGGCAGGCAAACAGAAGGGAAGTGGAGTTAAACCTCTGGCATGAAGTCTGGGAGTAGGGTAGGCTAGGGGGTTTCTTCTATGACACTTGACCCTTCCATGCTGGTTCCCAAGCCTATTGGAGGAATGTGGGTGTGGCCGAGGTGATGGCAAGAAAGGTGCAAGAAAGTGAGCAGTCTGCCTGTGAGTGAGCACAGATGCCGGGGTGTGTGTGTGTGTGTGTGATTTTCACTGTGGGGTGTGTCTGTGAGAGCTAGCTGCCTTACCCCTCCTTGGCACATAGTAGGCCTTCCATAAATGTTGGATGGATGGATAAATAGATTGGGACCATCAGACCATGGGACCATCAGACCATGACCACTGTAGGAGTGATGACAGCTCAGCGTCCCCACTCAGTGTATCTGACCATGTGTGTAAGTGCACAAAAATGTGGTTGTAGATGTTGCTCTACATTCAAACCTTCCAGGCTACACTCTTCCATCAGCATGAGTCCTGGAGAGCTGGGGGAACGTAGGAAGAGGAGCCTTGCCTTGAGTTCCTAAACCGACCCACTGCAGACACAGGCTCTGATTCTCTTACCCAGAGATGCCCATGAGCTGACATTTTACTCATCCCTCTGCCTCCAAGAAGGCCTGTATTATACGTGTCCTCCTGGGGGTTGGAGATGATCCCTCAAGTACACAAAGGTCCCCTGGCCCTTCATCTGGGAATCATATACTCCACTCTAGCTCCCAGAATCTACAGACCTGGCTCCTCGGATCTGAAGCCCAGCACAAAATAATCTCCCCGTCCAAGGAGCTTGTGGAACTTGAATTGGGAACTTTGGAGTCTTGTCTCCCATCCCAGCACATTGAGGATGTAGTTGGTGAATGGACTCTTCCAGGCATGGAGATCCTCCATCCTAAAAGTACCTGCCTCCTTCCCAGCCATCCCTGACACATTCCAGCCAGTTGGATCTCACAGCACAGCTATCCACAGGGAGACTGGGATGTTCACGCAGCACTCCATTACTCAGTACCTCCATACCCAGCCCTATACGCAGACCCACAGGTGGGGAAACTGAGGCAGGAACAGGGTTCTGCCCTCCCAGAGCCTCCACTCTGGGATGCCAGAATGGAAAGCCAGAGGGAACCTGAGAATCATCCAGTCTTACTGTCTCAATGTACATACGGGGAAACTGAAGCCAGGAGAAGAAGAGGGAGAAACTGTCCAGGGCCTCACAGGGAGGCATTCATGGAGCTGGAGAAACCAGGGATCCTGACCGCAGGGCCCATCAATTGCTACATAGAGATACACATGGAAAGAGGGTTTAACAGACCCTCTCTAGGACACAACTGTTTCTGCTTTGAGCAATAATTTCTAACCTGAGGCCAACATGTCCCACTGCCCCTTGGGTTGGCTGGGGTTGTTTCCTGAGCCAAGCATCCAATATCATGCCCCACTCAATGGCCTAGAAGCTGCCTGTACTTTGGGGAAACAGATGGAGCTCTTGGGCCCAGCCAGCTGGGCCTGGGACTTCTGCCTCTGCCGCCTCCAGAGTGGCCTGGCAGCTTTGCCAGAGGCTGTGGAGCGAGGGTAGTAGGAGCTTTTCCCAGAGTGCTGTGACTTGCATGATGGATTCTAGGCTGTGGCAAGGGCTGATTTCTGGGATAGGGGGAGGGTTGGAAAATTTATTTTTATGAAACAGAGGGAAGACTTTATTGTTGTTATTTTTGGTAAAATAAAAGGCAAACTAAAGCAGCCACTGGTGGGAAGCGGTGATCTGGGTGCCACATGGCTCTTGGCAGACCATGGAAGGAACTGAGCCAGAATGGGGCTGGGAAGGCTTTTTGTCCTGAGATACTGGACCATGTGGAGGGCTGGCTGGTGTGGTCATGTCTGGCCCAGCTCTCTAGGGTGGGGACACAAAGATTCTCCTGGGGCTCTGGAAATTCTAGACCGAGCTAGGCTAGGACGCTTGGGGTGGAGAAGCCTGGCTTTTCTTTGCCTTCCGGGAACTCAGTCTGATAGGAATCGTTCCTTGTTTCATCTCAGGTTGCCTGGCATTGGCTATTCTTTTTTTTCTTTTTCTTTTTTTTTTTTTTTTTGAGATGGAGTCTTGCTCTGTCACCCAGGTTGGAGTGCAGTGGCGCGATCTTGGCTCACTGCAAGCTCCGCCTCCTGGGTTCATGCCATTCTCCTGCCTCAGCCTCCGGAGTAGCTGGGACTACAGGCACCCACCACCACGCCCAGCTAATTTTTTTGTATTTTTAGTAGAAACGGGGTTTCACCGCGTTAGCCAGGATGGTCTCGATCTCCTGACCTCGTGATCTACCCGCCTCGGCCTCCCAAAGTGCTGGGATTACAGGCATGAGCCACCACGCCTGGCCTGGCATTGGCTATTCTCACTCCAGCCCCTTACTCTGGGTGGTTTTTTTTTGAGGTAGTAGATAAAAGGACAGAGTGGAAATACAATCCCAACACTAATTACAGGACAGGAGGCCATCCTGAAGAGGAAGATACTTGTTGCTGGCTGGAGCTACGGTGGGGGTGGCAGGACATGGGCCTGACTCCTGAGCTTACTCCCCAGTAGACATCTGCATCTATTGGCTCAGGTCTTGCTGTCATTCCACTGCCCCAACTCACAAGCTGCCTGGGCAGGAATTAAAAAGCAGCTTGGTTCTTAAGAGTCAACAAAGGCCCATCTAGAGCTCTTCCCTCTTCCTGCAAAGGAGCCAGCCTGGCTTTGTGCAGAGGCTCTCCTGGGAGGCAAAGGCATAGGTTGTAGCCCCAGCCCAGCTCCTGAAGTTCCATTGCAAGCCCATTCCCCCTCTAGACCCCAACCCTTCATCTATTTTGTTATCAGTGATGGGAGTGAAGGACTGATTGATCTCAGCTCCTTCATTATATAGTCTATGAATCATTCACAGTCATCATAACAGCTAATGTTCATTATGTGTCAGGTACACTTCTAAGTGCTTGACATATAATAGCTTGTTGAATCAAGTGTGTCTTTGGCCAGCTGCCTTGCTTCCCTTCCAGCCCCCAATATCCCTGCCTTTAGTCACTCCTCTAGAATCTGGAAGGCCCTCCATTCTGCTGCCTCTTCCTCTGGCTCACCACAGGAGGCCCAATCCCAGCATTCTAAAAGGGTGCTATTTGCACACCTCCTATAACAGATCGCTCACTACCTCCTCTGTCATTGGACAGCTCAGACTGTTACAAGTCCCATGCTTTGGGTTCATGGTCATTTTGAAATATGACCATGGCAGTGAGAGTAGATTTATCTTAGAACTGTGTGACCCAAGACCTGCACCTTACATGAGAATATCTGTAAATACATTAGGAAGCTGACACAAAATTGCTTTGAGAGATTCACAGAGGGATGCTTAAAGAAGAATAGACAGAAAGGAAGAGAAGGGGAAAAGAAAGAGATAGGGCCTCAATGATGCAGATAAAAGAGCACACTCCCATGGGGCAAAACCTAGTAACAAAGGGTCCTGGGAGGTAGAGTGGCAGCTTGGTTGAGAAGTCAGGCTGGGCTTTATTTTCCTGTTGGCTCAAGGTCCATAACAAAGCTGGGCATAGTGGCTCTTCCCTGTAATCCCAGCACTTTGGGAGGCCAAGGTGGGAGGATCATTGAGCTCAGGAGTTCGAGACCAGCCTGGGCAACATGGCAAAACCCTGCCTCTAAAAAAATTCAAAAATTAGCCAGTCATGGTAGTGCATGCCTGTAATCCCAGCTACTCAGGAGGCTGAAGCAGGAGGATCACTTGAGCCCAAGCAGAGGTTGCAGTGAGCAAAGCTGGTGCCACTGCACTCCAGCCTGGGGAACACAGTGAGACCTTGTCTCAGAAAAAAAAAAAGAAAAAAAATTCCAAAACAATATTTGGAGCAGGGACCTAGGTAGTAAGCCATCCTCTCCAGCCTGGGGCAGAGCATCCACCTATTGAGTAAAGGATGCCGCATCACCCTCGGCTCCCATAAACACTGCAGCCTCTGAGGTTTCCTGTTGCCTCTCCTCCCTACCCCACAGCAAGCTGTGGAATATGTGGTGAAATAAGCCACAGTCATGACTAGAGCTCCACCTGCTTTGGGGGAGCCCTCCTTCCTCTGAGCACCCCCAGAGCCCTCAAAGATGTTAACTGAATTTGATTGCCATGTGAGGGACATAGCAACTTTGAGAACCTGGAACATAGGTCCTGAATCTCTTGGGCTATTGCCACAGGCAACAGGGAAGGGAACAGGCCAGCAGGGCCTCTGAAGACTTGAAGCTTGGATCGGCCTCCACGGAAGGTAATGAGTGGGAGAAGTCAGGATACATCGGGGCCCTCAGGTTGGACCGCAGGATTCCAGAAGGGAATGAACACAGAAGCTTGATCTTCCGCCTCTCCGGCCTTCACCCAGATTGGGAAATCTAGCAAAGTCCTGAATGTTCACTAATATTCCCAATCTCCTTCCATCATACAGATGAAAAGACAGCCCCGACAAGACAGGGAACAAATGTTTGTCAGGTGGATGATGGGAAGCAAGTCCCTGGGGCTCTTTAACTAGCTTGGCTTACCAAATCCTCACGATAATCCTGAGACAGGCAGGGAAGGGATGTTCACCTCCATCACTCGGAGTCAGCGCCTGAATTAAATCCCAGTCCACACTCTCATCCTTTCTCATCGCAGCTGCAGACTTGGGAAGGGGATGTGGGGAGACTGGTTGAGGCATTAACCTATTTACAGTTGTTTTTCCCCAAGAAATGAACTTTTAAAAGTTTTAAAAATTTTGAAATACTGGGGATAATGTTGTACTCAAGGAGAAACTCTTATGGTGAAATTCTAGGCACTCAGACTTTTAAAGAAATTGTACAGAATTGGCCCCCGTTTTAGAAAAGACTAGCAGCATTTCCCCACATATAAAAGGCATTTTAAAATTCCTTCCTGGCCTGCAGAAGCTCTCAGTACATGTTAATTACACCTGTCGCGCCCGGCCTCCTACCTTCCCGGGCTTCTCCACCCTCCATTCGGAAAAGAAAGCGCCGGAGGAGCTAAGCCCCACCCGCTTGCCAGCAATCTCCCCTCTCCCCGCCTCTTCCCTGTCACGCCTGCGCAGTTCGCTCAGCTCGAGCCCCCTGCCCTCAGGCGGCCCTGGGTAGCCATCAGGGCGCAGGCGCAGCTCCGCCCCCTCACCCTCCTCTCTGATCGGGCCCACCCCCTGGATCTAGCACCGCCTCTTCCGCGTTCTCGGAGGAGCGATCTGCAGGTAGGGGTGCGCGCGACCGCTCCCCGGCGGGAGCCAGCGAAGGTAAAAGCGAGACCTGCGAGGTATTCCTCCGAGCTAAATGGGGCCGGGGTCTGTGAGTGAGCTCGTGTGCCCGGAAGGGGGCAGTCAGGGCCTTCACGGCTGCCCGAGGTCACGACGCGATTCAGCTGCGGAGGGACAGCCTAAGGGGACGCTTTTCAGGACTGTCCCGAGCTGTCTGCGACCTCTGTGCCTGGGGTCGGGGCGTGGCCGGTGTCCGAGATGGCGCTTACTCTGTGGCCCGTTTGAGACTCAGTCTCTCCCAGGGATCAGGACCGAGGCTATGGCTGGGCGCAGGGCTCAGGCAGTCCAGTATCATGAATAGTTTTTCACGTGAGGAATTTGTGAAATCTGTGTACTGCGTTATTTTTAAGTTAATTGTTTTCATTTATTTTCAGTATTTAAAGGCTCCTGCCTGTGTGGATGGCTGTCCACAGGGAAAGGTAATAAGAGTGTCAGGTGCACCCTGTCTTCTAGAGAGCTCCAAGCTCCCTGACAGTGGCAGATCAGAGGCAGGCAGGCTCACAGGAATGAAGTGTTGTTAGAAGTGCTCAACTTCAGGGTCAGGGAGTCCTGGGTTTAGATCTCATCTCTTCCACCTCTTAGCTGTGTGTCCTGGGGCAAGTCTGCTTCCCCTCCCAGAGCTTCACTTTCTTCCCTAGGAAATGGCCATAATAGGGTCATTGTGAAGGGTGAATAGGATTATATGGAAGTCACCTAGTATGGCGCCTGTCATGTAATGGGTGCTGAATACATGGTAGCTGTGATTTCTAGGAGCTTGGTCATTTTGGATTGGGGTACTTTAGAAAGGCTCTGAGAGAAGAGTTGTTGTGACCTGGGCCTTGAAGCCTCAGTGGGATTTACAGATGGAACTGACCCTGCAGAATGGGAAGGGCACCACTGCCCATGCGCCAGGCACATGCTGGACAGTAGGTGTAATGTCTCACTGGATCACCACCCATCAGCCAGGTGCTTTCAGCCCACTCTCCTTAGCTTCAGCCCTTCATTAGAGGGCTGGGCTGGAAGTGATGTGAAGAGGAAATCCAGGGTTGGGTTTTATATGGAACTGAGCCAGCTAGAGGCTTTGGTGCCCCCTCTGCCCATCTGCTCCCACCTCAACACTTCTCTCTCTGTAATCCAGAGAGTTGGTTAGGAGTCCTGTTACTCTGGTATTTTGCAGATGTTGACAGTTGTGGGGGATGGCAACTCAGATTGCATGAAGCGAAGCCATGGGAGAGGGAAGCTCTGTGAACAGGAGCTGTCAGAGCCCAGCACGTGCTTAGAAAGTGCATGTGGTCTCCTGTAATGTGGTCCCAGAGTAATTGAATTACTTAGTTCCTTTTGCATCCTCTTCATGGGTGCCCTTGTGCTCTTCCTGAGACACTACTCGGAAACCTTGGTGGGCATCATTGCCTACTATATAGAGCAGTGGTGTCCAATCTTTTGGCTTCCCTGGGCCACATTGGAAGAAGAAGAACCATCTTGGGCCACACATAAAATACACTAACATTAACAATAGCTGATGAGCTTTAAAAAAATTGCAAAAAAATCTCAGTGTTTTAAGAACGTTTATGAATTTGTGTTGGACCACATTCAGAGCCATCCAGGGCCGCGGGTTGGACAAGCTGGATGTAGAGTTTGGACTCCAGCCTCAGACAAGTTCCTGCACAATTTGTTCCCACACCTCTCCCCTCCCTGTTTCCCTTGGTTTTCCCAAACCTGCAACCTGTGCTTCAGTCAAAATAAACTAGTTGTCTCTGTTTCTCCTTTTTTTTTGAGATGGAGTCTCACTTTGTCACCCAGGCTGGAGTGCAGTGGCACAATCTCGGCTCACTGCAACCTCCACTTCCCAGGTTCAAGTGATTCTCCTGCCTCAGCCTCCTGAGTAGCTGGAATTACAGGCATGAGCCACCACACCCGGCTAATTTTTGTATTTTTAGTAGAGACGGGGTTTCGCCATGTTGGCCAGGCTGGATTCAAACTTCTGACCTCAGGTGATCCGCCTGCCTGGGCCTCCCAAAGTGCTGGTACTACAGATGTGAGCCAACGTGCCCGGCCAAATCTCTGTTTCTCAAACACTCCCTGCATGTTCCTGCTCGAGCCTTTGCTTATATTCTCTCTTCCTGGATTTCCCTCCTCCTCCTCATCTTTCAAGGCTTACATCTCTTACATCTCATGTGGCCTCCATGGTGAAGCTTTTCTGAGCCTTCTGCTGGATTAGTTGTTCCCCTTTCCATCTTCTGTAGCAAAGGCTGACCCTCTAATATAGCTCTCATCATAGTCTGCCTAGGGATATGTACACTCCATATGTACTCTGAGTACGTGGGTGGCAAGGGACCATGTCTCTTTCCTTCCTCCTCTGTCCAGCATAGGGCCAGCACATAGTAGGCCTCTTCAGTGTTTGTGGTTAAGTGAGTCAGTGACATTTTTTATTTACTAGGTTTGGCCCTTGTTTTATGAGCTGTCAGGTTCAGAATGGGACTTTGTGTTTTTCCTCCTCTTTGTGCCTAAGGAGGGCCCCAGTTTAGACTGATGCCCTAATTACAGGCATCAAAAACAAGAAAGTACAAGAATTCTGCACAAGCAGGCATTCTTCATTGCAGCCATTGTTTTCAGGCTCTTGTCTTGCCTTGACCGTGAGTTTTGTTGGAAGGTAGGTAATGCTGTGTTCAGAGACCTGCACTGGGTGTATTAATAGTACAGTTCAAACAGGGGAAAGCTCACAGGTGGTTTTCTAATCAGTTTACTCTGCCCTTGGCCTTGGGAAACAGTGGTTCCTCCCATCTGGGGACCAGCAGCTATAAATGCACATTTTCCCTTGCCAACAGCCTCAGCATGTGGAAGAGAAAGTTATTTCTTGATCAGAGAAAAATTTACATGGTTGAAGGTAGAAGGAGCTTGGAAACCAACCATCTGGTTCCGCCACTTTCATTTTATAGATGGGGAAAGGACTTGATTGAGATTACACAAGGAGGCCGGTGTGTGGCTCACGCCTGTAATCCCAGCACTTTGGGAGGCCGAGGCAGGTGGATCACCTGAGGTCAGAAGTTCGAGACCAGCCTGACCAACATGGTGAAACCCCATCTCTACTAAAAATACAAAAATTAGCTGTGCATGGTGGTGGGTGCCTGTAATCCCAACTATTTGGGAGGCTGAGGCAGGAGAATCGCTTGAACCCAGAAGGCAGAGGTTGCAGTGAGCTGAAATTGTGCCATTGCACTCCAGCCTGGGCGACAGAGTGAGACTCTGTCTCAAAAAAAAAAAAAGATTACACAAGGAATCAGTCAGTAGTGGAGATAGTTCTAGAAGTGAAATGTCATGACTCTGTTTTTTCAGTCTACTACGTTGTTAATACAACATCGAACATTTATTGCACACTTGCTGTGTTCCAGACACTGTTTTTAAAAGTGTTTTTAACTCTGTGTTATAGCTTGGAAACTAAGGCAGATCATTCAGATCTATTTTCCAATTCCACAACTCTGGGTTTTAGTGTGGTTTTAATGGCAGTCACCTCCTACCCAGTGGGGTGGAACAGTTCTCCAAAGAGCTTGCTCCCAGATCTCCGTGAGTGAGAAGTGTTGTCCCAGCAATGTCTCCTTATATGCTGGAGAGAGATCCCAAGAAGAGTCCAGAGTGTATTGGAAGAATGGATGAAGGAATGAAACAAGCCCACATGAGTATTAGCGGATCTTAGTTTAGGAATATTCATGTACTTCAAAAATTGCCTATTTATCAAGTTAGGCAGTAAATGCAGTTTTAGAATGAACTCAGTCTGGGATCTTTCTGTAAAGATTCCCAGTATAGGATGGAAAGATTCAATTCGGTAAGCACATATTGAGCTCTTGCTATGTACAAGACCCTGGTATTGAGAAATATACACAGAGGAAAACAACACATTTCCTGCCCTCCTATAAATAATTGTCTTCTCAGAACCTTCTCCCTCCAGTGTAGTTGGGAAGATAGATAAGTACATAAATAACTGAAATCAGACTGACTATGGTAAATGTAGTAAGGAATGTAAACAAAGTGGGAGTTTGGAAGAAGGAGAAATCAATCCCAGCATGACCAGAGGATTCCTGAAGGTGGAGAATTTATGCTGGGCCTTGGAGGGAGTTTATTCCTGGGAGAAGGAACAGCTTGAGCAACAGTTGAGAGGCAGAAATGCTCAGGTGTAGGGGTGTGTGTGTGTGTGTTGTGGGAGGGGAGAGGAGTTGGTGAGGAGAAGAAGTAAGCCGAATTGGCAGATTTTGGCTAAAATGTAGAGAGTGGAGTAGGGAGCAGAACACTAGCATTTATAAAGTGTCTCCTTTGCTTTGTGGCTTGCAGTATGCTGGTTGCTTTACATACTATATTTAATCCTGTAATATAGGCCTATTTATCTCCAATCTAAAGATGAGGAAACCAGACCTCAGAAAGATTAAAGTGACTTCCCCAAGGTTAGATAGATAGTAAGGGCACAGCTTGGTTCAAAACTAGCAGTGCTGAGTTCAAAGGCCCATGTTATCTTCCTTATGCTAGAGGCTCCAAATGCCCTGACTGGCGCTCGGTTTTCTCTGGCAGCAGGACGGAGGTTAGACTGGAGCAAAGATGGTCCCAGAATGGGGACATCAGTGAAGAGGCTTAAACGGTGAATCACTGGCCTAGTTTGGAAGCTGCATGGACTAGGTCTGCTTGATAGGTTTAATAGGTGATCATTTTGGCAGCACCCACAGTGCCATAAATCAGTGCATTGCCATCCTTAGCTAGTAGAATCTTAGAACCAGTTTACAGAAGCTGCAGGACCCTGGTATTTCAGGCATGGGTTCTGATGGGAGATTGACGTTACAAAAGGGTCTGTCGGGGGAGGCAGCCTGTTTGGCACATCCTGTCTCTTCATTTTCTCACCCTCAAATTCAACAAGAGTCTGTAAGTAGGACAGAGCACTAACTTGGAGTGCAGAGGCTGGCATTCAAGTCCTGCACCTGCTCATTATCATCTGAGAGTCCTCAGTCTGTTTCTTTCCTTTGTATTTGCTGTCAGATTATTCCCTCCTGCAGCCAGTTATGGTTCACAGAGTCGTTGGGTTGCTTTCCAGAGCCACAGCTGATCTGGGGAAGCCATATCAGAAGCGGGAATAACAGTTACTAGTTATTGGGTGCCTACTGTATGCCAGGCACTGATGCCATGAGCTCCATATACATTAGCTCACTTAATTCTCATGACAACTCTGTGATGTGGGTGTAATTGCCCCCATTTTATAGATGCTGATAATCAGAGGAGTATTTTGGTTCACTTCTGAGGCCTCAACTCTTGCTAATGTCCTGGCTTGGGACTGTATGAGGAAGAACTGAGAATATAAACAGGATTCAGAGAGACTAGAGTTTATATTCCAGCCTCTCATCCTTACAGAGAGACAGTAGTTAGGTATGTGGACTCTAGAGTCAGGCTATCTGGGTTTGAGTCCTGGCTCTGTCACTTGCTACCTGTGTGACTTGGGCAAGTTATTTAATCTTCCTGAGTTTCTGTTCCTTCATCTGTAAAATGAGAATACAAATATTACTTACCTCATGGGGTTGTTATGAGAATTGAGATACAACAGCACAGTGCCTGGCACACAGTAGGTGCTCAATGAATGTGAGCTTTAATAGTAATAATATTAATAAATATATGAATGCCCAGTTTGGTACTGTTTTTATAGAAAGTATATTTATTAGGGCCATTTTCCCTTCCCCCGCATTGTTACCTTCTCTTTCTTTCCATTGCCCTGTCAGGAACCTTTGAGATACTAGATTGTTCCAGCACATGGTTGCAATGCATAACATGGCAGAAAGTGCCTGTAGGAAATGGGTCAATAAAAATCAGTGGCTCGTTAGAAAATCTTACCTGACTTGTGTTTTCACCTCTCTCCACAGTAAACAGGAACAGAGCAGCACATATATTACTTTTTTCACAGCCTTCAACAAGAGTGCCAAGCAAGACTCCTCCAATTCACTTGCCAAAAGTACAATAACAGTATCTCTGGAAAAGTGGTGCCTAATTTGGTTCTTCTTTCTGTCCAGCTTAAACCCTTCAGGCCTTAACTTAAGCCATTTCTTCTTGTTCCATTTTCCATGAATATGGAAAAGTTTCTTCTGATTTTAAAGGGAGGATGAGATCAAGATTTTCTCATGAGAACCTTTTCTGTACTTAAAGCCAGAATCCAGTTAAACCTCATCTTCTCTTCTCCCGGCTAAACAGCCTTGGTCTCTTTAACCTCACTCTTAAAACCTGTTTTCCATTGCTTGGATCACATTGGTCATGCCTCTTTTCTTTCTCTTCGGTTTTTCTGCTTTGTGGCAGTGACCCAGACTGTACTCGGTCTTCTAATAAGAGTCCAGCTAAAACAGCTTAAGGGAAGAATAACTTCAGCTGTTTCCATCCATTCATTAACAATTATGAAGTGGTTGCCCCATACCAGAGCCTCTGCTAGGTGTAGGGGTCCCAGAGATGAAGGAGACATAGTCTCTACCCTGTCCCTGGCTAACAGTCTAGGGGAAGATGCGTAATAAAATGTTACAGGTAATTTAATTATGCACAAGTGTAGGAAGCTGGGAATTGGTTAGAGCAATCAGGTGGAAATACAGTCCCTTTTGACGAGACTGCAGGTTAAGACTCCCATAGAGGGTTGGTCTGGGACAAGTTGATGGAGGCCGTGAGTGACAGCACAGAAGCTTGGTTACTCCAGAGGCAGTGGACACCCATTAGAAGTTTTAGAGCAAGGAAGTAACAGGTCGAGATCTGGCTTTTTGGACCAAGGGTAGAGATGCCATAAACCTTAGCCTTACCTGTGCCTCACTGATGTTTTCTGTCTTGAAAGTAATGTGATGGATCTTTTGTTTGTATACATGGTGATTTTTTTTTTTTTTTTTGCTCTAAAACGTCTGTAGAAGGTCTAGTTCTTAAGCACTGAAGAAATTTAATTCCCAGTACAGCAAGAAATTCATGAACAATTGAGAGAGAATTGGGTGCCTCGCCAGGCCCAGCCTACTTAAGACCCAGCTGCAGGCCGATGGATCTGTGTAGGTTTGGTCTGGCCATGGTCACCCTTCCCCACCCCAGCCCTATACCAGCAGGAGGTACAGGAATGAGGAGAGGGCTCCAGGGTCCATCTGGGTAGTTGGTAAAGAATGCTAAGAATCTTTAAGAACTGTGAGAGTCAGAAGTAATTTTTGAGGAGGAAAAAGGGACCAGAGGAATTTTAAATGGTGCCAGAAGGAATTAGGGCTAACCAGGCACTTAGAATCCTGTGACATGTATCTGAAAACCTCCACATTCTCTCTCTGCCTTTGTATTTGCTGTCAGTTTATTCCCTCCTGCGGCCAACTGTGGTTCACAGATTGGCTGGGTTGCTTTCCAGAGCTGCAGTTGATCTGGAGAAGCCATGTCAGAAGCTGGAATAAGAGTTACTATTGAGTGCCTACTGTATGCCAGATACTGGTGCCACGAGCTCTATATACATTAGCTCACTTAATTGCCATGACAACTCTGTGATCTAGGTGTTATTGCCCCATTTTATAGATGATGGTAGTAAAGCTCAGAGAGTTTGAATTTTATGTCCAAGGCTACCCGGCTGGTAGATGGTAGGGCCAGAACTGGAACCTAGGACCTAATGCCCAAAAGCCCTGTGCTTTCTACTTCCCCAGCCTAAGGTGGCTCCACGTGGCAAAATAACACAAAGCCCATAAGGAATTCTGAGGGGTTTTTTTTCTACTGTAGGCCAAGGGTTGGCAAAGTATGGCCCACAGGCCATATTTGACTCACTGCCTGTTTTAGTGTGGATGCAAACTAATGTACTTTTTACATTTTTATGTGGTTGGGGAGAAATCAAGAAAAGATCAATATTTTATGACACATGAAAATCTATGAAATTTAAATTTCAGTGTCCAAAAATAAAGTTTTATTGACATATAGCTACAATCATTGATTTACATATTGTCTACTGCTTTCTCTCTACAAATGCAAAATTGAGTCATAACAAAGATCATGTGACACACAAAGCTTAAAATATTTACCATCTGGCACTTTACAGAAAAAAAATTGCCAACTCCTACCATAGGTAACAAGAAGGGACCAGGTGGGGGTCTAAACCTATGACAAGACTAAAGACAGAATGGAAGCTCAAGGCCAGGCGTGGTGGCTCACGCCCATAATCCCAGCACTTTGGGAGGCTGAGACAGGCAAATCACGTGAGCTCAGGAGCTCAATACCAGCCTGGGCAACATGGTGAGACCCTGTGTCTACAAAAAATACAAAAATTAGGCGTGGTGGCTCGTGCCTGTAGTTTCAGCTACTTGGGAGGCTGAGGTGGGAGGATCACTTGAGCCTGGCAGGTGGAGGCTGCAGTGAGCCAAGATCATGCCACTGCACTCCAGCCTGGCTAATGGAGCCAGATCCTGTCGTTGGATGGTGTTCAAGGCTGTCCCTGGAAGTGTGGTAGTAGAAGTGAAGAAAGAGAGCATACCCTGAGTTTCCTTAGGCCCTGGAAACAGTTTTACTGGGTTTCAGATTTGTTTGGGAATAAAGAGCATAGTAGGAAGGACTGTCCAATGTGCTAACATCTTTATTGGATGTTAAAGAGATATTTCGTGTATTAAGTAATTCATTCAGATTCACTAGAGCCCATTTTTGCCAGATACTATGTTAGATGCTGGTAATGCAAAGATGAAAAAGGTAAGTGCTTGCCTTTGAGGAATAACTGGCAGGATGACGTGATCTGATAGGGAAGAAGAGAAGTCAGAGGAAGGAGGCAGTGGGTGGGGGTTGGGCACAAGTCCCACTTGGGGCATGTGGTTTGAGGTCATGGTGAAACACACCCAACTTCCAGTTAGAAAGCCTTTTTAGAAATTTTGGCTCAGAATTCAGAGTTAAACTGCATTTTCAGGGCTTTTCCACCGAGAAAAGGGGAAATGCATATTTATTTCATAGGGAAGTTGACAAAGCAACTTTGACTTGTATAGCTAGAGCCATGGTATTAAAATAACAGTGAACATAGAGAAAATGAAGTCATCAGATTGAAAACTAGCAATAATTATGTATTCGACACAAAACCTTGTTCCCATTCATGCCACCTCCTGCTCTCAGCATCTACTTTATCTTTCGGGCTCTGTTTCCTCTTGCCTGTGAGACTTGGACTTGGCCACTAAGAGAGAGAGCCCAGCTCATTTCTCTAAAAACGTGGATAGCAGAGGAGTGCCTCGCTCTGTCACCCAGGTTGGAGTGCAGTGGCATGATCTTGGGTCATTGCAGCCTCGACCTCCTGGGCTCAAGCAATCCTCCCACCTCAGCCTCCCAAGCAGCTACAGGTGTGTGCCACCATGCCTGGCTAATTTTAGTATTTTTGTAGGGATGGGTTTCACCATGTTGCCCAGGCTGGTCTTGAACTTCTGAGCTCAGTCAATCCACCTGCCTCAGCCTCCCAAAGTGCTGAGATTACAGGCATGAGCCACCACACCTGGCCTGTCAACTTTTATCTTTTGCCTGAGACTCCTCAGAGCAGAGGTGTCTTATCTCTATCATCCAGGTCCAGTTACATCTTTTTGGGTCTGGAATCCCATAATGGAAACAGAATCTGAAAAATTTCACTCAGACCTTTGTTAAATCTTCCAGTGCTTAATGGCAGTGGGGATAGAGAGGAATTAGAAGCCACCCCTTCCCAAATAATCATTGCTAATAATTTGGCCAGCCTGGGCAACATAACAAGACTCTATCTCTACAAAAAATTTAATTCAAATGTCTGATTTTAAAGATGGGAAACCTGTGATTGCTGCGTGTATATCTACTTAGTGGGGTAACTCATAGGTTTGGGGCACGTTCAGATTGATCTTTCTCTTTTCTGGTCCTTTTAAAGAAGTCAGCATTTTGATTTCCTTTCTATTTCTGCTTTTTCAAGGTTTCCATGTCAGAGGCCGATGGAGAACTGAAGATTGCCACCTACGCACAAAGGCCATTGAGACACTTCGTGTAGCTGGAAGACACCAACTTCCTGACAGGAGCTTTATTTCATTTGGGATTTCAAGTTTACAGATGGTATCTTCTCAAAAGTTGGAAAAACCTATAGGTAAGATTGGGTGTACATTTTAGTTATCCTTTTAGATTACTTCAAATTGAAATGATCTGATACATCCAGAGGAAAGGGCGGGTAAGAGACCGTGGTTTTCAGCACTTAGTTAGTTAGCTAGGAATAGCGGAGCTGCCCTGGTACGACTCAGATAACGCTTAGTAGGAGGAACACATTTCTACAGAATGACATGGAAGGGTCATAAGGAAAACATGTAACTAAAACATATTTATTTACTTTTTTTTTTTTTTTTTTTTCAGATAGAGTCTCCCTCTGTCGCCCAGGCTGGAGTGCAGTGGTGCAATCTCCGCTCACGGCAACCTCTGCCTCCCAGGTTCAAGCGATTCTCCTGCCTCAGCTTCCTGAGTAGCTGGGATTACAGGCGTGCACCACCACACCCAGCTAATTTTTGTTTTTAGTAGAGACGGGTTTCATCATGTTAGCCAGGCTGGCCTCAAACTCCTGACCTCAAGTGATCTGCCTGCCTTGGCCTCTCAAAGTGCTGGGATTACAGGCATGAGCCACTGCGCCTGGCCAGATCTATTTAATTATGAAATTAAAACAACTACTTCATAACAAAACAAGATAAAATACAGCAGAAGTATATGAAGCCCCTCTTTGCCTGGCTCCATACTAGGCAGCGGGGATAGAGAGGAATTAGACACTGTCCCTCCCCAAATAACCATTGCTAATAATTTGGCCAGCCTGGGCAACATAGCAAGACTGTCTCTACAAAGAATTTAAAAACTGGCCAAGCATGGTGGTACACGCCTGTAGTGCCAGCTACTTGGGAGGCTGAGGCAAGAGGATTGCTTGAACCCGGGAGGCGGAGGCTGCAGTGAGCCGAGATTGTGCCACTGCACTCCAGCCTGGATGACAGAGCGAGACCGTAGCTCAAAACATAATAATAATTTGAGATGTGTCTTTTCAGGTTTTTTTTAACGTATATATGATATATATGATGACATTTTGAAGTGTTCTGTGTTACACTGTCACCAGAGGTTTTGTCATGCCTGGGAGATTATGAATAATGCCTCATTTGCAGATTTGGGTCAGATGAGGGCTGAGTGAGAGTGGTTTTAGCCTGATCGGTGAGTTTTCATAGTCCCTGGTGGCTGTGTGTCACCCTTCTTCATCTGAAGGTCCCCGGTGGTGCCATTGTCTTTCCCTGCTCCCCGTCCCCAGCCAGCTCCACTTCCTGAATTTTCCCCCTGTTTGATGGTCCTACTGTTGTTATGGTGACCTGACTTTGGTTAATAAACATGTAATCATAAGTATATGAGGCCCTCCTCTTCCTGGCTGCATGCTAGGCAGTGGGGATACAGAGGAATTAAACACTGTCCCTTCCTTCAAGGAGGGCTGTGGTCTTTGCCCCCACCTTCTTCAGTCATTTGGTAGGACTAGAACCAGTTCTGCCTCGATGACTTCATTCCCTCACTCTGTTACACACCTCACCTCCTCTTCCTTGCTCTCCCTGCTCTCCCTGTCTCTGTTGTAGGCCTTTCTCACCCTGCCCCGGGCTGTTCCAGCAGCCTCTTTCAGCCCTCTTGCTCTAGCCTCCAGTTTGTTCTTCACATCACAGTCAGTTCCGTGGCCCCCAGGCACAGCTCCAGTCACACCCAGTCCCTCCCCATCACCTAGGCCAGTGGTTCGCAGCATACACTGCAGACCATGGGGGTCCCCAAAACTCCTTTAGGAATCTGCACAGTTAAAATGATTTTTGTAATCGTACTAAGATGCTGTCTGTTGCTGGAAAGCAACAATGAGTAAGACTGTTGGTGCCTTGGTCAAGGTGGTGATGCTGAACTGTGCCAGTAGCCACTATATTCTCCACTGCTATGTACTCCCAGGTTTTTGTTTTTGTTTTTATTTTGAGATAGAGTCTCACTTTGTCACCCAGGCTGGACTACAACAGCATGACCTCGGCTCACTGCAACCTCCGCCTCCCGGGTTCAAGTGATTCTCCTGCTTCAGTCTCCTGAGTAACTGAGATTAGAGACACCTGCCACCACAACCAGCTAATTTTTGTATTTTTAATAGAGACAGAGTTTTGCCATGTTGGCCAGGCTGGGCTCGAACTCCTGAACTCAGGTGGTCTGCCCACCTCAGCCTCGCAAAGTGCTGGGATTACAGGCATGAGCCATCACACCCAGCTTTTTTTTAATGCCATTTTCACACAAGAATGTCTTTGATGAAGTAGCAAAAATTGTCAGTTTTATTGAATTCCAACCCTGAGTACGGATCTCTTTAATATTCTGTGTAACAAAATAGAAATGCTCATAAAGTACTTCTGCGGCAAACCAAAGTATAGCACCTGACTCAAGGAAAAGCAAGGAAAAGCACATGTGGGATCCCTTGAATGGCAAGTGAAACTAGCCACTAGTTTCATTTTTACATGAAACAATGGCTGTGTTGGGTGCTGAGGCTGGAAGGTAGACAGGGGCTTGGGGTTGGAGAGCCTCGTGGGCTGCGTTTGTGCTTGGGGGCCTTGAGCGCAGCCCACCTTTGTCAGCTTTCTACACGCTGCTCCCCACTCCCATCCAGCCCTTTCCTCCTGCTTGCTCTTTCTTCAGCACACACTTCATTCTCCCCTTCCATGTCCTTCCTCTTGTTCCTTCCACCAGGAGATGCAGTGACAGCTCTGAAGGCTGCCTGTGATCCCAGAATCAGAACAGAGGTAGAAGATGGACTGGAGTTGTGACCTTTTGTCTCTAGGACTCTCAGGCCCCCAGTCCTGTCTGAGGCCTGTGGGGGATCCTTTGCTGGCACCCTAGCAGGCCTCACCTGCCAGTTTCATTGCAGCGGAGTGAAATGCTGCCACCTGCATGCTGCAGCCCAGCCTCCCCTCACACCAGACTCTTGGGGAAAGAATACCTTAGCCCCTTGCAGTATCGCTATGGACAGACGGTCCTTTGATTGAGCTGACTTTACAAGTGGCTCCTTTCATCCATCATGTGTTAAATCTGACTAGTGTCTGTTTGAGTGTACCCTTTCCTTGTCCCAGCATAATCATGATGCCACAAAACCAAATCTTCCCACTAATGGGTCAGACAGAAGAACGTAGCCTGTCCCTGACACCAGAACTGCCATGAAATAATGTAGGTGGACTTTGGTTGGTAGCTCATCTTTCATAAGATGACAAAACACAAAATACAAGGCAAGCTCAGAGCAAGAAGAAGAAACTTCTGATAAATGAAGTTTTTGATTAATAGGACGATGATAATGTGGTAATAATGCCTTCATATTTCCAGAAGCTAGGGCAGTGCTGCCCAACCTTTTCACATCATAGCACACGCTGAAAATGATACTGTTCTGCACACCTAAGTAACAGTGAGTGACTGGAGGCCTGATGAGGGGATCAATACCTCATTCACAGCACATCAGCAGGGAAGCTCTGTGCTAAGGTTTATAAACAAAAGCATTCTCATTGGTGCCTGGCTACTTTTACTAGCTACCCCTTCTGCCTTTCAGCATTAAGGTTTAAATACAGTGTAATGGTTAAAAGCTTGAATTCTGAGCCAGACCATCTAGATGTAGATCTCAGCTCTGCCACTTACAAGCTATGCGACCTTGAGCAAATCATTTAATCTCTTTGTACTTCAGTTTCTTCATCTGTAAAATCTGGATACTTAGCTCATAAAGTAGTGATGATTAAATAAGTTAGTATATGTAAAGTGTAGCGTTGGTAAAGTGCTTAGAATGCTGCCTGGCCTACAGTAAGCAGCATGTGTGTGTGTGAGTAATGTCACTACTAGGAGTAGTCATGTGGACTCTAATACTGCTCCGGCTACTACTTCAAAGATGTAAATGTTCTGGGGTCAGTCTCCCCAGGTACCCCCTCATTGCCTCCTCTGTCACATTTCTTAGTCTTGGCCACTTCCTTAAGAGTGCCCATGACACTTCCTTTCAGTCCCTCAGTTCCTGATCATTTTCTCCGTTCTCCATTTGTTTTGGAATGCTCAGCTAGCTGATGCCCGAGAAGGCAGCTGGGTTGGTAATTACACTTCTCTGCTTGCTCTCACCACTATTTCTTCTCAAGAAAGCTCTTGTGGCTGAGGGAAATCGCTCTTAAAGGTTGGGGAGACCTTGAAAAGAATTCTGAAGTGGTTGGGAGAGGAGTGTGAGCTAAGTTTGCAGAGCTGAGCTAGCCAGCAAAGTCGGGTTCTCAGTGGGGAGAGGATCATCTCTGGTTTCATGCACAGATATGAAAGCTGATGAGTTCTCTGCAGGCTCTTCAAAATTTGGAGTACAGATCTGGTTCCTTTGGGGACAATGTGGCTCATAAGACTATGGAGAAGTAACACAGTTCTTCCAGAGGGTGGGCCTCGAGGTCACTTTCTGGAGCAGAATGGTGGATGGATGCTTGCATGTCAGGAATCTCTGTGCTGCAGTAGTCCTTCTAGGGAGCCTCCATAACCCTTCCTCATCTGCTCTATGAGTTCTCTGTAAATCTCCCCTGCAGGAACCAGGATGATTCCTGGATCTGTATCCTTCACACTTACTATACCTTCAGTACCATCAGTGCTCGTTCACTCACAGGTTTTACAAAGAGACGAAACATGCATTCCTATTTTAATGGAGAAAACAAGATAAACGTATGCCTAGGAATGGAGACATTTATTATCATCGATGACGATGAGACTGCTTGTGAGCTAATGTCATCCCTCCTCCCATGTGCTCTGTGCCCCTGCCAGCCTGAGTGATCACCAGTGGCCCCCACCGGCCCTGTGTCCCTCCTCCAGGCCTCAGCCTGTGCCCTTCCTTGGTCTGGGACACTCTCTTCCAGGCCTCAGCCCTGTCCCACTCATCCCTCAGGTATTGAGGCTTAGCTGTGTCTTCCTCTAGTTACCCAACTGGGTTAGCTTCCTCTCTCCTGCTCCACAGCACCTGGTACCTCCCTGTCCCAGCACTTGTCCTACTATGTTGAAATTGTTTTAAGCGTCAGCAGCAGATTTAAACGCCATCAGGGAAGAGACTGTGTCTTCTCTTATACTCTCACTGTCTAGCACCAGACGATCAGTAGGTGCCCAATAAATATAGCATTATTGAAGAGTAAGTCAGTGGTGCTTTCACTTCTAGTCTCTTATTTGATCCTCACAGCAGCCTTGTGGCATGGGCAGCCCAGGCCTTCTGCTTACCTCATTTCATATACAAGGAAACTGATCCTCAGAGAAGCTAAGCAGCTTGCTGCAGTTCGTGCAGTGGAGGAGAGCCATAGCTCTCAGGCTCCAATGTTCAGCACATTTTTTCATTTGTTTTTATAAAATATTTACTTTTAAGAAGTAGCATTTTTTTTTTTTTTTTTGAGACGGAGTCTCGCTCTGTCGCCCAGGCTGGAGTGCAGTGGCGCGATCTCGGCTCACTGCAGGCTCCGCCCCCCGGGGTTTACGCCATTCTCCTGCCTCAGCCTCCCGAATAGCTGGGACTACAGGCGCCCGCCACCTCGCCCGGCTAATTTTTTGTATTTTTAGTAGAGATGGGGTTTCACCGTGTTAGCCAAGATGGTCTCGATCTCCTGACCTCGTGATCCGCCCGCCTCGGCCTCCCAAAGTGCTGGGATTACAGGCGTGAGCCACCACGCCCGGCCAAGAAGTAGCATTTTTTAAAAAATAAAAATAACATTGGTTGTTTTGAATGATTGCGAAATTAGTATCTTCATGGCACCAATATTCCTAAAATGTTTCTTTCATCACTGAATGTTGAATTTTAATACAGAGAAATCTAGAAACATTTTTAAAAACTAAAATCAGATACCAAATTCCAATGTGTATTAGAGAAAGATTATGGTGTACTTTATTTAAAAATAAAACGTGAGTTAAACAATAATAGCAGGAAAAATAAATTTCATTGTGTACAATTTAGAGAATACTGAAAATATAAAAAAGAAAATAAAAATCACCCCATCACATAGAGAAAACTCTTATGGATTAGAAATGGTCTGGACTTGAAAGAGCAGCATTGAGTTTGAATCCCAGTTAAACCACTAACTAGATGTTTGGCATTGGGTAGGTTATTTAATCTACTGGCTGCCTGCTCTGAGCTTCTTTCCTTACCTGAAATATGGCAAAAATATTTACCTTTTGAGATTATGATAAGAATTAGAGATAATATGTACAGAATATCCATGTAGTTGGCACTTTTTAAAATTGTAGCGTATTAGCAGTTTTACGTATTTCTGTCTAGTCTTTCTACTCTGTTGGGTTCATATATGGGCATACATACCTGTGCATATGCATATGTTTTTGGAAACATATTTATGTGAAGTATATCATTGGGTATTTTTTGTTTTTTTTTTGAGACGGAGTTTCACTCTTGTTGCGCAGGCTGGAGTGCAATGGTGCGATCTCAGTTCACCGCAACCTCCGCCTCCGGGGTTCAAGCAATTCTCCTGCCTCAGCCTCCCGAGTAGCTGGGATTACAGGCATGCACCACCATGCCTGGCTAATTTTGTACTTTTAGTAGAGACGAGGTTTCTCCATGTTGGTCAGGCTGGTCTCAAACTCCCAACCTCAGGTGATCTGCCTGCCTCGGCCTCCCAAAGTGCTGGGATTACAGGTGTGAGCCACCACACCTGGCCATCATTGGGTCTTTACAACAACCTGTGAGGTAGACAGGGCGGGTGTGTTTTTAAACCTATTTGATAGATGAGGAAACTGAGACTCTAAGAGGCACAGTAACTTGGCCTTGGTTCTGTTATAATATCTGAACCAGGGCTTCTGCCTTGCTCGCCTGATGCCAAGCCTGTGTGCCTTCCCTGTCAGCAAGCAGCATGCTGCTTCTTCAGTTCCACTTCCACCTCCACTAATAGACACATGTGGTGGACCGCCGAGCCGTTCCCAAGAGGAAGGCAAGGGCTGGAGGCAGCGGAAGTGCTGGGAGCCTCCAGACCAGCTGGGATCTGCCTGAAACTGAAAAGAAGTGCTCACTTCTTCCTCTGTAATAACAGACACATTGCCCAATCCTATAGCAAGAACCAGGCTTCTGTTTAGAAAGTGAAGGACCTGGCTGGGCGCAGTGGTTCACGTCTGTAATCCCAGCACTTTGGGAGGCCAAGGCAGGCGGATCACCTGAGGTCAGGAGTTTGAGACCAGCCTGGCCAACATGGCGAAACCCCGTCTCTACTAAAAAGTACAAAAAATTAGCCGGACATGGTGGCATGTGCCTGTAGTCCCAGCTACTCTGGAGGCTGAGGCAGGAGAATCGCTTGAACCCGGGAGGCAGAGGTTGTACTGAGCTGCACTCCACTGCATTCCAGCTTGGGTGACAGAGCAAGACTCCATCTCAAAAAGAAAAGAAAAGATAAGAAAGTGAAGGACGTTTTGTGTCCTAGACCCTTTTTCGAAAGGGAGTTTATCCAGGAATTAGTAGAATTCCTGAACTGGATTCATAAAACTAAGTAGCCTTACTCTGCATTGTCTACAGGGCAAAGTTGTACCCATGTTTCTTTCAGGATGTGCACTGGGTACCTAAAAGGCCAGTGTGACATACCCCACACCTAACAGTATGCATGTCATTTCATATCATTTCTATTTCAGTGCAATTTCTGATGGCTGCTATGTGTCTGACACTGTGCCATGATCTGTAGGAGAAACAAGTGAACAGGGGACAATCTCAGCCTTTAGGAACACAGGGGAGCACTCAAGGCCAAATAAAATCAGTGCCCTCGTGGAGCTTCTCGCAGGGTGTTTGGGAGCAGAGGATGGAGCACCAACTACTAGTTCTGCTCAGTAACACCCTCCATTTGCATAGCACCTAACTGACTTCCAGAGTCTCTGTAGAAACCTTAACTCATCTGGAGTTATCAGGGAGCTGCAAAAGGGTTGGGACTATCGAGCCGGCTTTTGATGACCAAGAAGAATTCCTAGGCCAAGGGAAGCAGGTGAGCCAAGGTGCAGCTTTACTGCGGGGGTCCCACTCCCTGAGGCAGCATTTATCCCATGAGTGTTTGCATGATGAATTAAGGCCCCACAGACCTGCTAGTGGACTCTGTGATGAAAATAGTGTGTGGCCAGGCTCCACATGGGCAACTAGCGACCCCTTGGTGAGATTATGACACCTCTCGCTTCCCCCTGTGTAACCAGGGAAGCTAAGCATGTTTCTTTCACTTCACCCATCTTCCTACATTTTTTCCTTCCTAGTTTCAGAAACAACTCTCCAAGTTCCATTTCCAAGGAAAGTCTTAACCATTTGTCCCTTCTGGCGTACCCTCTTTCATTGAAATCCATGCAGAATATACCAGGTACTCTGTCTTTGTGTGTGTGTGAAGCCATAAAATCTAATGTTACGTGTGCGGTGGTGCTGTGAGGTATGCTTCTCGTGCAAGCGGCTCCCTCAGCCCTGCTGTGGTAAAGACCAAGTATAAATTGTCGCTAACAGGGTTTTCTCATTAGAGTCGTGTGCCTGAGTGTCCCCTGTGAATTATAATGCCTCCAGCCCTCTTGCTGCTCCTCTGCTCTGCCTGTCTTTTGGCTGTTTTGCTTGTCCTGGGGCCCTCCATCAAAGTGTGGACAGGGGAAGGAGAAAGAGCTGAAACCCAAATCTGTTTCCTCTGCACTGGGCCTGCGGTGCCGATGAGAAAATAGATGCAGACACGGGTTGCCACTGGACTGCATTCAAGGTCAGCGCAAGAGAGAGAGACAATGGTTCCTCCTTCTCAGCCTGCTGCCCCGATGGCCAGCACCCCCTCCCTGAGCTCCTGAAGATGAGTGACCCTGTGTTTTATTTCTGCTGAATTTCTCACCATGTTATACATTTGGGCAGCTTTTTTCCTTTTAATTTACCTTGGTGAGGGTGGGTGTTGAGGTGCTGATTTTTTTTTTTTTTTTTTTTTTTTTTTTTTTTTTTTTTTTTTTTTTTTTTTTTTGAGACGGAATCTTGCTCTGTCACCCAGGCTGGAGTGCAATGGCGTGATCTCGGCTCACTGCAACCTCTGCCTCCCAGGTTCAAGCGATTCTCCTGCCTCAGCCTCCCGAGTAGCTGGCACTACAGGCACCCGCCACCACACCCAGCTAATTTTTGTATTTTTAGTAGAGACAGGTTTCACCATGTTGGCCACGATGGTCTCGAACTTCTGACCTCAAGTGATCTGCCTACCTCGGCATCCCAAAGCGCTGGGATTACAGGCGTGAGCCATGGTGCCTAGCCAGATGTTTAATTCTTTCAATTCATAGGGTGTTGCAGTCCCCAGATATATCTTGTGTTTGAAGCTCTTGGCTAGAGTTATATTTTGAGATGCTCTGTGGATTTCTTTTATCTGTGTGTTTATCTGTTCCCCATTCTAAACTATAATTTAAAATGTGCTGTCATCAGATCCCCAAAATGGATGGAAGAATGCGCCTAAATTGAGCTGTCAGGCACTTGGCTGCGTAACCATGCTTTCTGGATTGTGGTGTTGAAAGTGCCATCCTGTGTGCTCTCTCCGGATGGCTGTCACGTACTTGCGTCTGAGAACAGTGTATGGACCTGCATGAGCACTAATCAGTCTTCCTAGCAGACTTGCTCTTTCTCTGGTCGTATGCCGCCAGATCCTCTGAGAAGAGAGTGGGCCTTTCCCCTCAATGGGCAAAGAACCAGCTTCCATTTTAAAAGCTCTCAGAAAAAAAAGAAAGAAAAAAAAAAAAAAACACCAACAACCAAGAGCCTGTGTTTATTGAAGGTTGGTCTAAAAGTCTCTCACATCGTATGCCCCATCAGCACTCGAGTGCCTCTATTTTAGAAGGATGTAAAGGTTTAATCACGCTGGTGGGGATTTAGACCCAGAGACTTCGGAGAAATCTTATTATTTCTAACTGCAGGCAAAGAGTATTAAAGCTCCACTCTGGATCAGGGGCATGACATGTTCTATAAGTAATTTATCTTTAACAGGGAAAGGCCCATACTAGAGTGTCTTAGAAACAGGACTGTGATTGGGCACTGGTTCACTGTTCCTCCTTTTCTCTTTCCTATCTCAGTGTCCTGCTTATTCTTTCCATCCGGACTTTTTCTGCCCAATCTGTGCAGTGTCTGAATGCCTGCCTCACAAATCCTCCTTTTAAGATTGGGAGCCAGGTGCTTGCCAATGAAAGATAATAAGGTTTTTTGCAATAAGTGACCTCATCCAGCAGCCTGGCACAGACCTGTCAACTGCCGACTTCTGAATGGGCACTACCTGCAGCCCTTCCGATGGAGGAGCTATGGGAGGAGAGGATGCCGTAGGCTCCATAGGCACTCAAGTCCGTGCTCTTGGACATGAAGTAATTTGGGGCTATTTTGAACCCCAGCCCTATTGCTACCTTCACAGAGGCTGTCTCCACTCCAGGCCATTTGTGCCCTGTGTGCATCCATAGCGATGTTGCTGAGCCTATGACTCATCTGCATGGTCCCCCACTCCCAACCCCCTTCTTGCCTAGCTCTCTCGGTTTTGCCTTTCTGATGCTGAGGCTGGAGGATGTCACAGGTGGGGTTCTGCCTATGGAGTCATTGTTCTGTTTGGGGAATATGGTTTGACCAGTGGCAGATCTAAATCCACGCGCTAATGAGCTTGGTTAAAGCAGGCTTCCGCTGGCCTCTTTTAATCTAGCCTGCCTGTCTGAGCTCCTTTCCACAGTTAATGATCTCCCATAATGGCTTTGCCTTTAGTTTTTCCTCCTAGGTCAAAACAAATCAATAGTCTTCACAGATATTTAAAAACCATCAGTGTAAACCTCCTGGGTCCTCCCCCACTACCTTTTTTTTTTCCTTCTGGGTAAATTTACAGCTTGATCAGTACAGTGATGTTTCCCTTACATCTCCTCTTATCTCCTAGAGATGGGCAGTAGCGAACCCCTTCCCATCGCAGATGGTGACAGGAGGAGGAAGAAGAAGCGGAGGGGCCGGGCCACTGACTCCTTGCCAGGAAAGTTTGAAGGTTGGTCACACAACTTCCCTATATCTGGGCCTGCAGCTTCCCAAGCATGGGAGGAGCATCCCGGGAGCCACAGGTCCGATCACAGAATGCGTCAAGTTAGAGCCAGATGGTGGTTATCTGTGTGGTAGGGAGATAAGATGGGGATGAGGGAGTTTACACAGGGCATTACAGAAAGAGAGCAGGGATGGAAAAAGCTCTCAGATGATGCACTGGCCTCCTGTGAATGGCTCAGGTACTGCTTCCTTTTCAGGGAGCAGGAAGACCCATCTATCAGTGGCATTGCCTGGGGTCTTCCTTTTTTCAGATGTGATTCTTCCCTCAGCTATTCCTGGAGGGGCTGCTGAGAGATAGAACTATATAAGAGGAAGAGAGAAACACCAAAGGCCATGGCCGCAAATGAAACTTCAGTCTCCTGTAAGCAGAGAATTTGTCTCTCAGATTGTAGCTACTTATGCTGTGTGTGTTTGACTACATTTTAAAGAATACGTGTTGTGTTCAGTAGAAACGATGTTGGGTCATCAGACATTTTTTGACACTCTCTGTGTGCGAGGCACTAGGCTCAGTGTGGGTCCTGTTATCACTGGGCATGTGATGGGGTGATTGGACACTTGTGCAAAGCACCAAGAGGATCAGTAGCTACTCCTAGGAGTAACGTGCCCCACTTCATCTGTTTTGTTTTCTTTCGTTGTGAGGTCTGAAGTAGCTTCGCCTCTTGGTCCCTCCTTCCAGCCTTCCAGACACACTAGTGAATTGGCTGTTCTGTAAAGTGGTTCCAATAACAAGCACTTTATCGGTTGGGAATATGGGACCTCCAGCCACCCACCTATCCTGATATGTGTAAAGGGCTAATGCCAATGTGTCCATTGTGAGAAGCATGTCATTTAAAACACTTACGAATAACAGTGTGCCATCTGCTCTTATAAACAACTGAAAGACCAAACCGTGATGGAACCAAGAAGGTACTTTCAGCAGGGGTTTTTTGTTTGCCTTTAACTCAAACAGCAGGGGTGTGTGTCTGTGTGTGTGTGTCTGTGTGTGTCAGGGTATGGGGATGGGGGAGAGACAAAGATCCCAAGGTATTCAAATAGTTTCCTAATCAACAGCTCTTTTGCTCTTTCAGTTAACACAAGAGAGTACTTCCTATTTTTAAGGACAGCTTGTGCAATGACAGGACTTCTCCTGACTGAGAGTGATAAAATCTAATTCATGGTTGAAATGTCTTCTGCTCAGGCTGTGGGTTTCAATGCTAGGTGCCTCAAGAGGAAAAGGCTGAAGAATGGAGGCCGAGTGGGGATGAGGTCAGGCAGCTAGTGCTGTGATGGAGATGTAGCCTCCTTTGGAAGGGGCTCAAAGAGCTGTGCTCTTTGTGAGCTTGGGCAGGTCATCTAGATGTTCCTTTAACCCAGGTCTATTACTCTGTTAGAACAACTATGACTCAGTACCCTAAAAACCTCAAGGTGTCCTTTGCATCCTACTTCTATTTCCTGTGGGTGACTTCTGGAGACTTCTCAGAAGCCTCCAATGACTTCCATGTATGGGGTATAAAATAGAACAGTGTTTTATTCTCCTTTGTATAGCCAGTGCTTACACAGAACTTGGCACATAATAGGTGCTCAGTAAATGAGTAAATGAATATTCATTCAAATCATACCACTTCTCCTCTGATGATCCTCCAGATTCTCTGACCAATTTTTTTTTTTTTTTTTTTTTTTTTTTTTTGATATGGGGTCTCACTCTGTCACCAGGCTGGAGTGCAGTGGCACGATCTTGGCTCACTACAACCTCCGCCTCTCGGGTTCAAGCGATTCTCCTGCCTCAGCCCCCGAAATAGCTGGGACTTTAGGCGCGTGCCACCACACCCAGCTAATTTTTGTATTTTTAGTAGAGACGGGGTTTCCCACATTGGCCAGGATGGTCTCGATTTCTTCACCTCTTGATCTGCCCACCTCGGCCTCCCAAAGTGCCGGGACTACAGGTGTGAGCCACCATGCCCAGCCTCTCTGAACAGATTTAACCCTTTCTTCCCCCAACTTTTTTTTTTAACTGTACTTTGTCCCTCTGTGATAGTATTTACCAATGCCTGGTTTATTCTGGGGTCACCTGTGTATGTGTCTGTCTTCCCCACTGGACTGCGACCCTTAGAGGAGAGGGATCATGCGTATATATATTTTAGAGATGGGGTCTTGCTATGTTGGCCAGATTGGTTCTGAACTCCTGGCCTCAAGCAATCCTCCTGGCTTGGCCTCCCAAAGTGCTAGGATTACAGGTGTAAGCCCCTGCACCTGGCCTTTATTTTATTCCTTACTCTGTTATGCTGTCTGGCACATAGTAGATATTCAGGAAGTATGTGCCGAATTGAGACCCTTTTGCTAACCTCATCGCTAAAATGAGGAACAGGATGCCTTGTATGTGGTCTTGTTGTTGAGAAACTGGGTCCTCAGGTGGCTGGGAAAGCTACTTGTCTTCCTTGTCACTGAGTGCTAGAGTCATTGGGTGCCTGTGTCGTCTGATCAGGGAAGCTGAGCCACAAAAGTTCTTCCCATCTGAGCTTGCAGTAGGGTGACTCATCTTGTTATTCCTCTCATCCATTTCACCTCTAGATATGTACAAGCTGACCTCTGAATTGCTTGGAGAGGGAGCCTATGCCAAAGTTCAAGGTGCCGTGAGCCTACAGAATGGCAAAGAGTATGCCGTCAAAGTGAGTGTCTCAGCTGAATGCCAGGCTTTACTTTGCAAATAGTCATTCCTAGCTCATCTTGAACCAAATAAATGTTATATTCCATAAGAATGGGGACTCTGAAGCTGTATTCACTGGATTCAAATCTTGGTTTCTCTACTTACTGTGTACCTCGGGCAAGTTACTTAACTTCTCTGTCCTTCAGTTTTCTCATCTGTAAAATGGGTATAATACTAGAACCTATGTAGAATTGTTGTGAGGATTAAATAAGTTAATATAGGTAAAGTGCTTAGCACAATGCCTGGCTCATAGTAAGTTTCTCATTATTCTGACAAATGAAGTCAGCTTCAGGGAGTGGACAACCAGATTTGGAATTAGAAGGCCTACCTGAATATCTATTTTGACAAACTATAACTGTTTGACTTTGGGCAAGTCATCAAATGTCCGTAAGCCTCAGTTCCTACATCTCTAAATGATGATACCTGCCCTTCAGTCTCCTGAGGCAGTTATGAAGATGAAAATTAAAATATCCTGGGAGAGGTGGAAACACTTTACACGTCACAAAATGCTATCCAAGTGTTAGATGTTAGCATGATAGTGAGGATTAAAAACTAAGGTGACTGATTTGGTAACATCTGAATGATGTCTCAGAAAAAAAAAATTAAAAGAAGAAAACAAAACTAAAGCGACTGAGCACTCAGTTTTGGGGCAGGAGAAGTGGCTTCTGGCCTCATTGCTGCCTTTAATTAGCTGTAAGGCCTTGGAGTGGCTCATGTCACCCCTCTGTGCCTCCACTTGCCCTCTCCACATGGAAGAAGAGCTGGATCTTGAGCAGTGGTTCTCAAAATGTGTGCCCTGGACCAGCCTCAGCATCGCTTGGGAACTTGTTAGAAATAGAAGCTACCTGGCCCTACCTGAGAAGTACCAACTCAGAAACAGGGGTGGGCCCAGCAATACAAATGTTAACAAACTCTCCTGGTGACTCTGACACTCACTAATCCTTGAGGACTACTGTTGTAGGAAGGGCAGTTGTGAATGCTACTATGTGTTAGAAGCCCTTAGAGCTCTAACAAAGCACACACAGATCCAGGTTTCCAGATGTAGGATAGGGTCTGGATCTCTGTGGCTTGACCAGATTCCCCACTTGAGTCTCATAGCCACCAAAGTTTGAGGACTAACTGACCTAGAGAAAGGGTCTTTTTAAATCCAAGCTGATTTCAAATCACCCACCTGAGCCACCAGGTCAAATGCCACCTCACATTGGCAATCCCAGCCCAGTGGGCTCCTGAAGGAAATGTTTTCTCTTCTTTGAACCAACTTTCCACAGTCCCAGCTGCGGGTTAGAAGGTTGAGCAAGTCTGCTAAGCCACGTTCCTTTCAGCTGGAGTATTGCTTCACATGGTAACAAGAGCACTGTCTTAATTTCTTTTGGGAAACAGCTCAGTATAAATTACAAGTGATTTTTAAAACATACGCCTAAGTGTAAATAGAAAAATTAGGCCAGGCATGTGGCTCACACCTGTAATCCCAGCACTTTGGGAGGCTGAGGCGGGCTGATCACCTGAGGTCAGGAATTCAAGACCAGCCTGGCCAACATGGTGAAACCCATCTCTACTAAAAATACAAAAATATTAGCCGGGTGTGGTGCATTCCTGTAATCCCAGCTACCTGGGAGGCTGAGGCAGGAGAATCCCATGAACCCGGGAGGTAGAGGTTGCACAGTGAGCCGAGATCACACCACTGCACTCCAGCCTGGGCGACAGAGCAAGACTCTGTCACAAAAAGAAAAAAAAAATGTTAGCCTGGTGTGGTGGCATGTGCGTCTAATTCCAGCTACCTGGGAGGCTGAAGTGGGAGGATCACTTGAGCCCAGGAGGCAAAGGTTGCAATGAGCCAGGATGGTGCCACTGCACTCCACCCTGGACAACAGAGGGAGACTCTGTCTCAAAAAAAAAAAAAAAAAATTGATATATCTGTCTAAATGCGGTAAAAACCACAAACATAAACTGATTTTCAAAGGTTTCAATACATTTATGGATGAGAGGTATATTTCTTCAAGGTTGGATAATGGGAGGAAAACCTGGCCCTTCCTCCACATCCCCCCTGGCATCTTTGAGGCAAACACTGGACTCTGGCTTGGCAATTCCTTGGTTTCAGCAGTTCTGCCCATGTTTCTTCTCTCCCCTACTCTTTCAAAGCTCCCTAGAGATGGGCTACTTCTCCCAACATGGCCCCACAATACTTAGCTTATTACAGCTTTTCCTATAGGCACCCAGCTGATCCTAGACTCTCAAGGTTGGGATGGAATTTCAAGATAACCCTGAATTTCCTCTGACTCCCCAGATAGTTGTCCATGTTCTGCTCCCCCATCTCTAGTAGCAAGAGCCCATTACTTCCTCAGAGAAGACTGTGCTGTGGAAGGCTTGCCTGCTAGAAAGTTCTTCATGACTTTGATCTGAAATGCTTGGGGAATGAAGTTGAATCACTTCTGTTCCCCAGCACTACACCTCTCCATTCAGATAATGGGCCCACTGTGGTTTACAAACAGACACACTTATTTAGAAAATTGCAGTTGGTCACAGATGTCTGTGCCACATCATATCGGAGAAGTTTGAAGTCTCAATGAAGGAAGAGGATGTCATTGTGCTGCCCACTGTGCACGTTGGAGCTGTAAGGCAGAGCTAGGCTCTGCAGATTTGCTCACAGGCTCGGTGTGCAGTGGTTTGAGGCTCCAGATGGGTCCAGAGAGCTTTGCAGAGGCAGCCAGTCCCTTTGGAAACCACCCTCCCATCTGTTGGCTTATCTGTTCCTTCAGTCAGCATTTGACAAGCATCTCAGGTAAAAGTGTGGAGGGGGAGCAGCCCACCGTATCACAGGAGAGACAAAGCCTCCAGGTCCTCGAAGAAGTTAGAGCATCTAAGCAGGTATGGGATAGCAAGGGCTTAGGAGTCAGCTCTGGACTGCAGGCAAATGTTTCATACCTCCCTATCTTTTGATGTTGTCATAAAGGTCAACTGAGATTATGTAAATAAATTATTATTGTTTATTTATTTATTTATTTATTTATTTTTTGAGATGGAGTCTCTCTGTTACTTAGGCTGGAGTGCAATGGCACAATCTCGGCTCACTGCAACCTCCGCCTCCCCAGTTCAAGTGACTATCCTGCCTCAGCCTCCTGAGTAGCTGGGATTACAAGCACCCACTACCACGCCTGGCTAATTTTTTTGTATTTTCAGTAGAGACGGGGTTTCACCGTGTTGGCCAGGCTGGTCTAGAACTCCTGACCTCAGGTGATCCACCCACCTCAGCCTCCAGAAGTGCTGGGATTACAGGTGTGAGTCACCACACCCGGCCGTAAATAAATCATTTAACACAGTATCTGCCAGAGAGTAAGTTCTCAGAAGAGGAAGAGCCTACTTCTGCCAGGGGGATCGTGGAGGCAGCCTCTGAGCTGGGTGTCAAAGCTTTAGCTCCTCGCCACGGTGTCCTGCATCAGCCTCTCCCTCCAGCATGAGAAGATCCTTCAGTAGATGCAGTAAATGCTTACCCTTAAGGCAGAAAGAGGTGTCCACAGGAGGTGGAGCTGAGTAAGGTAGCTCTTTGTCTTGCCGGCTGCCTCAGTCTCCCCTGGGCAGCTGGGGGCAGCAGCCTCATTCACTTCCTTGGTGTTGTGCTTGGCCAGAGTGGAATGGGCTCAGCTGAGCTGGAAAGCCCTGAGGCCAGTCTGCTGCTTTGCCAACAGAGCCACAGTGCCGGTGTCACCAAGGCCTAGGCCAGACTTCTGCTGGACACTGGATTTGGACTGAGTGTGGCCTTGCATTCTCCCAGAGGACTCCTGCCAAAGGGCTGTTTGGAAGTCAGGTGGGTGTACATGACAGATTTTATTCTTCCCACAGATCATCGAGAAACAAGCAGGGCACAGTCGGAGTAGGGTGTTTCGAGAGGTGGAGACGCTGTATCAGTGTCAGGGAAACAAGTGAGTATCATGTGATTCTCGCTGCTTCTCTGGGGGGACGCTTGGCCACAGAAGAGGAGGCTATTTCTTACCATCTCCTGACTCCAGCATTTAGCTCTCACTCCTGTCCCCACAAGGCAGGTACCTCCTTCCGCCCCTTTCAGTGTTAGGGAGAGAAAGGAAAAGCAGCAGTAACAGCAAAGGAGCTATTATCTCTTCTGAAATACTGTAAATATCATCAATTCAAGCAAGTTAGAAGAATGAACTATCTGAATCAGTGGTTGTTGGGGGGAAATGGGGTTTTATTTCTTTCGGTACCTGTGGAAACTAGGTTGACTGAGTGTTGCCTGGTAGAAATCTTTAAGGACTTGCCTTAATACCAAGATGAGGAGAACTGTTAAGAATATTTGCTGCTGTTTCTGCTCCTAGAATGTTTACATATGTGCAGATACCACTAAGATCCTGGAACCTTCCAGATAGCTGGGTCCGGCTCATCTCTAGCCCCAGTTCATTCTGCCCACCACCAGCTCCAAATGAGCAGCTCTCCCACTGTGGCTTTAAATCAGGGGCACCTCTAAGACTCCACTTCCCCCTCTCTCCCTCCACGGTAGGGTCAGCAGGGAGCCAGTGGCCTGGTATTGATGGCTTTGTCATTAAGCTTGGAGGATTGGAGGACGGGGGCTGCTGTTGATTTAACTCCAGGCACTGCCTCCACAATCTTCTTTCAAATTAGGCCATTTTGCCCATCTTATTTGGATGCCTTCACACTAGTAAAAGCCTCATATCTCCCAAAGTAGTCAGCATTTTTTTTATGAGGGACAGATTTTTATTTTCAGCCCTGCAGCTTCTTAGTTCAGCATTAGAGACTCTACTTGGTTTATTTTATTTTGTAAAAGAAAAAAAGCCCACAACACCTCCAATATCCAGGCTGGTGGCTTCCCTACTGAGTTACAAGACGACCTTGTTGGCAGAGCACTGAAATACTCGGGCAGACAGAGAGTGCTCACCGGGGAAGGCCACAAGTGCTACAGTGGCCAGGAACGCGGCCGTTTCATTAAGCAGCGCTTAGCAGTTAGGGTCTAGCGGTGCCCATGTTAGGCCCCAAGTCCATTTGACAGATGTTTCCATTTTCTCCAGGCAATGTAAATACTGCCCCGTGATTTATGGGCAAGAGGGAGGGCAAGTAATTATTTGCTGCTTGCCTCCAGGACACACACCTAGTATTCAGTGTTATTAGCCGCAATTGCTTCCAGTCGGCTGCAGATTTTATTCAGTTTAATGTGACCGGGACTTTTTTATAACTCTACCTAGTGGGTTTTAGGGCTGGGGTTTGACAGCACAGACTTGGTGAAAACACCAGAGACTAAACATTATGGAAAGATAAGGTGACCTGAATCTTGCTAACACCATTGGCTGCTTCCATACGCGGGTCTTTAATAAGCATTCTGATTTCAAGTTGGTTTCTGCCCCACTACCAGGTGTTGTATATTTTTTTCATTGTATATTTGTAAGTAGACTTTAATATATAATACCATTTCCCCCCTTTTCCCTCTCCTCCTATTTTCCCTATTTAAGGAACATTTTGGAGCTGATTGAGTTCTTTGAAGATGACACAAGGTTTTACTTGGTCTTTGAGAAATTGCAAGGAGGTACTTACCGTTGAGTATGTGTGTGGACTTCTGATTAAGACCCAGGGTGGTGATCATCCATCATGAATCCCAGAGACTTCCAAAACGAGTCAAGCTAATAAAAAGGATGAAGGACTTAAAAACTGCCCTTGATTTGGGAGAAGGGAGGCCGGAGGGAAGGATGATAATTAGCATTTTGCAGAGCTTAGAATGTCACCTGTGTGGGTATTTTATAAATGCCTTTTCATTATAATAGGAGTCATATATAGATACATTTAGTCATCGATTTATCAATCCCGTTTTGACATGTTCACTGTTTAACTACATTAATTATGGGGTGGAAGCTCTCAAATACATTGCGAAGTCTAGAAAGGCTAAAACAGAGGAGAGGAGGGTCCTATTGTTTGGGACACAGACCCAGGATAAAGGGGAAGCCTGAGAATGTGCCATCCTTCAGATGGAAAGATGCCATCACCCACACACATAATCACTGGGGTGTATACTTAAGTTGCTTTTCTGACATAATGAGGTGGGGTAGAGAAACCCTTTCCCTTCCCATCACTCCCCCAATCTTAGGACACACTTGCAGGGATGTCTGGAACTGCATGGAGGGCCACACGGAGGGGCTTGGTGGTTGAGGGAGCGTGCTTTAGAAACCAACACAGCTAAAGCTTATGTTATGTCTAGCTGCATCACTTACTAGCCATGTGATCTTGGGCAAGTCACTTAACCTTTTCTAAACAATATTCCCTTCTATAAAATAGAGATATTGATAGCACCTACCTCACTGGGTTGCTGTGAAGATTAAATGAGATAATTCATGTGAAATGCTTAGGACAGTGTCTGGTAGGCACTAAGGGCCCAATAAATGTTGGCTGCTAATATTATTAAAACAATTTGGTATGCTGGGGGATGTCTTAGAAGTATGTAGAGTAGACCAGGTACAGTGGCTCACGCCTATAATCCCAGCACTTTGGGATGCCAAGGTGGGCAGATCACTTGAGGTCAGGAGTTCAAGACCAGCCTGGCCAACATGGTGAAACCCGGCTCTACTAAAAATACAAAAATTAGCTGGGTGTGCTGGCACATGCCTGTAATCCCAGCTACTCAGGAGGCTGAGGCAGAAGAATCGCTTGAACCTGGGAGGCAGAGGTTGCAGTGAGCCGAGATCGCACCACTACACTCCAGCCTGGGCAACAGAGTGAGACTCTGTCTCAAAAAAAAAAAAAAAAAAGTATGTAAAGCATTATTCTCTGCTTTTCCTTTTAACAGATTTGGAAACGAGGCTCACTACAGCAGAGCAAGCTAGGACCTAGTCATGAGCCGGTTTTCTGGGAATGTTCCCTAGCACATTGGGATCCGTTGTTTAATCTGGCAAGCGAACAATCTTTGGCAGTTCTTCCCCTTCTCTCATGCCCTCCCCATCCCCCCTAAAAAACAGTAGACATGTGCCATTTTTAGGACAGAGAGATAATACCTTCAGCCCAGAAATGCTGGCTTCTAGTAGTAAACATAAACCACATGAAGCCAAGCCACATGTTCCTGCCTGTGTCTGCCCCTGCACCACCCAATAACACATGACTGACTGTTAATTACATGTTTGAAATGCTACATGCAGATGGGATCCTCTGTCGCCATATCAGTAAACTTAATGTAGCTTATTGAGGCCAGACCCAGTGTGGTTGGCTCAAGAGAGTCCATCCCTGCAGCAGTCAGACCACAAGTCCTGCTGGGGGATGTCTGCACAGACTCGGAGGCCTGACTGACGCCCTGGGCCTAAGTCCTGGCCTCACCCCTTACTGGTGCGTAATCTTGGGCAAGTTGCTCAACCATTTTTCTTTTTGGCTTCAGGATCTCCCTCTGTAAAACGAGAATAAGTGTACTACCCATTTTGTCCAATTGTGGTGAGAATAAGACAGTTTATTTCAAGAGTATTCCATAGCACATGGCACTAGTAACTACTCAGTAAATGTTAGCCATTGCCAACAAAACAATAATGAATGGGAAAGCTCAGGCGGAAAACCCATTTTTCCCCCCTTTTCCCAGGCCTTTACATGTCTGGCAAGGGTGTGGCATTTCCATTTGAAAGTTTGTGCTCTTGTTTGGATCAGAGATCAGATGCAGGGGAGAAAACGTTGCTGCAGAAAGGCCCCCTCAGCTCCAAGTGCCTTCAGTTTTATTCCTTTTGATTGCAGAAGCCAAATCAGCCTCAGCATCATTAGTGTTTTTTGGCCCTATTTATAGTTGTTCTCTCTCGCTTCTGAGCTCCTCATAGACAGGTACAGAAGAGAGTAGTCCAGTTTTGTTTAACAGACATACAAGCTGGTACCTCCTCCGTACCAGGCCCCACACTTGGAGCTGGACAGGTAGTGATGAGTCAGCGATGAATCCCTATGTCCCCACCCCAAGTTTTCCAAACTTGGGAAAACTTGGCCTCTAAGAAGTTATACGGCCAGGCGCAGTGGCTCACGCCTGTAATCCCAACAGTTTGGGAGGCTGAGGCAGGCGGATCACTTGGTCGGGAGTTCGAGACCAGCCTGACCAACATGGTGAAACCCCATCTCTACTAAAAAAAAAAAGTACAAAAATTAGCTGGACATGGTGGTGCCTGCCTGTAATCCCAGCTACTCAGGAGGCTGAGACAGGAGAATCGCTTGAACCCGGAGGCGGAGGTTGCAGTGAGCCGAGATCGTGCCACTACTCTCCAGCCTGGGTAACAGAGTGAGACTTCGTCTAAAAAAAAAACTTATACTTACTAGAGCCCAAAAAGGCATTCTTCTATGTCCCCTCTGCTCCCCAGGTTCCATCTTAGCCCACATCCAGAAGCAAAAGCACTTCAATGAGCGAGAAGCCAGCCGAGTGGTGCGGGACGTTGCTGCTGCCCTTGACTTCCTGCATACCAAAGGTGAACCCAGCCTTTGCCTTGGTGGGTGGGTTGGGCTGGCCAGCCTCTGGGTACCAAGGGAGGTGGTAGGCCAGGCAGAGGGCTGGTGCAGGAGATGGTGTGGCTGGAAGGCAGCTTGAGGTGTGAACATGCTCACCCATGGGAGTTGAGGGAGAAACAGTCCAGGATGGCTCCTAGGCTTATGCTGCGGATGGTGGGTGGGTGGTGAAGCTGTTGAGCAGCACAGGGATACAGGAGAAAGAGCAGGGAGGAGAAAGAATAAATTTCACATTGAACAGGGTATGTGTGACTGTGTGTGGATGATGTTTCTTTTCTTAGATTCTTATCGTGTGAGGAATATAAAGCTCATACACAATACAACCTTCTTAGTGTGAATATCTTGATGTTATTCCTTCTAGTCTTAAAATATACATCACCTCTGTCTCTTTTCAAAATTGGCATGATAGGATATATGTAGTTTAATATATCTTGTTCACAGTAAATGAAAAATCTATTTTTCTTTTTCCTTTTTTTTCCTTTTTAGACAAAGTCTCTCTCTGTCACCTAGGCTGGAGTGCTATGGCGCCATCAGGGCTCACTGCAGCCCCAACCTCCCTGGGCTCCAGTGATCCTCCCACCTCAGCCTCCCAAGTAGCTGGGACTACAGGTGTGTGCCACCACCTGGAAATTTTTGTATTTTTTTGTAGAGATGGGGTCTCCCTCTGTTGCCCAGGCTGGTCTCAAACTCCTGGGCTCAAGCGATCCTCCTGCCTCAACCTCCCAAAGTGCTGGGATTACAGGTGTGAGTCACTGTGCCCAGCTTATACTTTTCTATTAACATGTACATTTGAGGTATCTGTTGAAAAGCACATTGGTAACTCACAGGTTACTAGTATTTGATTTACGCTTCAGGTTACAGCCCCTTTCCTATGACTGATTATTCAGGAACTTTTGTAGTGAATTAAATCTTTCCACAAATTGTTTTTACATTTCCATAAATCTGTTTGACTATTACATACTTTTTTTTAAATTTGCCTAACAGCAGTACCCTGGAAAAAATGAATTCTGGTTTCACTTTTCTTCTAGCTATGTGTTCTCTCAGTAATAATGCCTACCCTATGGTGAGAATTTGAGATAATAACATCATCGACTGTAGTTAACACTATATAGCACTTGGTATGTGCTAGGCACTATTCTAAGCTTTTTATAGATGAAAAATGTGTATCTTGTGTTTGTATTGTATATGTGCAGCATAGATGGAGCATAGTTCCTGGTATGTCATAGTTCTTCAATAAATAACGATTTCCTCCATCCTCACCTCCCACCAGGAAGAAAGCATTTTTATTCCTAATATTAATTCCCTTAAAGCATTCTGCCTGTTGGGGGTGGGAGTGAAATGAATAACTTGTGACTTAGGTCTGCCCCCTCTGCTGTTGCGGATGTTGGCCAGCCATGTTGGTTGTGGGTGCCCGGGACCAGTGGTAGGCATGCCACTCACACATCCCACCTGGTGCCCACAATCCGGTGCAGACCAGTGTGGCGCATGTCCAGGAGGTTCAGGTTCATTGACCCCACCTCCCTCCTCCAGTGGCTGAAAGAGGTCTGCATACTGACAGTGCCCATGTTGGGGCCCTGACTTGCACCTAGGATGAAAACTAGAAGGGGGTGTCTGTACCTTCCGCAGCATGATGAATAGCATCAGCTCTGTTTCTGAAAGCTGGGATGCATAGAGGTAACACCTGCCTGACAAAGATTTACAACTGCTCCCCAAGCTGCCTCTGTAGATTGCAAAACTGGGTCACGCTTTTTACAAGATCCACACCTTGGAGGGGGTGGTAAAGGCAGGTTTTATTATTTATTTATTTACAAGAATGCACTGAAGGGAACAGAGGCCGGTGGTGTCTTAGGAGTTCTGAGGCGCTTGTTAACATGTAGCTGGCCAGCTGCCCATGTGACTAGAAGTTGGAGGGGATGAAAAACGATTTCCAGCTGAACTTGGCTGTTTGCTAAATAACTTCACACGGGGAAGATGAATTGGGCAAGAATGGGTCAGCCCTGAAACAAGTTCCATACTTTTAAATACTGGACACACTGCAGCTCAACCTCTGGGAAATGAACCGGAGCAGCTCGATGGCTGCTGTGCTCACACGGCAGCCCCATTATTACAGCCTGGCTCTCTGAGTTCTTAGGCTAAGGGACGACTGGGCCATGGGCGCCTATTTGGAGAGTAAGGCTCCGTGTGTGGCTCGTGATCCTTCTGTGGGAGCACTTGCTGTAATGGAAAATATCTTCCACTTTTAGTGCAGCGAGCTGCAGAGCAGTGCTACTCAATTTGTGCAGCCTGGACTGAGTTGCTCTGGGTTCTCGTTCAATTAGGTGACTGATGAAGTTACTGAGCTTGCTGGAGCTCAGGTTTTTCTTCTTTAGTGAAGTGCCTCCCGTGGCCTGGGCCAGGCTTTTGCCTTCTAGTCGGGAATCGGAGGACTGCTGAAAAAGTTGATCACCGACGGAGTTTTAGTGAAGCAGATTTTGCTTTTCCCATCACCCCGAGAATCCGCTGCCGCTTTCCAATACTTCCAACTGTAGCTCTGACTCTTGCTCAGCCTTCCAGCCCTGTCTCTGTGCTGCATGTGCTGTGGAAGGAAAGACAAAAGGGAGGTTTCTGTGTCCTCCACCAAAACACCATGACCCAGAGTTAGTTCTTTGTCCCTTTCTTTGGTTAGAAGAGGGCTCTCCCCGAGGTGCCTTCTTGGCCAGGTCAGCAGGTTAACCCCTCATGGGCTAAGCTGCTATCTCCAGTCGCCTTCAGGAGGCCTGGCCAAAGTGCAGAGGTTTTCTCTTAAAAACAGCAACCCTCAGTGGGCCTAGCGAGGTGGCTCACACCTGTAATCCCCATGCTTAGGGAGGCCAAGGGAGGAGGATTGCTTAAGGCCAGGATTTCAAGAACAGCCTGGCTATAGCGAGACTCCATCTCTATTTTAAAAAACAAAAATAACAGCATCCTGGTGCCAAAGCGGTCTTTGCTCTGCTGCTGGCAGGGCTGCCTTAGACATGCAAAGCAGGTGAGAAGGGAATAGGTCACTTTGGGAGATTTGGTAACTAACACTTGCTCCTCTGAACATTCAGACAGTCGCACTGAAGGAATTTTTTTTTTTAAATCGGCCACACAAGAAGAAATGAGGTAGAGCAGTTAAGCCCCCTGAGATGCTCTTAAACAAGGCACTAATTATTTCTGCATTGCTGTTCCAAGCATTGCCGTTTGCAGAGCTCTCTGCTCTGCTCTGCATTAGGCCTTCTTCTTGGTGGTCACTGTGGTACTGAGGGGTAGGCTGGCTGGGATTCATTTAGCCCTTCTTATCCCTGCCAGACTTCTAAAGCCTCCTCTTCAAAAGAACCCGCAGAATCAACTGTGCTTTTGGTTTGTGTCGCTGGTTACTTCTGCCTCCTGCAGCTCGTTGATTTTTTAATGTACCATAATTGGGAATTAATCTGCGAACTACAGCATTTGGAAAAAATTAATTGTGTGTGGAATGTTTGATAATTATCTGCATATGTTAACCATTTTTTTGCTCTTTGTCATGTCAGGCATTGCTCATCGTGATCTGAAACCAGAAAATATATTGTGTGAATCTCCAGAAAAGGTACTTTGGGCCTGATTTGGAATGTTATAGTTTATACTTACCGAGGAAGCCACCCTTGCTTTCAGGATGGATTGTTAGCAGTTCCGTTGGCCTCAGACACCAACTTGAACTGATCGTCTTGGACATGTGAGAATGTTACACTTACTGTGTGATGTTTCTGCCCATCCTCGTCCTTTCTTCGCTCTTGATCATCAGTGTGATTGATGTAAGCCTGAGAGTTTGGAAAATATATGAGACCTGCACAAAATTAATATTTTCTAGTCCAATGCATCTATCTTTATATCAGTTGATGGAAGTCGTAAATACTTTTTTTTTTTTTTTGAGACGGGGTCTCACTTTGCCACCCAAGCTGGAATGCAGTGGCATGATCACAGCTCACTGCAGCCTCGACTTCCCAGGCTCAAGTGGTTCTCCCACCTCAGCCCCCCAAGTAGCTGAGACAACAGGCATGTGCCACCACACCTGGCTAATTTTTGTATTTTTAGTAGAGACAGGGGTTTCACCATGTTAGCCAGGCTGGTCTCGAACTCCTGAGCTCAAGCAGTCCACCTGCCTTGGCTTTCCAAAGTACTGGGATTGCAAACGTGAGCCACCATGCCCAGCCAAACAACTTAATCTTATGTGAAGCAGATCTCTTTAAGTAAACGGAAGTGTATGAATTTGACAAATTCTGTGTTTATTAGGAGAGATTTAGGCACTGGTGGTGTTGGGGCCCACGTTCACAGCTCTGCGTGTATATACATGTGTGTATTCAAGAGCATATATATTGTGGTCTGGATGAAGCCGCGGCTCATAAATAAGGGGTGGCCTTGAATGAATGAGTCAGTCTGCTACTCACAACTCTTTTATGGGGAATAATAATGGATTCGCTCAAATAAGATCTTGTGACTTCTGTCACTGATTCTGTCGTAGACCTTTATAATTTATCATTATTATGATGATTACTACTAATAATTACAGTGAACACTTCTTGAGTGCTTACATTGTGCCAGGCACTTATATTTATTTAGTGTTTATGAAATATCATGAGGTAGATACTATTATTACCTTCATTTTATGGACGAGGAAACTGAAACTCAAGTTAGGAAACATGTATAGCCAGTGAGCCATGATTGCACCACTGCACTCCAGCCTGGGCAGCAGAGATTCTGTCTCATAACAAGAACGTGAGGAAAGGCAAGGCGAAAGAGAGGAATAATTGGGACCAGGCAGTGGCTCACGCCTATAATCCCAACACTTCGGGAGGCTGAGGCAGGAGGATCCCTTGAGGCCAGGAGCTTAAGAACAGCCTGGGCAACAAAGCGAGACCCCATCTCCACAAAAAATTTAAAAATTAGCTGGTCACAGCGGTTGCATGCCTGTAGTCCCAGCTACTCAGGAGGCTGAGGTAGGAGAATTGCTTGAGCCTGGAGTTTGAGGCCAGCCTGGGTGATATAGTGAGACCCCTGTCTCTTAAGAAAAAGAGAGGTTAAGTTTCAAAGGACATTATCTATCAAGAAAGTGAAAAGACAATCTACAGAATGTGAGAAAATATTTGCAGATCATATATCTGGTCAAGGTTTAATATCCAAAATATATAAAGGATTCCTAAAACTCTACAACAAAAAGACAAACCAATTTAAAAATGGACACGGGACTTGAACAGACATTTCTCCAAATAAGGTACACAAATGTCCAACAAGTACATGAAAAGATGCTCAACATCCTTAGTCATTAGGGAAATGCAAGTCAAAACCACAATGAGATACCACCACATACTACTAGGTAGGCTGTAATTTAAAAAATGGAAAATAGTAAGTGTTGTTACGGTTATGGAGAAATCGTAACCCTCATACATTGCTGGTGAGATTATATAATGGTGCAGCTTCTGTGGAAAAGTTTGGCGGTTCCTCAAAGGCTAAACACAGAATTACCATATGACCCAGCAATTCCACTCCTAGGTATTACCCAAAACAATTGAAAACAGATACTTGTATAGCAGTATTCATTACAGCATTGTTCACAACAGCCAAAAAGGTAGAGACAACTCAAGTGGTCATCAGCAGCTGAACAGATAAACAAAATGTGGTACATACATTCAATGGAATACTAGTCAGCCATAAAATGGAATGAGGTTTTGATACATGCTGCAACATGAATGAACCTTGAAAACATTATGCTAAGTGAAATAAGCCAAACATAACAGGACAAATATTGTGTAAATCTACTTATATGAAATATCTGGAATGGGCAAATTAATAAAGACAGAAAGTCTTAATTAATAAAGTCAGATTGGAAGTTACCCAGGGCTAGGGGAAGAAAGAATGGGAGTTATTGCTTAATGCGTATAGAGTTTCTGTTTGGAGTGATGGAAAAGTTTTAGAAACAGATCGTGGTGATGGTTGCACAACCCTGTGAATGTACTTAATTAATACCACTAAACTGTCTACTTAAAAATGGCTAAAATCTCATATTTTATGCTTTATATTTTACCACTAATAAGAGGCTAAAGGAAAAAGAAAAGAAGAAAAAATAGAGAAAAGGGGAGGGAGGAAGGAAGGGGAGAAAGAAGTCGAGGGACTTGCCCAGGCTTCCCGGCAAGGACATGGGTCTCAGAGAACCAGCATTTAGTTCACTCGCTGTGCTGCTTACATGCCATGTAGGCCATTCTCATCCATTCTCATGTGTGCACCCAAACTGCCTTCCTGGTTGGCTCCAGAGATGAGGCACCTGTCTGTGGTCTCAGGCACAGCATCCAGTTCTGGTGGACTTGGTTACTGTGTTGATGCCACCTACGGTGACCAACCATCCCAGTTTTCCCAGGCTTGAGGGGTTTCCTGGAACGCAGGAGTTTCCGTGTTTAAACTGATCAAGTCCCAAGCAAGCCACCCAAGACAAGTTGGTCACCCTAAGCCACCTGAGGCGGTCAGAGGTTTTACTGCAAGCTCCTTTACACTCCACTGAATGGGCTGCAAGAAGTCTGTCTCTCAGGAGTACACAGTAACTTCCCTAGCTGCTGTGCTGCAACCTGTACCATCATTTGCCAGCAAGAGTTCCATACTTCCTTTAGTCTGAGTTCACAATAATCTGACACCAAATAGTCCACCCATTTTTCCCTTAGATGGGAAATAAGAGAGCTCAGGGAATAAGACACTTGGGAAGAAATCCTCAGGGGACTTCTTGTTAACCTCCGGAGAGCAAACATGACCTGACAAAACCAGCTGCGGTGTGACAGCCACGGAGCCATGCACCCGTACAGCCATGCCTGGCTCCTCTTGCCCCGTAGTTTCTTATATCTGTGACCCTGTCTTCTGTTTTCCTTTTCAGGTGTCTCCAGTGAAAATCTGTGACTTTGACTTGGGCAGTGGGATGAAACTGAACAACTCCTGTACCCCCATAACCACACCAGAGCTGACCACCCCAGTACGTATGCTTCCTCTGGGCTCCTAAGTATTTGGAGTGTTTCCCTGATCCAGAGCTGGGAGGTCCAGAACAGAGGGTTAAGGATGGAAAACCAAGTGGACCTATCTTCCTGCTGCCTGAGTGATCATTTTGCTTGCTGCTCTGTGTTCGTGGCTCTCAAGCCTCCCCTGACCCCTTAGTTGCTAACGAAACTGACACTTGGACTGTTAGTTGGGTTGGGTCCTCTCTGCTGATGAAGAGACAAATTATATCTATAAGCACAGGCTGGCCGTTTGCAATGGCTCATGCCTGTAATCCTAGCACTTTAGGAGGTTGAGGCAGGCAGATCACCTGAGGTCAGGAGTTTGAGACCAGCCTGACCAACATGGAGAAACCCCATTGTACTGAAAATACAAAATTAGCCAGGCATGGTGGCGCGCACCTGTAATCCCAGCTACTTGGGAGGCTGAGGCAGGAGAATCGCTTGAACCCGAGGGGTGGAGGTTGCGGTGAGCCGAGATAGCACCATTGCACTCCAGCCTGGGCAACAAGAGCAAAACTCCGTCTCAAAAAAAAAAAAAAAAAAAAAAAAAAACAATAAAAAAAACACAGGCTGAGCCCTGACTCCTGACCCAGGTGAAAATGGACCCTACTCCCAGGCCAGCCCTTTTGCATATGAGCATTTGGGTAGTTCTGTAAGTCCTATTCCCACTGCTGAAGGCACAGCGCAGCCCCCTTGTAATGGGGGATGGAGAGCTGTTCTCCCTGACTGGACAGGATAGTCTCTCTGTGGTGGGAACTGTGAGGTCTCAGGCTATATGCACATGGGATCGCTTGGCCAAGTTAGCCTGTTTGCTTCTCTGATTTCACATTTCATGACCAGATGGTGCTGCTTGGAGCTACTTCTTCCTAAAACATCTCTTGTATAACTAATAGAGTATAATTATGATTCTTTTGAGATTTGTATGCTTCACAAGTAAATTTTCCTAATAACCCTTTTTTTTTTTTTTTTTTTTTGAGACAGAGTCTTGCTCTGTTGCCCAGGCTGGAATGCAGTGGCGTGATCTCGGCTCACTGCAAGCTCTGCCTCCTGGGTTCATGCCATCCTCCTGCCTCAGCCTCCCGAGTAGCTGGGACTACAGGCGCCCGCCACCACGCCTGGCTAATTTTTTGTATTTTTAGTAGAGACGGGGTTTCACCATGTTAGCCAGGATGGTCTCGATCTCCTGACCTTGTGAACCACCCGCCTCGGCCTCCCAAAGTGCTGGGATTACAGGCGTGAGCCACCACGCCTGGCCCCTAATAACCCTTTTAAGACATGCCCTTTAAGGGCATATTTAATATGCCTGTGTTGTATCTTATTCTAAACAACATTATCAGGAATGTTTCTTTCTTAGCTTCTAACACACTGGACTACCTTGTTTTCAAAGTCATTAATTCTAATTGACAATAACAAAGAAAATATCCTCTCTTGAGAACACTTACCATCTTTCAGTCAAATTAGTTTTGCAGGGTGTGTGGAGGCGGGAGGTGGTTGTTTCTTGGTGAGCCTGAAATAATGAAGAGTGGAGCAAAAAGAACGTGTTTTATTCCTATCAGCCGCTTTCTACACAAGGGTGAGAGAAAGGAATATTGGATTCTGGTCCTAGGGCTGCCATTGATGTGCTCAAACAGATCCCTGTCCCGTTCTTGGCCTTGCCCTTGCCATCTATAAATGGGAGGGGTGGGAAGGTTGGATTTGTTCTAAGAGCTTTGTAGCTTTGACGGTCTCTTAATTGTTACACTTCCTGCTCTGAGCTAGCAGGGGAGCACGACAGGATTCACTTTAAGAAATCTTGCTGTGTGGAACTGGATCTCCTTCCAGAGCCACATTCTTGGTGCATTTAAGTACCTGTACATGAAATATCTGTTTATAGGAAGCTGAAGCAGGGGGAGATTCCTGGAACTTCTTGGCCAAGGGTCTTTGCCTACTGGAGGAGGAACTGGAAGGATAAGGTGACCTGAACTGCTCCTCTGGATGATGGAAAATGATGGAGCTCAGTCTGCAGATGCCTTGGTGGCATCAGGCGGCTCACTGGCTGGCCTTCCTGATCTGTATCTCATCCTTCCAGCCTCCTGCTCCAGTCCCATCACAGTCTGCTCTCTGCCATCCCCTCTGCTGTAACTAAGCCTCTCTGTTCTCTGCCATCTCCCCCTCCCCCAACCCTGGCCCCCACAGTGTGGCTCTGCAGAATACATGGCCCCTGAGGTAGTGGAGGTCTTCACGGACCAGGCCACATTCTACGACAAGCGCTGTGACCTGTGGAGCCTGGGCGTGGTCCTCTACATCATGCTGAGTGGCTACCCACCCTTCGTGGGTCACTGCGGGGCCGACTGTGGCTGGGACCGGGGCGAGGTCTGCAGGGTGTGCCAGGTGAGTGCGGCCCCAGGGAGCACTGCGTAGACCCTGCTAGGGGTCAGTGTGGTTGGGGGATGCCAAGCAGGACTGGGCTGGGAGAGCGTTCCTGATCGGGATGGGGGCTCATAGTGCCCTCTCCCGCTCCTGTCACGGTGGCCACAAGGTAAAATAGAGATAATCAGACACTCCGCCCAGCTGGGAGTTCAGGGCAGGATTGTTAGAAGATCATGCCTGAACTGACTCTTTTTTTTTTTTTTTTTTTTTTTTTGAGATGGAGTCTCTCTCTGTCGCCCAGGCTGGAGTGCAATGGCACGATCTCGACTCACTGCAACCTCTGCCTCCTGGGTTCAAGCGATTCTCCTGCCTTAGGCCTCCCAAGTAGCTGGGACTACAGGCGCCGGCCACCACGTCTGGCTAATTTTTTATATTTTCAGTAGAGACGGGGTTTCATCGTGTTAGCCAGGATGGTCTCAATCTCCTGACCTTGTGATCCTCCCGCCTCGGCCTCCCAAAGTGCTGGGATTACAGGCGTGAGCCACCGCGCCCAGCCCTGAACTGACTCTTAAAGGGTGCATCCTGCCCTGCGGAAGAGGGACAAGAATCACAAGTAGAAGGAACAGCACGGGCATAGATGTGGGCACATGAAATAGCTGGAGTGTCTAGGAAGGAAGAGTGGAGTAGTAGGTCGGTGGTAGTGGGAGATGAGGCCTGAGAGGTTCACAGAGAGTCCTCTAGGAAGAGCCAAGGAATTTGGGCTTTGTTCTATGGGTGATCTCCACTCATCACCCATCCAGCCCACCAAGGGCATAGCCATCCTGGCCTGCCAAGGGCATTCTATATAGTTTGATCATCTAGGGGACAGTGCGGGGTGAGTCTGGGAAGAGGCCCCAGTCTGTGGCATCCCCAAGCCATGAGCTGCAGCTACAGCTGAGATCAATTGAAGCCGGTTGATCAAAACAATGACAGGCACATCCTGCCCATCCCTGGCAGTGTGGCCTCAGGAGGAATCTTTTGTACCTAGAACAAGCTGTTTGAAAGCATCCAGGAAGGCAAGTATGAGTTTCCTGACAAGGACTGGGCACACATCTCCAGTGAAGCCAAAGACCTCATCTCCAAGCTCCTGGTGCGAGATGCAAAGCAGAGACTTAGCGCCGCCCAAGTTCTGCAGCACCCATGGGTGCAGGGGGTGAGTGACTCCAGGGAGGGGTGTTTTCCACCACTTCAGGCCTGTGGCATGGCCACAAGGAAGCTGTCATGCCAGCAAGTGCTGAGCACCAGCCTTGTGGCTGGTGCAGCTGAAGAGGACAGCGTCTATCCCTGAGTGTGTAGAGTGAATCGACTCCTCCTGTTACCCCAGACTGAGCCCCTTATAGGCCATAGAGTTGGCTGTAAACTTGGCCACAGACTAAGCCCCAACAGAGTCCTCTGGGGATTTGGTACATGCACCCAGCCCCGCAAGCATCCTATTGTCATTTGAAGTCTGTAGCATCCTCCTCTTATATAGAAGCATCATTAGCTGAGGACACCCAGAAGTGAGCAAGGCCGTGCTGCGCTGATTGTTGTGTGGCCGAGTTGGGGCACATAGGTTCTCCTCATGGTCTGGGAGTCTGGGTACAGCTGGCCTGAAAGGCAAATGATCGTATTTTTTCCCTAAGCTTAGAATTCATGTCTTCACTAGAAAACATTTTTAAAAATCCTCCTTGGCTACTCACAATACCTGACCTCTGCCCTCCAAGGGGTCTGCCAGATGCTCCCATGACTTTCTGGTCTCCTTGGTGTGCCAGGCTCTGGCCAGCCTCAGTGACCCTACCAGTGGAAGGAGGCAAGCATTGCCATCCTATGTTGCAGATGGGGACCCAGTTTGAGTGTCTAACTGGCTCATTCCCAGACCCATAAGTGAGCACCTGCCACATGCCAGAGGGACAAGTGAGACCCAGTCCCTGTCTCTGTGCTCTAGTGGAGAGAAGTAGACAAGGGGATAAGTTACAGCATGATAAAGGCTTCTGAAAAGTGCTAGGGGCACAAAGGGAGCAAGACCCCACTCCCCATCCCGGGCCTGAGACTGAGGCAGGAAGGTGGCAGGGAAGGGGAAATGTGCGTCACAGGGGAAGTGACCCTTGAGCTGGGTCCTGGGGGATGATTAGGACTTTGCCAGGCAAAGGGAAAGAGGGGCTCTCCATGCAGAAGCAGCTATGTTGGGGGCTGCGGCTGCAGATTGTACCTTTCTTGCTCTCTGCTTGGAAGGCCTGACCCTGCAAGCAAGCATAGCCATTTCCCTGTGCTGCGCCAGCAGCCTATAGTAACCTACCCACTGCTGGCTTGGGTGGGGCAGTTCTTGAAAGGAGGGAGCAGTGCTTTACCTACACATCTGTCCTTCCCATTCTAGCAAGCTCCAGAAAAGGGACTCCCCACGCCGCAAGTCCTCCAGAGGTAAATGCTCTGACCACCCCCACGCCATGCTCTTCCTCAAGCTCTCAGCCACCATGGGGGTGGGGGCCGGGGGAGCCCATCTCTAGGCTCAGGTAGCTTTCTCCAAAGGGGCTCCCTGCCCATTTCCCCTCCTCACTCTCTTTTCCTCTACTCTGGATCTATCTCCCACCCTTCCCTTCCTTCACCTAGATTGGATCCTCTGCCCTCCAGCACCTTAAGGCCCCTCCTAGCACTGTTGGCAGGAAAAAAAACCTGTTTTGCCCATTGAACTGTAACTTACAGCCCAAAGACAGACCTTACCCATGGGTTATTCACACAAGGCTTCCCTCTGCCCTTGTATTTAATGAAAGGAGCAGAAGTGAGGGGCACGTACGGTACTAGACGGACAGTGATAATAGTGGCCACCAGGATTAAGTCCTTACCATGGCCAGGCATGGTGGCAGGTGCTGTAATGCCAGCTACTTGGGAGGCTGAGGCAGGAGAATCGCTTGAATCCAGCAGACGGAGGTTGCAGTGAGCTGCGATCACGCCACTGCACTCCATCCTGGGCAACAGAGCAAGCATCTGTCTCAAAAAAAATAGTAAGTCCTTACCACATGTCAGACGTGGTGCTAAGGGCTGGATATAATTATATCCATAATCTTCACGATGAATTTAAGAGAGGTGTTCTAGATGAGAGAGGTGAGGAGTGGCAATCAAGTTAACTTGCTTAAGGCCACACAGCAGCCCTGGGCTGTTTGACTCTGGAGCCCTTTTACAGCTGGACTGCCCTGTTCCCAAAGAGCCAGGGCTAAGCAGTGTGGGAAACCTTTTTGGCACCAGCCTCATGGCCAGCTTTTAGGAGCTACACAAGGAAGTCATACACCTCCATAATCGCAATTCGTGTGACCCAGTTGCTATTGCCCAATTTGGGTTCCTACCTGACTCTCTAGAGCAGCCTCCAGATGCCTTTAGATGCCAAACCTCAGATCCGCCTTAGAAGATTTATTCTGCAAACCCAAAGTGCCTGTCCACGCTAGCCCTGAGCTAGGTGCTGGGGACGTGGCATAAGCGGCGCAGGCCTTGCTCTGGGAGCTTTTTCCCCACGCAGGCTGGGAGAGGGAGGGACAGGTGTGTTTCATGTGCCCAGTCTCTGCCTCTGGTAGACCTGTATGTAGAGTTGTGGGAGCTCAGAGGAGGGTGCTCTGAGGAGAAGGGGGAGCTTGCCCCTACCATCAAGTCCAGGGATGGTACTTGGGGCTCAAATTAAAATCCCTCAGTCAAGAAAGATTCCAAACCTAGGCAAGAACTACTTTGGAGAGAGCAGCCCGTCCCAGCTCTGGGAAATCTGGTGGGAGCGTAGAGCCACAGCAGCAAGTGGGAGTGTCCCGGAGCTGGCCTGGCTGACCCTAGAGTCCTGACCCTCTTTTCTGTGCTTTCCCCTGGCCCTGCAGGAACAGCAGCACAATGGACCTGACGCTCTTCGCAGCTGAGGCCATCGCCCTTAACCGCCAGCTATCTCAGCACGAAGAGAACGAACTAGCAGAGGAGCCAGAGGCACTAGCTGATGGCCTCTGCTCCATGAAGCTTTCCCCTCCCTGCAAGTCACGCCTGGCCCGGAGACGGGCCCTGGCCCAGGCAGGCCGTGGTGAAGACAGGAGCCCGCCCACAGCACTCTGAAATGCTCCAGTCACACCTTATAGGCCCTAGGCCTGGCCAGGCATTGTCCCCTGGAAACCTGTGTGGCTAAAGTCTGCTGAGCAGGCAGCAGCCTCTGCTCTGTGGCTCCATTCAGGCTTTTTCATCTACGAAGGCCCTGAGGTTCCCATCAACCCCCATTTCCCTAGGGTCCTGGAGGAAAAAGCTTTTTCCAAAGGGGTTGTCTTTGAAAAGGAAAGCAATCACTTCTCACTTTGCATAATTGCCTGCAGCAGGAACATCTCTTCACTGGGCTCCACCTGCTCACCCGCCTGCAGATCTGGGATCCAGCCTGCTCTCACCGCTGTAGCTGTGGCGGCTGGGGCTGCAGCCTGCAGGGAGAAGCAAGAAGCATCAGTTGACAGAGGCTGCCGACACGTGCCTCTTCCCTCTCTTCTCTGTCACCCTCCTCTGGCGGTCCTTCCACCTTCCTCTGTCCTCCGGATGTCCTCTTTGCCCGTCTTCTCCCTTGGCTGAGCAAAGCCATCCCCTCAATTCAGGGAAGGGCAAGGAGCCTTCCTCATTCAGGAAATCAAATCAGTCTTCCGGTCTGCAGCACGGAAAAGCACATAATCTTTCTTTGCTGTGACTGAAATGTATCCCTCGTTTATCATCCCCTTTGTTTGTGATTGCTGCTAAAGTCAGTAGTATCGTTTTTTTAAAAAAAAAGTTTGGTGTTTTTAACCATGCTGTTCCAGCAAAGATGATACCTTAAACTCCCACTGCAAGCCCATGAACTTCCCAGAGAGTGGAACGGCTTGCTCTTCTTTCTAGAATGTCCATGCACTTGGGTTTTAATCAGCAGTTCCCTATTATTCTGATTTTAAGCTGTTCCTGTGATGAACTTAGAGACAGCATCGGTGTCTGCTGCTGTGTCCCCAGGTCTTGTGTGGGTGGCACAGATCTGGGCAGTTAGATAGTGCTCTGTGCCTAAGGTGAAGCCACACTAGGGTGAAGCCTCACTTCCCTGTTTGAGCAATGCAGTGCCTGCTGCCCGTGTGCATGAAGGTACAGCCATTCAGATAAGTGGAACTATTGAGTTACATAAAGAAAATAGATTTGCATTTGTCAGGCAGACGTTTATACAACACCACGGTGCTTTTATACATTGTGCTTATTTTAATAAAACTGAAATTCTATGTGTGGCCTATTTGGTGGTCCTTTTTTTTTTTTACCTGCAGACCTGAGGAGGAGACTGGCCTTCTAAACTGGGTCTAAGTCCAGCCAGGTGGGGAGAAGGTATCTCTTATTGGGACCCCTGAATAAAAACCGTATTTGACCCAAAAAACAAAGTGAAGGAGAAATTGCTATTTTTTTCCTAGGTGAGGAAATGAAATTCATCAAACTTTTATCAATTGCTTCTTCTGAGCCAGGACCCAGAAATGAGTAAGAAACAGCCTCTGCTTTCTAGGATCTCCCCATCAAGTGGTAGAGGTGGTGTCAGCAACCATGACACAGGAGACCAGAATGTACTTTAATAGATGTCCTCTGTGCCCAGCAGCCCACAAGCAGGAAACAAATTTCTCCTCTGTCTAAAGCATTACTAAGCCTTTATCAAGGGTGTGTCATGTGCCCGGGACTATGCAACAAAGAAAAATAGCACCTCCTATCCACAGCCCTCATGTACATCACGCAAAGGACTAAAGTGGGCACTAAAGTGCCCATTGTCCCAGGCGATCATCAGAGCCAGACAGGAGAGGACTGGGGTGGAAAGGACCTTTATAAGTTCCCAAGGAGGTGGCAAGGGAGGTCTGAGTGGGCAGTGGACTGGGTGCTGATGACAGCTGCTCTCCCTCGGGATGGCAGAGAGGGGAGATGGGATTAGGGGCTCTTCACTTGGGGCAGGTGACGGGCCACATCCCCAGCTGTCCTACGCCATGAATGCCTCCCCGTTGATGATACATACTGTTTGTTGACAGTCTTCCCTTGACAGTAACCCTGACACCCTCACATCCCTTTTTCATCTACCTGGAGTGGGCTTGGTGAGGAAAACAGACCTGCAAAATCTGATCCTTTTGGCCCACAGACTCCCAGCCCCTGGAGACCCAGAACCAGGATGTGAGTTCTAACCCTGAACCCCAGCCCGGCCTAGTGGGAGGCCCAACAGGAACGTGTCTTCAAGGGGGCTTCCTGGGTCAGGCACTCTCCACCCCTGGCCCACACCCTGCCCAGCTGCAACTCCCCATCTGTGCCTTGGCTCAAGCTGTGCCCTTTCTCAGCCCACCTCCCCAGCCTGGCCCACCTGGCAAGGCCCCTCTCATCCTGCATGGCTCTGCTTAAACGCCATGACCTTGGTTTTGGCTGACCTTGGTTTTGCCAGCATTGTCATGCACTTACTAAGTAACAGGTACTTTCTAAGAAGTTTACGGGCATTAGCATTTAATTCTCAGCAGTCCTCTGAGGTAGGTACTATTATTTTATCCCACTTGACATGAAAACCAAGCAGAGAAAGGAAAAATAGCTTGCCCAGGGCTATACAGCTAGGAATGGTGGAACTGGAATTCCCTCCAGGAAGGCTTGGGACGCCGCGCTGTGCTGCCTGCATTCAAATCCCAGCTCTGCCACTTACTAGCTCTGGGGCTTGGGCCAGTTAATCTCTGAGAGTCAGTTTCTTCAACTCTAAATGGGGATGATAGTGCTTACTTCATGGTACTGTTGTGAAAGTTACAAATTAATGAATGCAAAGTGTTGAGAGCAGTTCCAGGCCCACATAGTAAGTGCTCCATAAATGTTAGCTATTATAGTTTTAGCTAATCAAGTAGTCCCCATTGATCCACAGTTTCGCTTAATTCCATAATTAAGTGAATTATGTGGTCAAAATAGGTGAGTACAACACAATAGGATATTTTGAGAGACCACAGCCATATAATTTTATTACAATATATTGTTACAATTGTTCTATTTTGTTAATCTCTTACTATACCTAATTTATAAATTAAACTTTATCACAGATACGTATGTATAGGAAAAATGATAGTATATATAGAGTTTGGTACTGTCCACGGTTTGAGACATCCACCAAGGGCCTTAGAACGTGTCCCCGAGGGATAATGGGGGACTCCTGTATTTACTGTTATCTACCAGGGCAGAATTACACAACTCATGGTCCCAGTGCTAGAGACGAGCCCTCCCTGGTCCTTGGCTCCGGGAGCACTCTACAGAAGCACTGTGTGCTGTGGAGGTAGGTCTGGGCCTCTTAAGATGAGCCAGGACTCTGTCCCTCTGTAGGATCCTCCGGCAGACAGGCTGCTCCACCCCTCCGGGATGCAGTCCCTGGCCCAGAGGGGCAGCTGTGGCACAACAGGAAGAGCCTGAAGTTCGGACCTGAGCCCTGGGTTCCAGTACTGCCTCTGCCACTATTCACTGGTGACCTTGGAAGTCCTGGCTCTGCTGGACAGAGGCAGATCCAGCAGATGCACTGAGGAGGCTCTGAGACCACAGAGCCCCTTCCAGGCATAGGATCTGCGATAATGGAAGGCAGCTCCCCAGCTCCAGAGCTCATGCGTGGGCGGGGCCTAGAAGGAGAGCACTGGTCCCAGCCAGTTGGAGTGTCTCAAACCTCAGGTCTCTCTTCTCAAACCTAGTGATCAGGCCTTGGCCCCAGCCCCAGCCCCAGCCCTGATTCAGCTGGATCCTGAGGACTCCAGTCTGAGGGCCTCTGGGCACAGGGACCGTCCAGTTTTTGTCCCTCTGTGTGTCTACCTGCCTGGGCTCTGGGGGCGCCTCCTCCCTCCTGGCCGACTGCCCTCCCACACCCAGCCCCATGAATAGTGGTGCCTTGGTCCCATGCCAGCACTCCAGCCGCTTCAGGTCTGGAGGGGGCTGAGGAGCAAGGTCCCCCAAAGGCTGGCACTCTTGTTGCCATGGTAGCAGTTGCCTTGGAAGCCACTTCCCTGACTTCAGCTTCCAAATGGTCCAAGAAAGCTACCTGTCCCCCGGGGGATTGGTGAATTAATCACGCTCTTTTCCAGGGTTCTCACCCCTCAAGGAAAATAAACAGAACCAAACCAAACTGGGGCCTTTTCGCCCACTGTTCCTCCCCACCCCCACGCCACACTTGGACTTGGTGCACTGAGAAGGAAGGAGCATGGGCAGACGCTCCACAGTCCTTGCCTCAGCAGGAGACAGAGAGAAGAGACTGGGTGATGGAACTCAGCAATGTGCCCGTGGCCTTGCCATGCCTGAGAACTGTGGCCTCCAAGAGCACCCAGGTTCAGCGGGGAGGCTCCAATCCTTGGGAGGGGTGGAGGGTTGGTGGGGCGATGGAGCCCTGGTGCCTTGGGCCTCCCTCTCAGCATGGCTCACAGAGAGGTTCCTGAACTCACTTACCTATTGCTCTGAGCACGTCACTCAAGGACACACATTTTCTTTTTCAGAGATGATATAGCCCAAACTGAGGAAAGAATTGGCAGGCCTCCCTCTCTACATCACAACTGTTTTGGGAACCTTTAATGATGCACTCCTGGTCCTGAGGGAAAGAGGCAGGCCTTGACTGATTTTCATTGTTTTGTTTTGTTTGTTTGTTTGAGCCAGGATTTCACACCCATCGCCCAGGCTGGAGTGCAGTGGTGTGATCTCAGCTCACTGCAACCTCCTCCTCAAGCGATCCTCCCACCTCGGCCTCCCAAGTAGCTGGGACTACAAGCACACACCACTGTGCCTGGATAATTTTTGTTTTTGTAGAGACAGGGTTTCACCATGTTTCCCAGGCTGGTCTTGAACTCCTGGCCTCAAGCAATTCTCCCGCCTCAGCCTCCCAAAGTGCTGGGATTGTAATCCCACAGTGCCTGGTCCCTTGACTAATTTTTTAACTCAATGTCTCCCTCTGAAGGTGGGTCTGCCAGTTCCTCCCACCTCAACTAAGACAGTGTTGAAATTCAGGGGCAGATAGGCCAGAGTACTTCCCAGAGGGGCAGAATCCATGAGGACTCTGGGGCAATTCCTCTGTCTCCCCATGTCTTGGATTCCCCACCTATATGAAGAGCTGGGACGGCCCTGGTTCTGTGATCTTGGAACTGAAAAAGGCTTAACGTGCCTCTCCTTTGAGATCACAGTGTTTTCTGAGATCTGAAGCAGTGCACAGGTGCCTCTGCCACCCCCATCCCCATCACCAGACAAGGCAGTGGGCTCAGGGAGGTGGAATGGCTGGCCCGAGCCCCATAGTGCGAGGTGGAAAACGCGGCCCCAAGAGCTTCTATCTTGGTGAGGGTGTGAGAGAGTCGCCCTCAGCCTTAGACTTTGAGAGGAGCAAGGAACACGTTTCATGGACAATTATTTTGGTGGCTCCTTCTAAAACTAAGTCAGTGGGGGATCAATTATGTGTGACAGAGACATGGGCTATGATTTGATGCCTAATTAGAGGAATAATCAGATCTCATCCAGGCAGGAGGCACAGCAGATGCTGGCAGCAGCACCGTGGCTGGGGAATGCCCAGCTCCAGGGGTGTTCCCTCTGTGGGGAACAGGAACACAGTCCAGGGCCCATCTGTGTGCTGCAGTCACCCCTCTCTACAGACTCATCATGAGCCGAAGCTCCAACTCAGGTGACCCTGGGCCTTCTCAGGCCCCCTTCTCCACATACAAGGAATGCCTCTTGTTAGAGACAGAGGTTCCCTTGTGTCCACAGCCCTCCTCTTTGATGACTGGAGGTGGTTGTGCAGTCCAAGCCCTCTCCCTGAACTCTGTCCTCATGTTCAGAAGCCTAGCTCAGGTCCCTCCCAGCCACAGCATTCTGGGGAGCTCACTCCTGGAACCTGCCCTCAAGGGGCTCTCAGCCTACAGAGGAGATAGAACAAGAACAGGGCAGCCATGGAGGCAGGTGGAGGAACAAGAAGTTGAGCCTGGCAATATGAGACTGCAGATGCAGTGCAGAGAGGGGGCATCCAAAGAGAGGCCAGGGAGGCTGGCGACGGGACTCCGAGCAGGATTATGGGACCCTAGGAATTGTGCCCAGGTGCAGGGCCAGGCCGGGGCCATATTCTGAGACTGGGGGGTCCCCAATCCATAAAGGGCCAAATAACGCAATGAATGATAAAGGCTGGAACTGGGGGCCGGGGCAGGGCTCAGGGCTAGGCTGCATTGGTGACCACTGCCCAGCCTTGGGGTGGGGCATCCTGCAAGTAACTCAGACAGGCTGGGTGCAGGTGCTCAGTTCAGCGGATGGGAAGGCACCAACCATGACCCAGCCTCCCACTCCCGGCACCTAGCCCCTACCAAGTCCTCTTCTCTACCCTACCCCTTAGGTGTTTTCCTCCTGCCCACACCAGCACCACCACTGCTCTTCCCTTTCACTCCCAGTCGGGATCCCCAAGGTGGCTAGAAGGGTTCACTCTCCATTCCACTGGCCACTAAAAGGGGGGTGGGTACCAAGCCCACCTGAGGACAAGGGAGTCCCCTGAGATCAAGCCTCAAACTAGGACGCCCTCAGCCCTACCTGGGAGCCCAGAGGTGGACAGGATGGGGATGGGATGGGCAGGGGTAGGGAGCAGACTTGGAGGGATGCCTCTCCCTGTCCGCTTTCCATACCAGGTGCAGTTCCTGTCTCTTGAGCCTCCTGCTGTGTGTCTATCTCAGACTCCAAGCAGAGACCCCAGGTGCACCTCCAGGCCAAAGGGCAGAGCACATTACAGCGGGCCCTGAGCATGTGATCAGGAGTCTCCTCACATCCCTGGCTTCTGAACGACATGCAAAGCCACCAGCTCGTTCTTCCTCCTCAGGAACCAGCAGTGGAACCTGGGCTGACTGCCCGCTGGGCCCTGGGACCCAGACAGCCACTCACATTGCAACCTCATGAATAACTCAGCACCTCCCTGCTGCCTACATCTCTGAGGAGCCTGTGGCCGCTGGACCAACTCCCCCCTCACCCTGCCTCTCATTGCTTTAAATTTTCATAGGCTGAGGTTCAGTGGCAAGTAAGTGGCTCTAGGAAGCTGGGGCAGGATGTCCTGGGCAGGGGAGCTTGAACTCTCCTGGGTGGAGGCTGGCAGGGAAGGATCCTATGGAACAGGCCCAGCTCCCTAGAACTCTGGCAGCCAAAGCAGAAATGTAGCCAGACAGGAGTCCCAAGGGTGGGCTTCAGCTTCAGAGGGCTTTGAGAGAGGAAGAGTAAGCTGGGTGACCTCGTACAGATCCCTGGTCAAGGTGGGACTGGGGGGCCCGTAGTGGAGCAGTGGAATAGGACTGCAGATAAATCCCAGGGTTCCCCACCTATCATCTTACTGCCCAGAAACTCCTACCCTGAAGTTGGAGCGCCAACAAGGAGACATCCAAGAGCCCAGAAACTTCCAGGACTTTTCTGGGGCCAGACTGCACCGGCTGGAGGCAGTGCCCCGGGTGGGCCTGCATGGACATCCCCATCAGCAGCAGAGACTTCCGCGGCCTGCAGCTGGCCTGCGTGGCTCTCGGGCTGGTGGCTGGCAGCATCATTATCGGCATCTCCGTATCCAAGGCTGCAGCTGCCATGGGCGGTGTCTTTATTGGCGCTGCTGTTCTGGGTGAGCAGGGGCTGGGCTGGGATAGGGAAGGGAGATTCTGGAGGTGGGGGCAGGGGCATCGTCAGGTGAACAAGGAACAGGGAAGGGCTGGGTCAGCAGGAATCAGCTGGGGAGAACGGAAGCTAGAGGTGTGAGCAAGGCCGCCATCAGGGGCACAGGCGGGAGAGGAGCGACGCGCTGGGGCTCCTTCCAGCCACAGGGAGGAGAAAAGAAGGAGAGCTGGCCGTCACACTCTTTTCTGGCTACTCCCACTGGCTCTCCAGCCCCAAGCTCTAGGCTCCTGGATTTGTGGTGGGATTCATCAGCCTATCTGGGCGGAACAGGGGGTTGATGGCGGCAGGTAAAAGGACAGAGCTCCTGAGGACTCTCTGAGCCAAGACAGGCTCCAGCTCAGAAAAAGGGTTTCGTCTTCTTTCCCTGTTTGCCTCCACAGCAGCTGTGTCCATCTATCTGTGTGGGGCCACGCCCACTGATTGCCCCGCAGTGACGCTGAATGCCATCCCTCACCTCACCTCACCTCACCCCACCCCCCGCCCCCGCCCAGGCCAAAGGCAGGACCAGAAGCATCAGGCTAGGGGGCTTTAGGTATCTACACCTGCGGGTTCTGGCACAGATGCTCATCGGGGGATGGAGCGGGGGCGGGCAAGGCAGGACTGGCTCCACTGCTCCTGCTCCCCAGGTCTGGGTGGGGAGGAACATGCTGAGGACAAGCACCCAGTCCGGCCCTGGGGGCCCTGGGGAAGCGTGGGGACAGCAGAGACGCAGTGGTGGTGTCAGCCAGGCTCATTCCAGCAACCTGCTCTTCACTTAGGAACGGTGGAGCCAGGCAGGTGGGGCCTTCACAGTCTGTAGCCTCTTCCCCAAACAGGCACTGCCCCCACCAACCCAGATGCACACACCCACAGGCTCACATTTACACACTCACAGTCCCAAGTCTGCACACTGTGCTCCTCCCATGCACACCCATATCTCACAAACCACCCCTCAGGCTCCCAGCCCACCCACAGCCTCAACACTCACCAGGCTCCTCCCCATCACAGAACCCCCTGTGTCTCTTCTCAGGGCTCCTCATCTTGGCCTACCCCTTCCTGAAGGCTCGGTTCAACCTGGACCACATCCTGCCTACCATAGGTGAGGCCTCTCCCTGACCCCAGCAGACCCCTCTGCCAAGGACTGTTCCAGACCCTTTGTGTGCTCGTCTGTGACCCACTGTGTGGCTGGGATGAGCCCATGTGTGAGACCGCGCTAGCTGTCTGTGTTAGAGCTGCTGTGTGTGTGTGTGTTGTGCAGGCGTTGCCATGACTACAGAACGGCAGAATCCAGCCTGCAGCAAAGGTGCCTGAACCAGCTCAGAGCTGGGAAGTTCATCTCCCTTGAGAGATTTTATGACTCCCCAAAGCCTCCAACATCTCTAAATAACTCCCTCTCCATCCCTGAGCCCCCATGAAAGACCCTCTATTTCCCCTAAGACCCCACAGCCTCTGCACAGCTCCCACCTCATCTCAGCTCCCCACATACAGGCTGCCATCTCCACCAATCCTATGGGGCTTCTCATGGCCCCAGTTCTCCCCGGGACCTCACCTCCCTAAAAGATCTGCCATTTTCTCCTTCAAGGGCCCAGTTCTTTTTCTCCTGCCCAAATCAGCCCAGATCATGTGAGACCTAAAGGAATGCAGTGGAGCAAAGACAGCATCAGGGATGGAGACTAGATAGCAAGAAGGACTTCCCTTCCCAACCTAGGCTTGATTTGGGGAATGGCTCAGTAATCAGGGGGCTTGGGGTGGTCTCATCCTGCAGGGAGCCTAAGAATCCATCCCCATCCAGGGGCAGACCACGGGGAAGGAAGATCCAGCACCAATGGCAACAAGGAAGGTAAGTTCCAGAAATTCCCGAGTCCATCCTTCTTTTTTCTTTTTTTTTTTTGAGACAGAGTTTTGCTCGTGTTGCCCAGGCTGGAGTGCAATGGCATGATCTCGGCTCACTGCAACCTCCACCTCCCGGTTTCAAGCAATTCTCCTGCCTCAGCCTCCCGAGCAGCTGGGATTACAGACATGTGCCACCACGCCTGGCTAATTTTTGTATTTTTAGTAGAGACGGGGTTTCTCCATGTTGGTCAGGCTGGTCTCGAACTCCCAACCTCAGGTGATCCACCCGCCTCGGCCTCCCAAAGTGCTGGGATTATAGGCGTGAGCCACCGTGCCCAGCCTGAATCCATCTTTCATCTCCCCTCCCTGACTGAGCAGCTCCATGGGGCCCGGGAGCCTTGAGCGGCATGCCGAAGGGGCCTCCCCAGTGCGGGGAGACGGTACTGCTGGCACTTTCCCCAGGTGCACAGTCAGACCCTTGCTGCTCCAAGCTGAACTGATCTCCTCTTGCTTACTCTGAGGGCTTCTGTCTTGCCCAGCGTGGACACTGGAATGAGGGCACCTCCCTGCCCCTTCCCCTCCCTCCCTTTCCCCTCCCCCAGGTCCTATACCTCAGTTTATTTTCCCACTCCCCTCTCCCATCTCTCCCAGGGTCAGAGGAACTCAAAGGGACCCAAGCTGGGGTTCCCAGTGCCCAGGGCAGAGCTGGGATAGAATGGGGAGGGGGGGACATGCCAGGGGACAGTTTCAGCCCAGTTTAAAGAGGCCATGGGTACCAGCTTTGGGTACTAGCTTTAACCACCCCAGTTTAAAGTTCATACCCCAAACTGGGCATCTCCTTGTTCTTCCACCCCACACCTGGAAAGTTCCAGGGCAGGAGTTTCTCAAAGATGGTCCCAGCCCAGTCTCTGCCACCAGGGGTTGGATGCCTAATACTCAGTGAAAGGCCCCATTCCAGACACTGTTCCCAGCCCTGTTCATCTATTATTCGCTCTTTTAAGTCTCACAACAACCACATGAGGGCAGCACTATCATTAGTTTCATTTTACATAAGGGGCAACCGAGGCACAGGGAGATTTAGTGACATGCCCAAGACCACACAGCCAGGAAGTGCGGCAGTCAAAGCTCAAACCAGGCAGTGGGCTCCGGGGTCCCGCCTCTACCCCCGGCCTATGCTGCTGCCCTCTTGAAAGCCATCCTGACTGGAGGTACCTCTTTAAACTGGGCTGAAACTGTCCCCTGGGATGCTCCCCTCTCCCCATTCTATCCCAGCTCTGCCCTGGGGTCAACCAGGCACCCCGGCCTTGGGTCCCTCTGAGTTCCTCTGACCCTGACAACTCCATGGGGACCTGTCTACGGAGGCAGTCCTCGTCCCTGTTCTCTCCCCCAGGAGCCCGCAGCAGCCTGTCCACCGTGAGCAGGACCCTGGAGAAGCTGAAGCCGGGGACCCGGGGGGCTGAGGAATGCTGAGGCAAAGTCTGAGCGGCTGCCCATGCCCTGCCCTCCCATCCTGCCTGCTGCCCCTATGTCAGTGCCCTCCTGGGTTAGGAGACCCGGACCGGAGACAAGCCAGGCCCTGCAGACCCCAGAGCGGCTGGGAACAGTGTCTGGAATGGGGCCTTTTGCACTCGCCCGGCCAAGCCTCTCCAAAATGGATTCCACTGGTGTGGGCTGGGACCTGGAGCAAGGTGTCGCCGGACGCCCCCACAGGGTTCCCATGTTTCAGGCTCCTGCCCTGGCCTTTCTTTCTGGACTGCAGCTCAGCTTTGTTGCCTGTTCAATCTACTGATTTGTTTCTCTGGAATTTGGGGTCCAAGGCCCTGACTATGACCAGGATGCCCCAGTCCCTTGCTCTAACCCGGCTACAGAAGTGAACCACAGGCCCACAAGAACCACAGACAGGGACCCTCCACCCCCACGGTCTAGCCCAGGGGCTCTAGAGCTCACTAGCCCAATAGAGGGGCTAGACAAGATTCTTTTCCAAATATCAAAACTCCTGGCAGTTCCTCAGGGACAGGCTCTGAGCAGCAGTGAATCAGATGGGGGAATTTGGGGGGCTCACAAAGGGACAGGTACAAACAACTTCGCCTGGGGGTCAGAGGAGGCAACTTCTCAGCTGAGCCCAGGCCTGAGACCCTTGGTGTCTTAACTCCACCACTCAAGGCTTTTTGTGATCTGACTTCTCTCTTCCTCCCATCTTCTCACTGCTCCCTGAACAAGCAAAACACATTCCTGTCTCCAAGCTTTGCCCTGTGTTCTCCAGCACCCTCCCTGCTTCTGTCTGCCTATCAAACACCCCACTTTTAAAGTCCCCGTTCAAAAAATCTCCTACCCACGTGGTTTCCTCATTCTCTTCCACCAACCTCTGTCTTGCCACCTTTCAGGCAGGGCTGAAGTCTTCCTTTTCACAAAACAATTATTAAACCATCTTAAGTCTACTGAACGTTGCCCCTGCTCTAGTGTCTAGCACCAGACCAGTAGGTGCTTAATAAATGTTAATGGATTCAATTTAATGTAAAAACAATTCCCTAGGCTTTCCCTGGGAAGCCACTTCAAAGTCCCATCTACCGTGGGTAGAGCAAGGAGGCCCAGGTGTGGCCTCACAGAAAACATTGTTCCTCCCTCCACACCTGCACCCTCCAGGCAGAGTTGTTTGACCTCTACAGAGATACCCTCTCCATACGGCCTCTGGCCTGGTTTAGTGAGCAGAAGACAAGCTAGAAATCACGTCCTTCTTCCAGGATCAATGGAGACGGCACTTCCTCTTAGAAGCCTCCCCTGACTTCACTGTGCTTCCCAGCCCCAGGGTTTCCCTCCTTCACAGACCAATCTGAGTGGCCTTTGTCTATTTCCCCTCTTGAGAGTGGGAGCAGAGGGCCAGGCACCCAGACGACACCCCAGTGGATGTTGGAAAAACCAAAGTTTTCTGAAGCACAGAGTCCATCTCAGATGGGAAAGCTGAGGCCCCACTGGAAAAAGGACTCATCGAGTCCCATGGTGAAAGATCACGGGGCCAGGCCTGCAGCCAGGTCTCCTATCTCTCCCTATCCAAGGCTCTATCTTCTGCTGTCCTCTGCACAAGTGGCAGGGATCAGTTCTCTGACAACAGTGCGACAGACCTCCATGAAGGGGCTGCCTTCCACAAATGCTGGCTAGGTGTAGAGACTTCGTTTCCTTCAGCTGAGAGAAGCAACTTCCTCTCTTTGAACTGCCCTCCTCTCCACCCAGCTGCTGCCTATTCCCTGCCCCTTCTCCTTTCCTTCATTATCATCAACAATATCTCAGGCTGCTGGTCCCTCCTCAATCAATGAGGAGACCCTTCCTCCTATCCATCTTCGATCCTCACCTCAGTGCCCCAGAGATGCCCCAGGGTGGAGGGGGTGGGAATGGGGGATGTGGAGACTGAGCTGTGGAGAGTGTGGTTCCCTCCCCCCTGCCCATCAACCCCTCTCAGCCATGCTCTCCCCAGGGTGGGGCTATGGAATCCCCGATGCCTGGCAGGGCCAGGCAGAGAGAGATGCTGGGGACCAGGTGGAATAAATCAAGGAATGAAAGCATACAACGGCAAGAGCTATGTCCACTGGGGAAGAACTGGGTAAGGCTTCAAAAGACCCTTAAACTGAGTGGAAATTCTTGATCCTGGGACTCTAGTTCCTCTTTTTCCCTGCAGTGGGCTTCCTGAAACATCTTCCCTCCAGCCCAGGTGAATATCCCAATACATTTTGCTCAAGTACATCCCCAACCTCAACCTCCCCACTCCCTCCCTGTGGTCACAGGAGTAGTCAATGTGGAGACATGTGGCTTCTCCCCCTCACACTTCGAGAAAAGGTGAGGTCAGGCCTAGCTGGCATGGGTGGTATGGTAGGTAGTGTTAGGGAGTAGAACCCTCCAATATTTCAGCATGGGACAGGGGCGTAGACAGGGACAGGTCCTTGAACCAAGCTCTTCCCGTGGTCTGTTCAAGAAATGAAATTGGTTCTTTCCAATAGCCATTCTCACACCAGGACTGTGACTGTGACTGTGCCCAGCCCTAGGCTGGGTGCTGAGAACACACAAGTGATCTAAAGGTGGGGAGTACTTGGTCCAAGCAGATTCCTTGAAGTCACATGCCTGCTGGGCCAACCTGGAGGAGGACTGCACAGGCTGGGGCTGGAGTCTGGAGATAAAACTCACATCCTGGTTCCCAGGGGCTGGGGCAAGAGGCTGTGGGGCCTTGAGCCTGGCTTTCCCCAGATGCAAAGGGAGGATATGGTAGCCCTCCCCCACAGGGCCACTGTCAGCATGAAGGCTGCCTGGCACACAGTCACATCGGGTAGGGTTTATGAATGGATGAGTAAACGAACGAAGGCAGAGGTTGGAGAGATGCTCTTTCAGCTGAACTCTTCCAGGGTCTGGAAAGTCAGCACACCTCAGTCCTCCCTCCCACACGCCCAGCCTTGAGGTGGGCCTGCTGCCCAGCACTTCCTCCCCAGCCCTCATCCCAAAAAGTTCCTACACACACCACCAGGAGATAGAGTCACTCCCTAGACAGGCTCATGTCCACACCCCTTTCTAGGGTGCAGGATTGGTGGTTGATTGGGAAAGGGGTGCTGAAAACAAGTCCATCCCTGGAAAAATCCCCCCTCCCCCGCCCCACAGCTCCAGCCCCGCTCCAGAAAGAAGAATCCATTTGAAGTTGAAGGCAGAGCCAGTTCGACTTGTACCCCTGCCCCCTGCCCTAGAGTGAGTTGCAATATATCCGTGCCTGGCTCTCGGAAAGTGCGGACGAGACGGTGTGGGTGGGCTAGGAGTTATTTGCAAGGGTGCTTGCAAACCGTGAAGCCTAGAGGAGAACGGGAGAAGGATGGAACCGAGCGGAGAGGGGAGGTGTATGGTAAGAACCCCGCTCGCCCCGGGTTGAAGGGGAGCTGTGGGTCGGCGGTCAACGCTTGAAGGAGAGGGGTTCCGGGTGGCGGGAGGCGGCTGGGGACCCGCGCAGGCCAGCGTGCCGGCCCCTCCCAGCCCATCGCTGCCGCCGCCGGGGCTGCTCCAAGGGAGCCAAGCGGAGTGGGAGCGGGTCTGCGCGTCTCTGCTCTGCGCGCAGGGGCGGGGGGGCCCAGGACGGGGCGCCCTTTCCCACCCACATGCTGATCTAGGATCTCCAAGCGGCTCGGCCCAGGACACCGCCTGGAAACCCAGCCGCGTGGGAGAGGGCGACCCCACCTCCAACCCCCTTGCTGTGCGCCGGCCCAGCCCCTAGAAGTCAGCGGACGGCGGAGGAGGTGGCCCGGCCTCTCTTGGTGGTCCTGCGCTCTCGGGGTCTTTCCTTCCTGCTGACCCAGGGTGCTCAAGGGTCAGCCTGGTCGGACCCGCAGGGGAGTGTCCACGGACGGGCTCAGGCAAGTGAAGGAGCTGGGGGACGCTGGCGGGAGGGGGCTGAGGGGACGCTTACCTGAACTAGGGGAGAGACTCCATCCAGCCTGAGCTCCAGGAGACAGGAGCAGTGCCCAGACAAGTGGTCAAGAACCTGTAGCCGTGAGAGGACAGGGGTGAGAAAGATAGAGAGGGAGCAGGAGAAGGGGAGACACTCCGCAGGCACTGGCCGCTGGCTCGGGGGTTCCTCTGCTCCACTCTGACCCCGCCCTGCTCTGAACTGGGTAGGACTCTGCCCTAGAATCTCACCTGTCCCCTCCACATCCTCCCCAAGGCCCAAAGTGAGGAGGGGATGGGAGAGAAGAGAGCACAGAGCAACTTCAAATCCGAGACAGGGGAAGCCAGGAGGGCAGAAAACGCCTCTCTGACCAATGCCTCCCCCACCATTTATTTAACCAGTATTCACTGGGCCATTTATTTAACCAATATTCACCTGGGGAGTGGCAGGCACCGCTCCTCCCCCCGCCCCCCCGCTGGGGATACTGCAACAAACAAGGTGGACATAATCTTGGCCCTCAAGGAAGATGGCTGGGGCCTGCAGACCTGGACACAGGAGTCATGGCACCATGAGGGTATCGGGAGTTTAAGAGCCCTGATTTGCAGAGTTTTGGAAATCTGAAAGAAGGAAGGAAGGAAGCAGCATCCCAGCTGCACTCTGAAGGTAGAGCTGGGGTCAGCCAGGGGAAGAGAAAGTAGGCTCAGGGCTCAGGCACAGGGAGCTCACACACCTGGTGAGGTCAGCCCTGCAAGAGCAAAATCAAGGTGGGGGTGGGGAGGGGGGCAGGGCTGGGCAGCAGCCATGACGATCCTAGGAGGAGAGATGGTGCAGTGGTGAGACTAGAGAGGAAGGGATGGATTCTGGGATGCTTGGCAGGGAGAGTCTGCAGGGCTTTGTGATAGATGGCAAATGTGTGGAGGGACGCCTCAGGAGACAGGAGCTGAGGATGAAGCCCAGATTTTCTGGCTGGGTCTGTGGGCTCTGTGGGCGAAGATGAAATTGAGGAAACTGTATCCCAGGGGAAGAGTATGTTTCCAGGAGGGAGGCTTCAGTAGGTCCCAAGCTCTGGAGAGGTCAAGTTAGCTAAGGGTTGAACAGTGTTCATGGAATTCAGCAAAAAGGAGTCAGCTGGTGGCCTTGGTGAAAGCAGTCTGTGGTGTGATGGGGCAGAAACCAGACTGGAGTGGATTGGCTCTTGACAAGGAGATGAGATATATACTGCAGACAGTGCTTTCAAGAAAGGGACAGAGTGTTAGCTGGAGGCAGATGTGGGGTTGAAGAAGGGTTTTGTTTCAAGATGGGAGAGGCCTTCTTAGGTGCATCCAGTGGGAGGTACAGTCCAGTGACGGGTTGGTGAGCTCAGACTAGGAAGTGGGAGGTTTCCCGGGATCCTTAAGGACCACAGTGATGCCAGGGATGTGGATGTACAAAGGGCCCGTGCCGCCCCGCTGTGGTTTTTTCACCTACAAGGCTTGGCAGTTTAGGCATAGACTTGAGGTGGCAGAAAGCCAGACTGTTGCAATTGAGGCTTTGCTGGCAGCTTTGGCAGAAGGACAAAGGGACAAGTGAAGTTACAAGAGAGTAATGGAAATAAGGCAGTTTGGGTTCTTGGATAGATGCAGACAGAATTGGAAGCAACAGTATCGTGGAGAAAACTGTAGAGTTTCAGGGTTTGCATGAGATCAGAGAACAGTTACAGCCAGAGGCAGTGTGGAGTTATGAAGGGCACAGATTTAGGAGACACACAGCCTAGGTTTGAATCACAGCTCTGCCCTGTATTACCATGATGTCTGTGACCTTAGGCGATTCTTCTAACCTCTCAGTCCTCTGTTTTCCAATCCATAAATTAGCAACAGCAGTAGTGCTAACTAAGGGTTGTCATGGCACTTAAATGCGTTAATATATATAAAAGGCGGCCGGGCGCGGTGGCTCATGCTTGTCATCCCAGCACTTTGGGAGGCTGAGGCCAGTGGATCATGAGGTCAGGAGATTGAGACCATCCTGGCCAACATGGTGAAACCCCGTCTCTATTAAAAATACAAAAATTAGCCAGGTGCGCACCTGTAGTCCCAGGTACTCCAGGAGGCTGAGGCAGGAGAATCGCTTGAACCTGGAGGCGGAGGTTGCAGTGGGCCGACTGCACCACTGCACTCCAGTCTCGGCAACAGAGCAAGACTCCATCTCAAAAAAAAAAAAAAAGTATACATATATGGCTTAGAACAGTGTTTGTGCTGTACCCGTGTTTGTACAGAGGTAGCAGTGGAGTTACAGTCGAGAGTAGGGTGTCAGAGTTTCTCAGAGGTGGAATGGCTCAGGGTGATGACAAGGGTGGTAAAGTCCTGAAGGTAATGAGGTATGAGGAAGTGTAGCTGAGGTGGAATGAAGGAATTGAGCATTGGAGATGAGAAGTCAAGAAACTAAGAGGCCAGAGGGGTTGGGTCGTTGGGCAAAAGATGCTGAAGTTCCTCAGGCTGGAGAGGAAAGTGGAGCTAGTTCCAGAGCCTTGGAGGGAAGGAGACAGACAGGAAGGGCAGTTCCACTCCTGCCAGTCTGAAGTCCTCTCTCTCCACCCCTCCGGCTGGATCCAGGCAGCTGAGTTGCTTAGGGTAGACGCAGAGGCCCAGATTGAGGTTAGAGATCCCAGTCTGGCCACCTATATAACCCCTGCTGGGGACTGTGGCCTGAGGATTCTGTTGGGGAAGTGCGAGAGCACCAGGAAGGACTGGAAGGGAGCATCTTTGCCTGGATTGTTACAAAGGCTTGGTCTAACCAACACAGACCTGTGATCGCTCAAAGAAGCCTTCGGAGTCTTGTGCCACTGGGGCCTCTCAGCTGTGCTGGAAGCCAGAGCTTGCAGGGCCTGCAAAGACCATCTAGATCAATCTCACACTTTACCAATGGCAAAGCTGAGCCCCAGTGACGGGAATGGTGAGTGCTTGCCTTTTGCCAGCATGGAGACCCCTTGTGAATGGGGAGGCACCATCAGAGAAGCCAGAATGGAATTCCTGTTCACCCATCACCTCTCCCAGGGGCTCCTGCTCTCAAGCACCTTCCCTCCACCATCACACTTCCAGGCAAGGAGAAGTCTCCAGGGCAGCAGCTCATCTCCACCAGATAGGCAGGCAACTGACAGTGTGTGATATGTTGGCCTGTGTCTGCAACTGTCTGTGTGCAATGCATCTATGCATCTGTGTTTGTATTTCTGGATATGTCCGGTCACTGCGTGTGTGTCTGTGTGTGTGTGTTCGTGCATGCACATGGGCTCAGAGAGGAAGATGATAGATCCCAGGAATCAGACACAGGAGCTGGAAAGCCATGCCTTCAGGCTTCATCCTCAAACCTTGTTTCCAGCTTGGAGACTGTGTGTGTGTGTGTGTGTGTGTGTGTGTGTGTGTGTGTGTGTGTGTGTGCGCGCGCGCGCGCACGCGCACACGCACATGGACACATGTGTGAGTATGCATGTATATATGCCTGTGTCTATGGTGAGGACAGGCCCATGGATTGGCTAGGGTGAGGGTGATGGTAGCTCTTTGGGCTCTGGGTATGCAGAATTCAGTTGGCAGAAGCTGAGAGCTCCCAAGGTAGTGAATAAGCCCCAGCCGGCGATGAGTAAGAGTGATGTGGGAGGTTCCTGAGGATGCGGGTGCTGGGAAGAGGGCTGGCCCAGATTTCCAGGGACTGAGAGGGAACAGAAGGGCTAAGACTAAAAGGAACAGAGGAGTTCATAGTGAGCGGTAAAGAGCTCAGACTGAGCAAGTGAGGGGCTCAGCCTCCCATGGAGGACAGGGGGCTGGGGCCCCTGGCTGATGTCTGGACTGAAGCCCCCACGCCCAGAGGTTCTTGGGCCTTTGGACCAGGAATCTGGAGCCAAGAGGCCTGGCAGCTACCTCTAGTCAAGCAACTGCTCTTGTGCAACACAAACATCCCAGAACCATGGGTTGGGGGCAGAGGGGGGTGCAGGCTGACCTGCTGACCTGAAGGGACTTCAGACAGAGACTCCCTCTCCAGGAGCTCTTGCCTTCACCTACTTAGGACCACCCCCTTGAGCCCAAATTTTTTAAATAAGCAAACATCTCTGTACCTTTCAGTAAACAGCAATTCTAATGAGCCAAAAACATGAGCTTTTCAATCTGACAAAACTGGGTTTGAATCCCAGCTTTCCCTATTGCAGCTGAGTAAACCAGAGTAAGTCCCTTCACCTCTTTAGCCTCGGTGTCCTCACTGTGAACTGGGGGCAGGACTGCAACAGCTCACAGGGTTGTAGTGAAGGTTAAATGTGCTAATGTAGGGAAAGTGCCTAGCAGAGAGTTGCTGCTCAATATGAGTGCCCCTCCCCCTCAACAAGAACCCCTGTGCAGCAGCTGATTTCCCAGGGAAATAACGGAATCCCAGCCTAAAGCAAATAATCTGGTACAATGAGCAGGTACAGCCATATACATTTATATGTATACCTATACATAAATGTGCCATATATACATATATGTATACATATATGTAAATGTGCCATTTTATGAGACCTTTTGATACACTGACAGTAATTTCTAAACAGGTCCTCATTTCCACCTTTACAAACCTCAAGTAGTTGAGGGTGGGGCAGCAGATTGATTGATGAGGGACCTCAGTTTGGGGACAATAACCTCATTATACCCCTCCCTTCACATTCAGACAACAAAGGCCCAGAGAGGGACCCCAGCTCTCCCAGGCTGCCCAACCAGTGTCTGCTCCTCCCCCAAACTGCTTGTGGACTGGACTCCCCATGCAGAGACCATGAGGCCTCCCTAACCAGAGGCAGGGCAGCAGGGAGGGTGAATTGCTTGGCCAGGGTCATGGGCAGCTGAATGGCAGTGTTCAGAGCCCTGGCTGGTTGGGAAAGGGCCTGGTTCTGGTCTGGCTTGGCCCTAGCCCTCCTCTACTCCAAGCTTCAGTTTCCCACTTCTGAAGATTTAGGGATTGAACTAGATGATCTCCATGGGCTCAGCAGCTTGGAGTACTCACTAAAGTGAAGGTCTTCCAGTCCTCGCAACTCAAGAGTCAGAGCAATGTCCCTCCCTCCTGCTCAGGCACTGGGGTTGAAGGCTGGACTTGGAATGAAATAGAAGGGGCTTAGAGGACTGGGGAGAGCAATAGCATCAACTCAGAGTCCTGCTTCCATAATCCAATAGGCCAGCCTGGAAGTGGCACGTGTCACAATTCCCTGGCCAGAACGTCACACAGTGCCACCTAATCACAAATTAGCCAGAAAGTACAATCTTAACCTGTGCTCAGTAGAGTGGAAAACCAGAAAGATTTAGTGAACAGTGCCAAGGACACCCCACAACAGAGCTAGCCAGAACACCCACAACAAAATAGAACCAACACTGCAACAGCAGCCACAGGAGGCCACAGTCCACCAGATGAAATGGTGGTGCAAATTGAATTACAACAGCTGAGCAGCCTCAACACCTCACCCCTGCACACTCCCAGATCCCAATTAACCAGGGCGGAGGGCAACCTCGGGAATAAGCCCAACACCCACATGTTCTTAGTCCTTTTTGTGCCCAGGGCAGAGGTCCTTTTGTCTTATAGTCACTCTGCCTCCCAGGAGCAGATAAGAATCAATCATTCATTAGCAATTAGCACTTAGAAGCTCAGCCCCTGGGCTGGAATTATTTTCTGTTGAACCTAGTTTGCTAAACCAAGGAAGAAGCAAAGTGATTTTTACCTTCCTTGAACCAGAGAAAACCTGTCTTCCTCTGTGGTTGACGTTTGAGCAGTGTAAGTTCTAATTACAGGAGCTTATCTACAGGGCCTCAGAAGAGCCTGTGCCCTGTGCCTCAGTCATTCAACAAACATTTAGCAAATCTAGCACTGTGCTAGGTTGAGAGCTCAGGCTTTGGATCAGTACACCAGATTTCAAATCCTGGCACCACACTGCAATTGAGCGGTTTGGGATGAGTTTACTTAATCTTTTTCTGTCTCAGTTTCCTCATCTGTAAAATGGAGATGTAAAAGTAATACTTAATCTTATGTTGTAAAAATTAAATTGGATATTATTATAAGTGCTTAGCATAGCATAACTTAGTTGTAGATCTAATTGTGCTAATTTCAGATTATCATCTAGACTTCTGTTTCTGGCTAAAGTAGACTAGCTTCTATCAGACCAATTTACCTGCTGAGGATAACTTTAAAAGCTGGATTAAGCATTTAAGAAATCTGTTTAAAGGCATGGGAGAGCTACGAAGGCACTGAGGACTTGAGGGGGCCAAGATTGTGGAGAGAAGTAATACTAGATTTTGATTTTTCCCTAAAGGCATTTTCCAGTTTGTAGGAGGCAGTGGTCATGAGACTGGGGAGTCAAATTTGAATTTGGGGACTAAAAAGGGAACAGTTTTTATTGGGAAGACCAAAGAAACACTCTAGGAATAATGGCTAACCAGATATAGACTAGACTCAGGAAGACTGGAACAAAGTTTCCAATCAGTATAATCCTCGATTGGGTTAAAGTGGCCTGTCCTCCTTTAAGTGCCTGTCAGAAGCAAAAGTAAATCCCCTCTGGAGAAAGATGGCATCATTCAGAGCCTCATGCTAGCTCTGTAAGTTTTTATACACAATGTTGGACATTCAATAAAAAATTATCTGGCATTTCAGGAGATAAGACCAAATGAACAAAAGCAATAAAACAGACAAGAGCAATAAAACAGACAATAGAAACAAGCCCACTGGAGATCCAGATGTTGGAGTTTTCAGATATGGACTCTAGAAGGTTTAATATGTTCAAGAAAATTAACAACAAGGGAATCTTTCAATAGAAAACTGGAATCTATGAAAAAGAATCTAGTGGAAATTCCAGAACTGAAAAGTTATAACAAATGAAATCAATAACTCCGTTGATGGATTTAGCAGCAGAAAAGACACATGTGAAAATAGGATTAGTAAACTAGATAGTAGAAAAATATTTCAGTAGAAAAATATCCAGACTGAAACAGAAGGAAGGAAGGAAAAGCCTAGAAAATATAGAATAAAGTGTAAAAGAGACATGTGGGGCAATAGCAAATGGCTGAACATACAAGCAATGAAGGTCCCAGAAGGAGAGGAGAAAGAGAATGGGGAAAAGATAAGAGCTGACATGTTTCCTGAACTGTGGGGTGATATGATGCAGCCACAGATTGTAGAAGCACCAGGAAGGATACATACAAAGCAAATATCTACAAAGAAGGATAAATACAAAGAAAAACTCACTTAGGCACATCACAGTAAAACTGCTAAAACCTAAAGGCAAAGGAGAGTCTTCCCCGTATGGGAAAAGAAGCAAGATCTTGGCCGGGCGCAGTGGCTCACACCTGTAATCCCAGCACTTTGGGAGGCTGAGGCAGGTGGATCACGAGGCCAGGAGTTCGAGATCAGCCTGGCTAACATGGTGAAACCCCGTCTCTACTAAAAAAAAAAAAAATTATCTGGGCATGGTGTTGGGTGCCTGTAATCCCAGCTACTCAGTAGGCTGAGGCAAGAGAATCACTTGAACCCAGGAGTCGGAGGTTGCAGTAAGCTGAGACTGCGCCACTGCACTCCAGCCCAAGTGACAGTGCAAGACTCTATCTCAAAAAAAAAAAAAAAAAAAAAGGAGAGGCAAGATCCCTGGACTCTCCAGCCCGCAGGGCCTTCCTGACCCTCATCCAGTGTCAGCTTCCAGGAGGCTGATGTGAAGTGAGGTGAACCAGACTCCCTCCTCTCCATCGGGGCACCCTCATACTGAGCCCTCCCCACAGGAAGGGAACCCCTGCCTTTTTCAGATTATGTCAGATGTTGATGAATGAGGTTGGGGAGAGGCTTGAAAGGGGAAGATTTGGGAATCTCACAGCCCCTCCGAGGATCAAATCCTTCTCTTTAAAATTAAGCAAGATTGTGTGGGGTGTGAGCCAGCTCATCTGTTTTCTGACTCTGGTCTCAGAATGTCTATTCTTCCTTTTAGTCCAGCCACCAGAGCCCCAATCCACTTCCCTCTCTGAGCCTCAGTCTCCTCAGTTGCAAAATGTGGCTATTAAAAACATTTTTTTTAATTTTTTTTATTCATAAAAAAAAATAAATAGATGCAGGGTTTTGCCATGTTGCCCAGGCTGGTCACAAACTCCCAAGCTCAAGTGATCTGCCTGCCTCAGCCTCCCAAAGTGCTGGGATTACAGGTGTGAGCCACCAAGCCCAGCCAAAATATGGCTATTAATAGGCATCAAGCAGTAGTAGATTGTGATGTCATAGATGTAAAAGTGCTTTGCAAACTGTAAACTGCTGTACCCTTTTAGTGGTTGCTATCCCTGCCTGGCAGGACCATCAGCAGCAGGTTAGAGAGCAAATGTTCATGCAGATGAGGAGCTTCCTCAGGAATCTGTGGTCTGTAGATGCCCTCAAGGGTCAACATGTGCTTTCTTTGCTAAGATTTGGGGATTTCTGACTTCCTGCCAGCTTGGTACGGCAACAAGGTGATTCTGGCTAGAGTCTCAGTAGGGCTGCCACCTCTCAGCATGGTGCCAGGAGAGGGAGCCCTGGAGTCATCAGCTCTGGACAGGCCTGGAGGTGGCCTTTCAAGTCCTCTGACCTGCGCATCCTGTGTGTTGCAAGTGAAGGATCTGACACTAGCCTTCATTTTCACTCAGTCATCAAGCTTTCTCCATCTCCACTGGGTATAGGGTTTGGACACTCAGAAAGGTACCTCCACCTGGGAGACAGCCCAACTTTTCTGTTTCCAAAACCAACATGACCAACCTCCCAGATTTGAGACTTCATGACTCCCTTCTCTGTCAACCAGCACCACAAGGGCATGGTTAACATTTATTAAATACTCACTGTTCTAAGCGCTTTATTTAGCTTAAAGTATTTAATTATCACTGTACCCTATGAGGTGGGTTCTATGATTAGCCCCACATTACAGAAGAGAAGATGGAAGCAGGAGAGTCAGGCCCCCTGTGAAGGTCACACTCACTCACTGCTCCTCACCCTGCATGCTCCCCTCAGACCCGCGGTACCATCTGATTACTTCCCTTTCATCCCCATCCAGGACCCTTTTCTGGCATTTTTTCCCCACAATTCTAACACAGCTCACTAGCTAAGATCTCGTCCTTTGAGGGCCTTTGTACCAACTATGATCTTATGCGTTATAGAACAGAATTCTCAAATAGAAATCATAAATCCCTAGACTCTAATTTTATTACTCTTGTTTCTGCATGCATTTCCAGAATTCTAGAATCCAGTGATAGATCCCAGAACCAGAGACATCTAGAGAATCCTAGAAAGGAATTCTAGCATCCAGCAATTAGGCTTTTGAATCCAGGTTCAACAGTAAAACAATGGGGAGTGGAATGGAGGTAGGATTGGAATTTAATAGAATGCCCAGTCTAGAAAGGGCCCTGGTGCTTTAGATCTGCTCCAGCCCAAGCCAGCCGATGTGGGGACTGTGCCCTCTCACTGACCGTCTGAACCATCAGGAGCTCCTCACTCTCACGTGGCCACTCACTCCAGGGCCTCATCTGATGTTCAGGAGAGTCAGTGTCATTGCTATGCCTACCGGAGTCTAGGGTGGGGATACTGAGGCCAAGTGGCATGGTCATTTGGGTCCTGGTTCTGGATCTTGGATAAACTGCTAGACCTCTGGGAGCCTCGGTTTCTTCATCTGAATAAGGGGGTGGGGGTGGGGGGCAAGGTCAGATGATTTCCAAGGCCTCTTCCACTTGAGAGAGTGAGTTGCCTAAATCCCAAGAGCTGCCATTTGCCTTACTAGTTAGGACTACTGAAGACGATGATTATCATGTGATGAGCACCTAAGCTGAACTGGACACTGTGCTGAGCACTTTCCAGCCACTATCTCACTCAAATGAGTTCAGGTAGGCTTCCTGGAGGAGAGGGGTTGGAGGGGCAGCGTCTGTTTGGAGGACAAAAAAGTGAGGAGAGAGGGAGGATGGCAAGATTGGCCACGAGGGACCCCCGGAACTAGGTGGGGAAACAAGTCGATTCTTCACATATGGGATGGTTTGTTGCTTCCCAGAGGCAGAGGCAGGGGGCTGGCCAAGATGACCTCTGCCCACCCAGGCACTCAGTGTAGCTACAGACGGAGCCTAGGACTGGAGGTCAAGATACCCTGCTGACGCCGCCCTCTTGCTGTGTGCCCACAGGACCAGCGTGAGGAGGCTCCTGGCAGTTGCCCACAGGACCAGCGTGAGGAGGCTCCTGGCAGTTGGGCTGTTCCGGGCCGGCGGCAGGAGGGAGCTTGATGCGTGCCTGGCGTGCGCAGGCCGATGCCGCCGGCAGAAAAGAGCGAGGGGCCACCGGTCCCGGCGCCCGCGGAACGCGCCCGGGGCCGGGTGCCCGGCCTGCCGTCGCCGGCGCTGTGCTGCGCCTGCGGTCTGTGCGCGCTGCTGGCGGGCGTGAACGTGACGCTGGCAGGCGCCTTCGCCTCCTTCTTGCCCGAGCACAACGCGCTGCTCGTCGTGGGGCTGGCGCTGCTGGTGCTGGCGCTCGGCTTCTTCGCGGCCTGCTGCGTGTGTAGCCGCCGGGGCCTCGCGCCCCGTGGGCGCTCGGCGGCCGCGGCGGGCCCGGGCCAGGGTGGCGGCCGCGCCGGGCCCGTGGCGCTGGAGATGGAGAGCAGCGAGCCCACGGCACAGGACACCACGGCCGTGCAGCTCAGCCCTGCCGTCTCCGCCGCGTCCTCCGGCTGCTCCAGCCCCGGCCCCAGCCCCCTCGCCCTGGAGGCCCCGGCGCCCGCGGCCGTCTGCGCGCTGCGCTCGGAAGGAGTCCAGCTCAACCCACCCCGGGCGCGCGCCGCCCCCTAGCGGACCAGGGCCCCGCCGTGACTCCGCTGTCCGGGTTCATTCCCCTTCCTTCAGTGCCATTTAAGGGGGGAAAAGAAAGAAAAGAAAAAGAAAAAAGAAAACCTTTTCTTCCTTCCTTCCTTTCTTTTTTACAAGGGTCTGGTGCTGGGCTCAGGTGGCCTCATCTTTTCCATCTCCCAAACTCCTGGGTAGAATGTGGTGATGGTGTCAGGGGTCACACCCCAAAGAAGGGAGCAGCAGAGCCTTGGCCCCTTAGACAGGGTCTCTGGTCTCTAGTAAACCTTACCCATCCAGCTTGCTGAAAGTAGGCCCCTGGACCCTGGAACCCTGACACTGCCACCTCCCCCTGGCATTTGGGCACTGTGAACCAAGGAGCACCCACCCTGAAGGGGCTAACCACCAGCAGTCCCCCCAGTGAGGTGGGAGGAAGAGAGGGAGAAGGGTTGAATGTCAGCCTGGGCTGTCTCTGTCCTTGCACACACCGTGAAAGGCTTCCAGTCCCCTCTCCTGCCCCTCCCCACCTTCCTTGTTTCTACCCCAACATGACCTTTGGGATTCATTTGGCTGAGAAGCCGTGGCTCTGACTTGGGCCAGGATGGTCCCTAGAATTAGGGCCGGGGTGAGCACTCCCCACCCTTTCTGTCTGACTAAGAGCAAGAGTAGCTGAGACTGGGGCCCTGACAGAGGTGAGTGGTGAGGGAGCTTCTGCAGCCCTGAAAGTCCTAGTGTGACTTTCACTGCCAGCAATGCTGGCCCCCACCCACCCTGACTGTGGCACACCATGCATTCCTGCAGTGCCTTACTCCTCAATAAAGCACCTTTGGAGTCAGTCCTCTGTGACAGTGCAGGCCGGGAGGGAGGGGTGGCTGTGGGGCCTCTGGCTAAGCACCCTGGGTTCTGGGGCCCTCCCAGCCTGTGGCTGAGTGCCTGAGCATCCTGGTACCAGCCCCTCCTGGAGACCTAGAAGGCGGCTTCAAGGGAGAGGAGTGTGTGACTATGAGTAAAAGACTGTATCTAAGACTGTGTGCCCATGAATGTGGGAACAGATGGGTCAGATTGGGGGACTGGATGAACATAGGAGTGTGACTGTGGGTGTGATTGCCTGGCTCCTGTAAGAGGTGGGGAGTGGCAGCGTTTGGGTAACAGTCTGACATCACACATGCATGTGGAGGTGTGAGGGCAGCAGTAGTGGTTGAGGGCATGGTCACTGAGCAGGGTGAGGGGAGAAGTGCTCCACGGGGCTGTGCAAAGCCCAGACACTGCCCAAGCTAGCTGGACTTGCCGAGTTTGGGCCCGGCCTGTGGTTCGTCCAGGTGAGGGGGTAGGTGAGGGGGCCAAGTAGAGGAATAGGGGCTGCCTTGCAAAAAAGAAAAGGGGTCAGGGGACTGAGGAGGAGACACTGCAACTCTGGGCCAGCCCTTCGTCTCCATGCAGGTACCTAGGCAAGCAGTGACTGGGGCACATGCTGACCCACTGCCCCCGGCTGGCTATGACTCCCTGCCCATCCACTCCTGGCTTCATCACCAGCCTCCCTTTCTGTTTCCAAGACAGGCTTTGCTACTACTCTGCCATGACCCAGACACTTCCCACCAGCCCTGGGCTCTTCCTTCCTCTGGCGCCATCTCCACCTCTGTCTCTCCTGCTGTCTCCTCTCCCACTGACCTAGAGAAGAGCAAGTCTGCCTGAGCAGGTGCTGAGCAGGCCATCTCTATTAATTTGCACGTGTCAATGGGCCTTAACCTTTGAAGCTCCCAGTACCTACAGCTGATGACCTATTCTCTGAGCTCCCCAACCCCACCCTGTATGTGTGTAAGGAAGGCCACTTCCCCAGGCTCCAGTCCTGTCTCTTCTGGTGCATTGGTCTGCAGCTTTAGATGCCACCTGCTGCTGTGGTAGAGCAGTAGGTGAGAGGGGCCACCGCTGATGCAGCCTTGGGGTGTGGTCAGAACCACCCTTCTCCTACCACCTTAGGATTCTAGCCCTGCAATGCTAGGCTCAGCCGAACCCCTCTCCCACCTGCTGTTAGATGCCTGGAATTACATTCTCTTTCCTGTTCCCCCACAAGACTTCCAGATCCTGTTCTGCAAGCCTGGCTGCTGCAGAGGAAGAGTGAGCCTACGATAAAAACTCAGGGCAGTGGGACATGGATCAATGGTGTGGGTAGAATGGATCAGGGAAGGCGGGACATTGGCTCCCTGGAGTCCCTTCCACTTACACCCCCAGCTGAAGGTCATCATTTGTCTTTTCTCTGCCCCGCTTCCTCCACGGGCACACCAGAAGAGATTTTCCAGATCCAGTGCCCCAGGGCTCACCTTCCCAACAGCTCCAGTCTGCCACCGTGGGGACTCCTCACTTCACACCCCTTCCCTGGGTGACACCCAGGGACAGGCCCCTCTAGGGCAATATGGCCAGCGAGGCCCTAGGGAAGCCCCACTCTCCTACACATGGTGAGGCTGGAGGGTGTGCTCTGTCTCACACCTCTGCAGGCCCCTCCCAGGCAGGCTTCAGGCCCTGAAAGGGCCTCTGGGAGGCAGGTTTCTGTTGAGGAGAGGACATGATTCTGACAGCACAGAAGCATCAAGCTCCCTGACCTTGGGGAATTTGAGCAGGGACCAGTAGTTCCTGCAGGGATGCTGCAGACCGGCCCTGGAAGGAGGGTAAAACCTTCCACTCCCACCCTAGGCCCTGAAAGCCTCAGAATTGAGGCAGTAGGGCCTATCCTCAGAGGCACAGGGACTGTGGTAGAGGACACAGAGCTGGTCCTTCTAAAGGAGGGGTACTCCCCAGGGCCTGGGGGCGGGGGGGCTTTAGGGTGCTACACGTGGTGAGTGGCCCCTGCCTCCCCAAGGAAACTACTGCTGGCCCGGACAAGGCAGCTCATTAAGGGAAATGAGGTTTCCCCCATGCTTCTCCCTCTAGGAGAAATGAGGGCAGCCACTTAGAACCTCTTTGTATTATTATCTTGAGATAGGATCTCTCTCTGTTGCCGAGGCTGGTGTGCAGTGGCACAATCACAGCTCACTGCAGCCTCAACCTCCCAGGCTCAAGTGATCTTCCCACCTCAGCCTCCCAAGTAGCTGGGACTACCAGCACACCCCACCATGCCCGGCTAATTTTTTGTATTTTTTGTAGAGACAGGGTCTCACTATGTTGCCCAGGCTGATATTGAACCCCTGGGCTCAAGCAGTCCTCTCACCTGGGCCTCCCAAAGTGCTGGGATTATAAGTGTGAGCCACTGTGCCCAGCCTTAGAATCGTTTTTTTTTACTAATTAATTTAAGAATTCCTGAGCCCTGCTATGTTCCCTGCTATGAGGGAATATAATGATGAACAAGCTCTCAGGGAGCTCACATTCTATTTGGAGGAGACAGACAATAAAGAATTAAATAAGTGAGCAAATGAGACCAAAAAAGCTTAGCTAGTGAACAGCACTACACAGAAAATTACAATAGGATGTTGTGATAGATAGAGGCACTTGTCGGATGGTTGGGGGTTTTTCTCTGAAGAGGTGGCATTTAAGCTGGGCTCTGAATGGTGAGTCAGCCATGCAAAGGTCTAGAGCAGGAACATTTCAAGCTCAGGAAACAGCCAGTGCCAAGCCCTAAGGTGAGAATGAACTGGCCTCTGTGTGTCAGAACAAGAAAGAAAGGCTGTTGAGACACAGATGGAAGATGAAGCTGGAGAGGCGGGGAGGGGGTATTGCTTAGCTCATGGAGGGCTTAGTAAGCCCGGGTGAGGAGTTGGGATTTGATTCTTGGTGAGATGGGACCCACTGGAGGGTTTTAAGCAGGGAAGTGACATGATCTGATTTATGATGGTAAAGACTGCTCCACCTGCTGTGTGGAAGTAACAGAGTGGCGAGGGGCAAGAGGGAAAGCAAGGCTAGGAGGGGCAGGCTAGGAGGTCACAGCAGTGAGACATATGGGCACTGGGACTAGGGTGGTTGCTTGGAGTAGACAGATTCTGCACCTCTTGGGGGAGTTTTGGGGGCATGAAAGAGAAGAATCCTGAGGAAGTTCTAAAATTTTGGTTTGAGCACCAGGGTGTATGGTGGAGGATCTGGATTTGGGAAAAAAGGGACATCCTGGTAAGGCAAAAGACCTGTTAGCCCAGAGGGACTGTCCCACAGAAACTGGAGCCACAGCTCTGAGTTCTGGAAGAGGAGGCGCTGGGATGGAGACGTAGAAGCTGTCGGCATGTGGGTGGTGGTGAAACTCCAAGGAGACAGGAAGACAGAGAACCCGGAAGATAGAATAGTCTAACTGCAGACTCCAGGGGGAGCAGGGAGCCCATGCTGCTGACTTCTGAATCCCACTCAGCCTTCTGTGATGCCAGGAGCCTTCTGATGAGAACTGTGGACTAGGAGTGGGGGATTAGGGAGAAGTGGAATGTGAGCACGAAGAGGCCAGATTCTGACTTGTTCACAGCTGTACCTTCGGTGCCCACCTGGCACAAGGTAGGTGCTCAATAAGCACCTGTGGACTGAAGGAGGAAGGAAAAGGTGTGGATCTCATCGCACAGCTGAGATTCCAGGTCCCGAGTAATACGGGTTTGTCAAGATGCCTAACTCTGGGCAGGAAGGGAGAAGATTTCATATGTCTGAGAGTTCCCCTAACCAATTGCACAGTTTTCTATTTCTCTGTGGGGAGGTGGGATGGCACGGGAAGGAAGGGTTGACTAGATCAGCGCCAAAGGACCAGCCTGAGGGCCAGGCTCCCCAAAGCAGGAGATGGCCAGATGGAGGGACCAAGCCTGAGGAAATCGGCACTGTTGGGGACTGCCACCAGAGGGCACCCCGGGCACATGGCAGGAGATAGACACCACTCAGCCCAACCAGACTGCACAATTTTGCCTTTTCCTCTTCTGAGGTCCAAGGCCCTAAGAAATGGGGGAAGAGGGGGAGTTAGGTCACTCAGATTTACTAAGTGACTCATCCAACCCTGGAACCTGACCTTATTACAGAGAGAGCCTGGATCCTGGACAGAAACTTAGCCTTTATCAAGGTCACAGATAAGTCCTGAGACTGCTTATAGACTAAACCCTGACCTTGATGTTAGACTGAAACCTCACCCCAGTCCATACTGTGTCCTGACCTTAATCATAGACTGAACTTGACCCTAGTCACACTCTGAGCTCTGACCCTGCCTGTCCATTCATCAAACACTGACCTTGATCCCAGACTGAGCTCTGACCCCAGTCCATAAACTAAACCCTGACAATTACCATATAGTGAACCTGACTTGCATGCAGACTGATCATGGACACACATTAGCCCTTATTCAGGCCATAGACTGAGCCCTGACCCTGGGAACAGATAGCGCTGACCCTGGTCCATACACTGAACTCTCACTCTGATCACTGAGCCTGACCCTGAATCTGGTGCCAACCTGAACTCTGACCCTGATCCATATGCATTGAATCCTGACCCTGGACAACAACTGAGCTTTTATCATGGTCACAAACTGGCCTTGATCCCTAAGACTTGCCTTCCAACACCCCAATGAGTTAAGGACCTTCCAGAAGAGGCTCTTGTGTCAGGCCAAGCTTTAGTCTCAGAAGGAAGTAATTCCTGGAAACACTTTTGTTGGGGAGAGAAGGAATTCTGGGTCTCCAAATGGTCCAGAAACTCCTCGGCCTTGGACCCCTAAGAGGCCAGGCAGAGAAAGGCTGGTTCTAGGTTGCCCAGGACATGAGGGAAGAAGGGCAGCTGGGTACCTTCTCAAGGTATCCCCACAGCCGTGGGGGCGGGGCCTCTTCTGCCTGCCTGTCCATCTGGGGAGCCTCCCGACTGGCAGCCTCTTCATCTGCACTTCGGACTCCCTTCTGCTCCACGGTCTGTGCTCCACCCCTTGCTAGCTTTCCAGGAAAATAAGGAGGGACATTCCATGCAAGGGGTGGAACCAGGCCAGACTGAAGGCCCCATGCCCCCAACCTGTGCCCTGGCCGGAAGAGAAGCCCCTCCCTCTGGGAGCTCACTTTGGCTGCTTGCTCCAAACAGGCGAGAAAAGGTGAATCAGGCTCAAGGCGGCTCCAGCAGGGCCTCAGGTTGACAGCGGCCAAGACATAGGAGCATGAGGCAGTTGTGTGGGAAGTCCCCGAGGCCCGAGTATGTTCCTGGAGTCTGCAGCTTGTGAAGGTGTGGTAGGTGAGGGCAAAGGACAGCATAGTCCCTCCCCAGGGCACACTGACCAACTTAATTTCTGCCATCCCCAGGGTTCAGCCTGGGTGCCCTCCCGCTGCAGGGCCCACTGGCCTCCAGGCTCACCTAGGGAGGCACCAAGGGCGGGGGTGGGGGCCGAGCCAGGGAGGAGCTGGGGCGGAGGATGGGGGCAGCTCGAGTCAAAAAACGCTGACGCCAAAGACAATGAGCTCTCCGAGGCTGAGGCAACTCATTTGGTCCCGGCCACGCTTTATTAAATTCTCATAAACCTGTCAGGGGGGACAGGGCTCGCTTCAGTTTACCTCATTAGCCCGACACAATGACAGTGGTGGGGGGACAGGCAGGGTGGGGGTGCAACAAGGGGAGGCTGGCGCTCAGAGCTGAGAACTGAGCCAGCCGGGAAGATAATTGAATTAAGTGGCTTTTGTTAATGGTTTTTAAGACTCCAAAGTGTAAATAACATTTAGGGGCTTTCTTTTAATGGAGCTAGGGTTTTAGAGACCCAGGGAGCTTAGGGGAGGCCCAGCCTGGTCCCTGCCTTCTCCCCCACCCTAGGGGAGCTCCCGAGGGGAGAACTTGCCGGAGCCGCCCCAGGGATGCATTGCAGTTAGCCTTGGGAGGACCAAGGGGACTTCCCCAAGGGAAGGGGACAACATCATTGGAGCCAAAGAAGCTGAGACAACTTCCTGGTGAATCTTTGAAAAGAATCAGTGTACATGAGCAAAAGAGGGGATGGATGCAGGGGACTGTGACGACCTACCCAGTCCTGGAATGCTGCTGTCGGACAAAGTGGCCAGGGACGTCTCTGAGATGTTGCTGGAAGTATGGTCCTGGCCTCCTGGGGTCAATGTTCATTCCCCATGAGAGGTTAGTGGGAATGGAAGGTACTGGCTGTGTTGCCAGCAGGTAGTGAGCTCCCCATCACAGCGGATGTGGGAAGGCTGTGAGTTGGGGTATCCCCAAACGAGGCAGTGGATTAGACTAGATCCCAGGCTTGCTGAAGGCAACTGGACTTGATCCAAGCTGTAACAGGAACCTGAAAAGATGGCATGGTGAGCTCACTTCTCTGGGGGCACAAGGGCCTCGGGGAGCTGGGTGCCAGGGAACAGGGACACAGACAGGAGTTGAGAATCCAGCCCCTGGCTTTCCTCAGTCAACAGCTTCTCCCTCCCTGCACCCTGCAGACAAGACCAGGTTGGGGAGTTGGCTGGATTGAAGGCAAAGGGCTCTGGGCTAAGATCCCAAGGGGCTGGAGGTGAGATGGGGCAGGGCTGGCCCTGGGCCAGCCCACAAAGGGTTAAGGTGCTAATCGCCATGCATGCGACAAAGGGAAGTGGGTTTTCTGATCCAGAAAGGATCAGTCCCTGGGACGCCCCATCAGGCCCTTCAGCGTGAAATTACACCCCAGCGGGGGTGCTACCCTCCCCCTACACACACATTACCCGCCGGGCCTGGCACAGGATTAGGGCCCAGAGTCATCAGCGTAATAGATCGCACCTCCCCACCCCATTCCTTCCCCCAGGAGCCTTCAGTCCTGCCTCCGGGCCTGGGCCAGCCTCTTTCCTCACATCTGTCCACCTGGCAGTTGCACTGCCTGGTCATCTTGGCCTCACTCTTGGTCTAGTCATTCCATCTGTCTCCTCCAGCCATGCATTGAGCCCCCACCTCACTCCTGGTCACAGTGTCTTCATAACCTTTAATCGGCCTGCCAAAGGTACATTCCATTGCTTATGTATTTGTTGTCTGTCTTCCCCCTCGCACATCAGGTGCTGTCCTGCTCAGCACTGTATTCCCAGTGATGGGGGGGGGGGGGCTGCATCTTCCACGCAGGTGGTGCTCAGTCAACTAATGTTGACTTCCCATCCACCTCACAGAGACTGGGACATGGTCCCTAAACTCTGGATGTTGATGCCGAGAACTAGGAGACTGTGCCAGGACAGAGCCATGTCCTCTGGAAGAGACAGGAGGCTGTGGCATGGCCGCTGCCTTGGACCTAGCCTCATCTCTTAAAGATGGCATGAGGGAGGCAGGCAGGAAAAGTGAGAAGGCCTGCAAGGACAGAGGGTCCACCTGTCCTTGGGTGCTGTCCCAGGAGATCCGCTCACTCCACTGCCCCAGGCTGCTGTGCCTTTGCCCTCTGATGACCTCTAAGCCCCATCTGCACCCCCAGCCAGGAGGACCCAGCATGGGAAGAAGCTCTGAATGGAACAATTGAGGACACAGGATGATATCACATGGAAGACAAAACCCAGCAAGACTCTTGGAAACCAAGGCTGCCTGAGAAAGGCACCTGTATGGACCACCCTGACCAACCTCTACACAGGAGACAGAGGCCCAGAAAAAGCCAGGGCTTGCCCAAGTGTACTGCAAAGCCATGGCAGGGCCCAGACAGAAGCCTGGTTCCCTGAGGTCCTCAGCAGAGCTTGTCCCTCACATGCTCTTCCCAGTTAATTTAACAAGTTCAGTACTGGTTGAACACAAACTCCATACCAGGCTGTATGCCATGCCAGCTTCTGCCCAGGGAGCCCCATCTGGCAGTGGTTGAGAACTGTATATAGTGGTCAGAGGCATCAAGAGGAGGAGGGGCATCTCCCTCCCCTGTGATAATCTGGCAAGTCTTCCTGGAGCAGGTGGCATGTGGCTGGGCTCTGAAGAGTGAAGCCTGTCCCCAGGAGGAGGGACCGGCAGAGCAGAGGTATCCGGGGAGAGGGCACGGTGAGTGTGTGAGGTGCCACGCCAGCTGGGTGACACACTCCACAACAGCATGAATAGACATGTTCTGTGTGGCTCCCAGGCCAAGCCAGGCCTGATAAGGAGGCTACTGGGTGGCAGATTTCAGACAACATGAAGAAGAACTTTCCAACAGCCCTGGCGTAGGCTGCCCTGGAAGGTAGTGAGCTGCCCACCCCTTCAGGCTTGTGGATAGGAGCTGGGTATCAGTGATTCCTCCCCGGATGGAAGCCGAACTAGAGACCGGTGAGAATGTCTATTCTGAGAAACTGAAGCAGAAATGGCCAGACTTCAACAGGCCTGGCTCTTTAGTAGGCGACCTCTCCCCCACACCTTGTCCATCCTCCTGGGCTCTGCAGGCCCCTGGTGGCTGGAGTGTGGGAGAGGGAGGTAACAAGGCAGACAGAAGAATGACTGCTTTTTCAGTTATTCTTCTATGTATCTATGGCTTCCACCCAACCCAGCAGGGTGGGGCGCTTAAATCAGGCTCAGAAGTTGTCCAAAGCCCCACTTAAAAAAAAAATAGGGACAGAGGGCTGGGCATGGTGGCTCACACCTGTAATCCCAGCACTT